>NC_000001.11:110159895-110462925 GCF_000001405.40 Homo sapiens
CAATTCCATCATATCATATTTATCATGCTCATATTATGATAAGATACCAGGATTTGGCCTTGCAGAAGCAAAGATGGTGTCAATTGAGGTATGAAATGGAAGACCAAAACACAAACCCGACAAATCTGTGAAATGGAATAAAAAGAAATCACCACTCTGTTCATTTGATTTTTCAATAAGCTTTTCTTTCTCTTTCTCCTTCCATCCATGTGGTAACCAGATGCAGCTGGTAGGTAAGCAGGCAAGCACTGCTCCTCATTTTACAGATGAATAAGAAACAAACTGGCTTCCAAGTCTTGGGGCTCTCCCCATGTGTGCTGCAGGGCTGCACTGGATTAGAGTCCCCCTGGCTGGGACATGCAGACTTCCGGTAGGTTCAAATGTCTCTCTAGTCACTGCTGTTAGTGTTTTACCCCGCCTCTTTGTTTCAAATGTGAGGCAGTAGTAAGATTTCAACATGGCAAGCAGGTTGTTCTCAGAGGGTTGGAAGGCAGGGACCCTAGAACACCTGTAAATACCATGTTCTGCCCACAGAAATGTGTAGGATAATCTGTGTGTGCGAAGCACTGGTTGGGTAGGAAGCAGTGAAGGGTGGGCACAAAGCTGAATGCACCTTCGCTCCTGCCTCAAGGAGATTGCTGTTCAGAAAAGGGATCAGGCGTAACGACAACTAGTTGTACCAGACAGCCAAATAGTAAAATAGTGTAAAAGGGTGTTACAAGGAGTGTGCTGAGAAGGGCAGAGCGTTAATGCTCACTCACAGACTCGCAGGAGTTGTCATAGAGGCGAGGCAGGGGACCTAGAAGGCTTCAGCTGTCAGGGGATGGGAAGTGGTTAGTCTAGAGTGAGTGGTGAGTGGGCTGGGAGGAAGTGGAAGCCGAGGCCCGGGAGATAGAGGGGGCCCAAATGCCTGGGAAAGGGCCTTGGGCTCCCTTCAGTAGGCAGTGGGAGTGGGGTGGCGTGGCATTTCTAGAAGATGCCACTGAAGGCAATGTGTAGGATGCCAGCGGGGAAAGTGAGCTGGGAGCCTGCTGTAGGCATCTAGCCAGAGAGCAGGCTTGAACTAGAGCAGAGGGGTGGGAAGAGGACAGAGCTGAGCACGCCTACAGGACTTGCAACACCTGGTGGGGGTGGAGGCAAGAGAGGTCAAGAAGGGTGTGGGGTCCCTGCCTGTGTCCTGGGCCAGCAGCATCCAGGGGCAGCAGCCTCCAAGTCAAGGCCAGGCCCTGTCAGGAGCAGTTTGCCCCAGGTGACTGTCAGAGGTTTTAATAAAACAATTAAAAATAATTTGTGTCTCTGATAATAGTCCGGCCTGTTTTGGGCTCAGTAAAAGCTCAGGGGCTCTGAGGTAATTAGGAGAACAGTTTGGGCCACAGCTGCCTGTCATGAAGAAATCAGGAAGCTGCCAAGCATCCTCTGACTTGGTTTCTACTCACCACCAATTATACCTGAGTTAGATGTTGGCTTTGAGGTCCTGAGTGGGGACCACTTCCACTGATTTCCTCTTCTTGGGGGCTCTTCAGGGTGCCTGTTGGAACACCCTGAAGAGGTGCTTTTTAAGGATGTGCTTGGCCACAGCCACTCTTTCCAGAGCCACAAGACCCAAGGGTAGCAGGATCAGGAGCACGGGGAGGGGCGGGGCAGGGTAGGCACTGTGGTGTCTGTGGTCGTTGTAATTAGGTGACTGCCTGCTTCCCCAAAGATGGTGGCTCCCCCACTCACCTCCCCTGGGGAGTCTAACTTGGAAAATAAATGATTCTCTTTGTCCCTTGAGTTACCTGAACCTTCCCCAGCAAGAAACACCCCAGGCCCAGGAGGTGGGTGCTCAGGGAGCTGCCTTCATCATTACAAAAGTGCCCCTCTTCCCTTCTCCTCCTCCCCGGCTGCTGTGGGGTGGAGGGGCTCCAGGCTTTGTCCTGGTGCCAGGGTGAGAGCAGCCATCCCCCACCACCTTGAGCTTATTGCCGGATGCTGTGCTTGAAAAATTTTCGTGGAGCCCTCACCCCTCTGGCAGGAGATATTTTTACCTGTCTGCCTCCCAGTCACACTATTTTTTCTCCTTTCAAGAAGATTCGCAGTTCACTTGCTCCGACCTCCTTCTCTCACAGGAGCTATTCTGAGCTGCAAGCCACCTCTGTTGCTAAGTGACAAGCTGGCACCAAGGGCCTTCTCGGCACTCGTGCCCCTCTGCGCTGTGCTTTCAGGGATGGAGGCACTCCTTTCAGAGAGTACCTTGCAGCTTCATCATCCGACGTGTTGCTCGTGAAAGCCACTTCACAACCCACCCCAGCTACTAAGGGGGGGATAATTAGAATACGGCTGGGCTGGCTGTCACCACATCTCTACCATGCTCCAGTGGGCTCTCAGCTGATGGAGGGTGGCAGGGCAGACAGAACTTACCTTTCGCATCCATTGTTACAGGTGCCTGGGGCAGGTGGCTTCTTGCTCACACCCATAAGCAGGAGGGACTCTCAACAGATATATGCTAGAGCTGAAGGGGGTCTTGGAGGCCATCCATGCCAACCCATTTTACACACAGGAAAACTGAGATCCGGAGAAGTTAGGGCAATAGTACCAGTTTGCACGGTAGGTTGGTCAGGCCCAGCACCTAGCTGGCCTGCTGATGCCTGGATTATGGCTGGTTCCATGAGATACATGGGTACGGGAAGAGAGGAATCGCCCCTCTCAGGGTCCTTCTCTGATCCTGATGCTTCTCCCAGACAAGGCTTTGGGGTCATTGGCTGGGTACACTTTGGATTCCCAGGCCCTGCCTGCTCTAAAAGCTCACCTTTCACCAGCACATGGCTTCAGGGAACTGGGGGTGGAGCAGGGAGGGTTATTCCAAGTCACTATTTCCACTGGGGTATGAATTGAATGAGAGCTGAAGAAGAGGTACCATTCATGAGCACTTCTTGGGTGCCGGCATGGTTCTAAGACCAGTACAATGTATCCTCCTCACAGTATGGTGAGGTGGGCACCGCTGGCACCCTCCCTTGACACATGAGGAAACTGAAGCTCAGAGAGGCTAGAAAAGTTGCCCAGGCCAGGTGGCTGGCAAGCAGTGAGCTGGGGTTGGAACCCAGGCCATCTTACTCCTGAGCAGGATCACCAACCCATGTTGGTAAAAAAAAAAAAAAAAAAAAAAAATGGTTTTAAGCGGTCTCAAGCTATTCCAAACATGAGGTACATTTTAATAACAATAATGCTAAACTTTTAATACAGGCCGTGTTTTTATTAATAATAATATTGCTGGTCTTTTGGGTCCAAGCTGGTAGCTGCGGGACCTTTGCCTGGCTTCCTTTGACACTGGGGTGTGGTGCATGGTAGGACTTTCTAGGGGGTGCCCTAGGTGGACACCAGTTCTGGAGAAGAAAGTGGGCATTGCTGAGGTGGTGCAGGATGCTTCTCTCCACCCACCTCCACTCCCATGGTCAGCTCTCCTTGGCCTTTCTTGAGAAGAAATGGGATTGATGGGACCAAATATCAATATGGGGACTTACATATTTTTTAAATGCATAAAGGTAAACAATGCAAGGCTTCCAGGCAGTGGCTGCTACCATTTGGGTCCTTTCTGTGTGCCAAGCTCTATGTCAGGCACTCTGTGTGCGGCTGCTCATTGGACCCTCACAGCAGCCCTCCCTGGGAGATGGGAGCCATCATTAAATGCAACCTTTTCACCCATGAGGAGACAGACGCTCACATAATTAAAGTGCCTTGTCCAAGAGCACACAGCTAGTGTGTGGCCAAGGCCCCAGGGCTGCCCACCTCCCTCAGAGCACCTGCCCCAGTCCTCACACACAGCACAGCCGTGCTCCTCCCTCCCCAGCACACCTCTCCCTGTCTCCGCCTCTCATTCTGCCCCGGGGCTCTGGCCACCTTGCTCTTCCTGGAATTCCCAGGGCTGTTTCCTTTTTGGGAGCTTTGTGTCTGCTGTTCGCTCTGCCAATGCTCTTTCCTGTCATTCACGCCTCTGCTCAAATGTCACTTCCTCAGAGATGCCCTTCCTGACTGCCCCCCAACCCCCGCATCCAGCATAAAAGAGCCACCTGCCAGCTTGCTCCACCCCTCCGGTGTGACTCCCCTGGAGTCACATGGAGATACATGGAGTCACCCCATGTATCACCCCTGGCCATTACATTATCCATCGATTTCTTTAGTATCCGGCCCTTCCACATGAAATGCAAACTCCACAAGAGGAGACACTTTGCCTGTTTTGTTTGCTGCTGTATCCCTCACACCTAGAACAGAGGCTGGCATATAGGAGGCACTCAGGAAATGTATGTCAGGTGAGTGAGTGAGTCAATGAATGAAGTGAGAACTCTCAACTCCAGGCCTGTCTGGCTTCACAGCTCATGCCTCCCACTCCCACACCCAGTGATCTTCTCCCTGTGTCCCCCACCTCTACTGAGTCTGACTCTGTCCCAGACAAGGCTCTGTTCAGGGTGTTAGGAGAACCTGAGTAGCTTTGGGCAATTCAGTTCCTCTCTCTGGGCCTCAGTTTGTTCAGAGATAAAATGGGAATGTTGAGTCGGACAATTGCTAGGGTCCCTCAAGCTTTAATTTCTGAGTCTGACCCTGTTGTCACCTGGGCATATTCACTGGACACAGAGGGTTCCAGTCATGACTGCAGCCCAGCCCAGTGCCTCAGCCTGGAGGTTTGTGCGAGCCCTTTGCATCCTGCAGACCTAATGGCACAGGAGTTCTTGGGCCCCCATCCCTCAGTGCGGGATGCGCATGGCGTCAGTGACATCTTGGGAAGAAGGAGGAAGCTCGTATTAGCTGATGCCCTGTGGTTGCTGGATGCTGCTGTAGGTATCCTCCTTCTGCTTTACCAGAATGTCCTGGAGTCCTCTTCTTTTAAAATGATGCTTTTTTCCTCCCAGCCCTTTCTCATCTTGGTGACCGAAGCTGCCACTCACTAGGCTATTTATGGAGAAACATGTGCTCCAATTGGTCAGCAGCAAGATAAATTCTGCAGACTTGCAGGAAACTCCCTTGGTTTTCTCTAGTTGTGGCTTGATGATCAGTAAATCATACCTAATGCACTGCTCTGATCAAACCCTGCTGCAGGCAGAGTGGCTGGAGACAGGCTCTGAGCCAAGGAACTCTAGTGATTGCAGGCTCCAGAGGGACCCCCACCCTTCTTCCCAGATCTCATCTTTAGTAACAGCTCTGTATGTAAGCTGTAGGGGACGGGGAGATGCCTTGACAGGCAGCCGTTTCTCTGTTTGCATGCCCTGCAGACGGGGACCTGCTGAGTGAGGAGAGGAGCTCGCCCTGGCAGCCCAGGCAAGGACACAGGCCTCTCCGTTGCGTAACTCCTAGGGCCGTACTTCACTTGTGTAGCACAGGCAACACGGCAGCCCTGGGGGGAGGCCCAGGGCTGAAAGTTCCACAGATGCACAAGTGCCACCCGTGGGGCACCTTTTAGGATGCAATGGGGTGTTCAACTGACCCACTGGGAAGTGAGTCCCAGCAGAGAGCTTCTTATAGGGAATTCTGTGGTCCTCTAACCAGGCTGGCCCTGTCATAGTTACCCCAAAGCCTAACCCTGTCTATGCTTGAGGTGTGAGGGGGCAGTCACTAAAGACTCACTGTTCCCTTGGAAGAGGAGGGCAGCAGGTGTCACCTGCTAATGTGGTCCAAGACCTGGCCTACGGAGGGCTAGCCAACCCCATAAACCTCCCAGTTTCATTACATGTGTAACAGGGCCTGGCTGGCAGGTCTCCTTGATGGTCAGGCCTTGGCTGGGGTCAGCCAGGATGTCTGGGTCAAGGCTGGCAGGAAGGACGGGCCTGGCCCTTGAACTGCACAGCAGCCTTGCCTGTGCCATTCAGGTGGCACGTACCTACGAGGAGAACAAACGGAGCCCAGCTTCCAGAGACAGCTCTTTCCCTTAATAAAGTAATTACAGAGCTGGGTAAGTTACATCCCTAGAAAGATGCAGGGCAACCGCAGGCTGGGGTGTGTGTGTTTAATTTTAAATCCTCCAACCTTCCCTTAATGAGGGGGTGCCTTGAAATATAACGGAATGGTGGAATTCTTCAAAGGCTTCGTTTTCTTGGTGCTTTATTTCTTTAAGGGAAAGCATGAAAGACAAATGAGGACTGGCAGGAGTAGGGGAGGGTTTTGCCTCCTCCGCCCATGTCGTGCAGACATTATCTGCTGTAAAACTGTCGCTGAAGGATGGAGAACCAGCTCTTGGCTGCAGAAGTCCTCAGATAATGTCAGTGCTGAGCAATGACCCAAGATTCATTGGCACTGAGCAAACAGCCCTTGGCTTCTGGTGCCAGAATCTTTAGCTGAGCCTGGTCAACCAGTCCAGCTAGGGGAATGGAGATGCCATCGGCACTGGTGTCCAGGGGCCCCCTGGTGATGGCTCAAGAGCCTTTTTTTTTTTTTTAAATCACCTGGGGATCCTGTAAAAAGGCAGAGATTGATTCAGGAGGTCTGGTGCGAGCCTAAGATGCCCCTTTCTAACCAGTTCCTGGTGCAATCCCTGCATTTTGAATGAAAAGGCCCTAAGGAAGGAAGGCGCTGGCTTCCGTGGCTTCCGCCATGTGGTTTTGGCTAAGCAGAACACCTGGAAGGGGAAGGCTGTATGGGCCTCCAAAGGGGCTTGAGCACTCTAAGCTCTGCAGTATGGAAGAGGGAAATGTCTTCACGGATAATGCTCTACTTGGGTTCGGAGTATGGCTTTGCCTATTTTGCCCCTTTAGGTTTACTTTTCAAATAATGCTCGGGTCAAGCCTCTGGAGAAACTGAGTCTGTAGGCCTTGAGCTCCTCACCGGGCAGCCCCTGATGGGGAGCTAGGGCAAGCTGCATATATGAGGCCCTTGACCTGCCTCACAGTGTGATGGGGAGTTAATTTGGGTTGTGTCCACGTTGGGCTCCTCACCTTCCTGGTGTGGTCAGATAATCCTTTACTGCTCACCTGGTTTCCTAGGTCCCTGAATGAGAAGGAGCTGACAGCAGCTGAATTCCATCTTCTCTGTGTGCTGGGGAGCAGGGCTACACGGCCCAGGTGGCATCAATGCCGAAGAACAGCAAAGTGACCCAGCGTGAGCACAGCAGTGAGCATGTCACTGAGTCCGTGGCCGACCTGCTGGCCCTCGAGGAGCCTGTGGACTATAAGCAGAGTGTACTGAATGTGGCTGGTGAGGCAGGCGGCAAGCAGAAGGCGGTGGAGGAGGAGCTGGATGCAGAGGACCGGCCGGCCTGGAACAGTAAGCTGCAGTACATCCTGGCCCAGATTGGCTTCTCTGTGGGCCTCGGCAACATCTGGAGGTTCCCCTACCTGTGCCAGAAAAATGGAGGAGGTAAGAGACAGCTCTGCCTGCATCAGGGGTCCCCTGCAAATAGGCCGGGGATGAGGGGTAAAAAAGAACACCCCTTTGCTGAGGCAGAACTGGAGCCCTTGTAGGTTGGAGCTCAGGATTCCAGAGTAAGACAGCCCAGGAATAGCTATAATGATGGTTAGTAGCTACCAAGAGACTACAGGACATGATAAGAAAGTGGGCTCTGGCCCCAGACTGCCTGGGTTCAGATTCCAGCCCTGCCAATCAACTTTGGGACCTACTACAAATTGCTTAACCTCTCTGTGCCTCATCTGCAAAATGAAAATAATAGTAGCTCCTGCCTCATAGGATAGTTGGGAAGATTAAATGAGCTTTACGTGCAGAATGGGCAACACGCTACCTGACACGGTAAGGAGCACCTGTTGGCCATTATTACTAAATGCTTATGAGGTACTAGGCACTGTTCTAAGGGCTTAATGGATATTAGGGCTAAGTGCCTGAAACTGCTGATATTTGAGCATCTTAGAACAACAAAGCACCAATTTTATGTGATTCAACCATCGAATCCTCCCAACAGCCTTATATGAAGGAGTTGTTATCATCCTTGTTTTACAGACTACAATACTGAGGCACAAATTGGTTAGATAACTTGTTCAAGGTTGTGGGTGATCAAGGTTACAGCTAGTGATAAAGTCAGGATGCAAACCTGGACAGGCTTGCCCAGAGCCTGGGCACTTAGCCTCCACACCTATTGCTTCCGGGTAGGAGGGGCCTTCACACTGCCCCCTAGGCTTGAATCCCTCTTGAGGATGTTGCCCCTGGTATCAAACCACTACCACCACTTCCAGCCCCCAGGAATTGTCCAAAGGCAGCTTTCCCTGAAACCAGAGATCAACTAACTAAAAATAAAGAAAACCCCAATAGGCTGGAAACAAAGAGTTTTGCAAGCCCAGACCTCTGGTCCTGGGAAAGTCAACTAGCAAGAGCTCTTGTGCTCCTGAGTCCCTGTGCCTGGCATGGCATGCTCCAGCCTGTTGGGTGGCCCCAGCTTGGCAGGCATTTTACCCCAGTCCTTCCTTCCTTGCTTGTGGAACTCTTGCCATGTAACCTTTTCCAAAGACGCAGTCCCCTCCTCTCCAGGATGCATCTTTCCCTAGTTTAGAAGGCCACATTTGGCTGGGAGGCTTCTCCTTTCCAGTTTCTTTTGAAGGGCAGGGAGTGAGAATGCCCACCTGAACTCTTGTGATTGAATTAGGCCAAAGGCTTCCATCTTTCCCCCATAGCATGTTATATTAGCTGCATGGTCTCCTTGCTTGAAAGATCTTTTTTACTTTTTAATAAGTAACTGTCAATCAGAGCTTGTGGCCTGCATGGCATGGTAACTGAGTTGATGTAAGACTAGCCCAAAGCAAAGATATACAAGTATATGGTTTCTTTATGCCCTGTGAGATGTTGAGAAGAGCTCCAAGGCAACCAAAATGACTTCAAAGGACGTGTGGCATTGGAGGACTTAGCTGGGAACTTCTAACCTTGTTCTTTCTAGCTTAGATGATCAGTTCTGCCTGGGCACTTGGTGATGAATTCCAGAATCCCTTTCTATGCCACACACAAGCACTCACACCCAGGGCAGTGTTCTTGCCACAGTCTGATTGTTCACAGTGACACCAATCACCATGGCACCAGACATAAAGAACTACCCTAGAGGAAAAGCATTGTCAACTCTCAGAATTCTGAGCTTTCCATTCCACATTCCTGCCTTCCTTTTTCTATCTTCTCTGATTCCTGCAATCCCTTTTTATCTCTACCTTTAACTGTCCAGTATTTTTACAGGTTTTTCTTTGTTTGTTTTTTGAGACAGAGTCTATATCAAGTTGTCTTAAATATTTTTTAGGAGGAGGCAAATTATCACAGGAAGGAGACAGCTGTTTGGTCTGAGAGTTGAGTCTGTGCTTTTGAGCCATAGTCGATGTAATCAAACTTTGCATAGTTCTGGACAGAAACTCTGGAACACTCTCCTTAGCTCCACGAAATGTTGACATCTTCCTAGTTTGCTTTTTCTTCTGTTTATTTTTATGAGAAAAAGGCAAATGTTCAACCAGTGCTTACTATGGGTAAGCCACTCATTCAATCTTTGCAACAGCCCTGTGTGATAGGTGTTGGGTCAAAGCTTATGAAATGGCCATTTTTGTAAGTCAAAAATGGTCAAATATCAGCAATTTTATACGTAACATTTTCATCCTCTTTACCCAGATGAGAAAACCAGCAGCACAGAGAGATTAAATAATTTTCCCAAAGTCACACAGCTAGTAAGTCATTAAAACCAAGAGGTCTGACTTCGGGACCTGGCTCTTACCACCAAGATGGTCTTTTAAACCCCAGGAATAACCTCGGGGTTTGCCAGAAGTAAGGCTTAGAATACTGACCGAGGCATAGATGATTAGAGATCCAGAAGGCCTCAGAGATCCTGGATCCTGGCCCTGTCCTGATAAATCTCCTAACATCCTGAACAGTGCTCCCCGCTATTCGGATGAACAACTTTAGGCTCCTGAAAGCTGTTGAAACATAAAAGGAAATCCAGTTGTGTCCCCAAGTTGTATTTTCTAAGGCGGAAGAGGATGCTGTTGCATTTCAAGTGATTGCAACAAAGGTTGATATGAAAAAATACCTCTTATTAACCACAAATTCTGCCTATCTTGACCGCGGCCCCCTGAGCACTCTGGTTAGTTTAGGCCTTGGTGTGGTAGAGAGACCTGCAGTCACTTCAGGGCCTGGCGGCCTGCCTGAGGTGGACAGAGCCTGGATGGTGAGGGGCCAGTACCTTGTCTTTGCTCTCCCACCCCTGTCACTCTTTGGCGGCAGTTACCTGGAGGCTTTCCCTGGTTCTTTGGGGAGAAAAAAGAGGCATCCATAGAAGGTGCCAACCCACTTTGCAGACACCCTGAAACTCACATCCCTGCACATCTTGCCCCACCCAGAACACTGGGGCGAAATACAAAACCAGTGAGGCTGGCTGGGCGCAGTGGCTCACACCTGTAATCCCAGCACTTTGGGAGGCCGAGGCGGGCGGATCACGAGGTCAGGAGATCGAGACCATCCTGGCTAACATGGTGAAACCCCGTCTCTACTAAAAATACAAAAAATTAGCCGGGCGTGGTGGCGGGCGCCTGTAGACCCAGCTACTCGAGAGGCTGAGGCAGGAGAATGGTGTGAACCCGGGAGGCAGAGCTTGCAGTGAGCCGAGATCGCGCCACTGCCCTCCAGCCTGGGCAACAGAGCAAGACTCCCTCTCAAAATAAAAACAAAAAACCGGTGAGGCTGTCTCCGTTTGCCTTCCTGCAGCAGATCACTTAGCTTCTTTTCCATTTCCCCACACCCAAAACCAAGAGACCGAGTTAAAGACAGACCCAGGGGTCTAAGCATGTGGCCCTTTGGGCCCTCTCTCCTTTGAGCCCTCTCTCCTTTGAGCACCATGATGGGGCTGCTTGTTAGTGACGAGTTGAATGTATGTGTGCGTGTGCATCTAGTGAGTTAGATGCTGTCATATAAAGCTCGGTGGGTTGCCTCCCCGATGGGCTTTCCTGACTAGCTCCATTGGACCCTGGCCCATTCCTCAGCATGTATGTGCATGGTTGGCTTGTGTGACTAGTCTGTGGTGTGTGTGTGTGTGTGTGTGTATACATGTGTGCTCATATTGCTCACGTGACTCTGCCTGCCTCCCCGGCAGATCGTGAACTGTTCTAGGATGGTGTCTGTGCCTACTGTTACTCCACTGTCCCCCCGCTGCCTGTGCAAGGCTCAGAGTGGACCTGCAGTAAATAGCTGATTGTTGCCAACTGCCAGAATTTGTGCCTAGGAGATGGCTGATTGCCAGTGTTCATTGGCAGATTGGGCACACGTTGGTGAACATGTGGGATGTTATGTTATGGGGGCAGAGCAGTGTAGCTGGGGGCTTCTGGAGGCTCTCTACTGGCAAGGCTTAGTCAGAGGGTGCTGGGTGACCATCAGGGCCCTGGTGACTGGGGCTGGCCTGACAGTGTTTGACAGACAGGCAGGGCCTTGCTAACAGGACTAGGTTGTTGGCACAGCTCTCAGCAGGGTGCACTCATCTGTGTCCAGACATGGTTTTAATTCTCCTGCTAAATGCCCTGTCACTTGGAATTGAGATTGTTTCTGCAGTGAGGCCCAGGACAGCGAGATTAATTTATCATCTGGAATCTTTAGCGAGACCCATTCTATCCTTTATGATCCTCCTGGCTATGCTTTCCTGAACTGCTAATTTCTCTCCCATTCCTCTCAATTAGCTGTAGATTAGTGGCAAAGCTGGTCAGACCCCCTCTCCCTGGAGAGCTTCCAAGCTCAGCTTCCCTGGAGCTGCCCAGTCTGCTGTGTCAGCGTCTGGTTCAGACGCTGGGAAGGCTGCACCCGGTGTCTGTGCATCTGGGGGCGAGTAAGCCCCCATGCCATCTGGGGCTGCTTCTCTGTGGTCAGGAGGGGGTGTGAACAGCTGTCCACGGAGCGCCTCATGAGGTGAGTGTGTCTGCTGCGTGTGGCTTGACATGTGGATTCTGGAGAGGCAGTGCAATGTCTGTCTGTTTCTGAACCTAGCCTTGTGAGTTGACATACATACACTTCCTCCCTTAGTGTTTCGGGTCAGGGGAGTCAAGGGGGAGAAGGAGGGTCTGGGTGGGCTGCTGTGTGGTAGGCCACACGTATGGCCACATCATTCATGGAGGAGCACCGGGACTGGTGACAATTTGCGGATGACCAGAGATGTGGCTGAGACTGGAAGACATGGCTGCGGCCCCTTCCCTCACTCTGCTGCTGTGCTCCAGAGCCCCTCTGCCATCCCTCTGCTCTCCCCACAGGTGCTTACCTGGTGCCCTACCTGGTGCTGCTGATCATCATCGGGATCCCCCTCTTCTTCCTGGAGCTGGCTGTGGGTCAGAGGATCCGCCGCGGCAGCATCGGTGTGTGGCACTATATATGTCCCCGCCTGGGGGGCATCGGCTTCTCCAGCTGCATAGTGAGTCAAGGGCTGGGGCAGGCACTGAGTGGGAGGCAGGGGGCTGCTCCTGGGCATTGGAGACGAGGTCACCGAGTTTCCAGGCCAGAGTCCTACGTCAGGACAAGGGCAGGGAGGGGGATCCTCAACATGGGAATTACTCACAGCTGGGGTTCCAGGACCCCAGTCACCATGTTTCCTAAACTGAGAGTCGACCACGTTGCCTGAAACAGCATGGAAGATTTGCCATTGGTGCTAAGGAGGAAAAGCTGGGACATATTCACATGGGGCCGCCTGGGACAGCTCAGCCAGAGTTCTCTGGGAACATATGGACTAGCCCAGATGCCCTTCTCTGCTTATCAGTCCCTCAGCTCCCCATGAGGGAGGTCCCTCCTCTTTCCTTGGTCAAAGAGTATTTTAAGCAGGCAAGCAGGGAGCTCAGGAAAAGGCAGGCCTGGGGCTCAGGGTCTCCTTGCCATTTTGCTATGCCAAAGAGCAGAGTTGGAGAACTTACACAGGAAACTTAAGGTCAACCCAAGGTGGGTGAGGCTTTGGAACAGTGAGAGACAGGGAGACGCCAGTGGCCCTGGATGGAGAACTTTGTGAGGTCTCCAGGCTCATCCACAAGGCTACAGATGAGAACCTGCTCAGAGCTCTACGTGAGGAAACAGCATCCCTTAAGGGCAAAGCCTACAGGGAACCATGCTCACTGCTCACACCTGGGATAAAGACTGAAATGAACTTCTGGAAGGGACTAAGGATTCTGCCAGGCCTGGCAGTAGGGCCAGCCCAAACTTGCCTCAGGCAGAGACTGGGAGAGGGCCTATTGCAGCCCCCTGCTCTCACGTCAGCCATCAGCTTTGCACTGGCCAATGCCGTGTATTCTGCTGGGGCTGGCTGTGTGCTGATACACAGGAGTGTGTGTATGGTCTCCCACTTGGACTGAAAGAACCCAAGTAAAAGAAGTGGGTGTCTCACTCTGTCTGTGCTCCCAGAAGGGTCTGCTCTATGAGCAGCTGCTCCTGCACACATGTGCTCAGGTGAGACTGATGAAGCAAGCGGCCCTCAGCTCTCACACTGGCGCCAGTCTCACTGATGCAGGAGACAGCCAGGCCTCTGGAAGGGACCACCCTGTGTCCAGAGTGGATGCAGCAAATCCCTGCCCATAGAAACATTGCTTTCAAAGAAGCCCCTTGGACCCTCAGGCAGAGTCCATGCACTCCTATTTTAAATAAAATTCTACCAATGTTAGTTATTGTGTTTCCAAGAAATGACAAGTGCCATCTTTCTAGAGGCAGGCTGCTAACATGCCCGAGAGAGTGGAATCCACAAGAAACACCCACAAAGTCTCTAAAAGCACAGCAGTCTGGGTTTGTTTACCATAGGGGCCAAAGCTGTGCATGCCTTCACAGTCCTGGAGGGCATCTCTGTCATTACAATCCCCAGTCATCAGGAAATGAGGAGGAGAAAGTACTTCAAGTATCTTAGAAGAATTTCAAACTGGAAAGGATTAACATTTTAAGAGTTTGTTGCTTAAAAGAGAGAACTTTAACATCTGAAAAATTCCTTTGTGGATTTCCTGAATACCAGATGAATGGAGCGTGAATGGAGCGTGAGGGGAGCTCCTCCACGGCCCGCACCCTATCCCTCCTTGCCTCTCTTGAGGCTGTGCTGCTGTGTTTATGGCGCTGCCGACGTGCTGGGCCTCGGGTGGAGCGTGGGGGCAGGGTGGAGTTGCCTGCAGCCTCAGTGACCCCGCAGTGGGCTTGTCCCCAGGTCTGTCTCTTTGTGGGGCTGTATTATAATGTGATCATCGGGTGGAGCATCTTCTATTTCTTCAAGTCCTTCCAGTACCCGCTGCCCTGGAGTGAATGTCCTGTCGTCAGGAATGGGAGCGTGGCAGGCAAGTATGGGGCCCAGCTGGGGATGCCAGCCAGCCCTGTCCCAGGAAGGGGTCTCACAAGCTTAGCGCACACATTTGGAATTTCAGACTTGTTGTGTCCCCTTGGATAAGTCACTTAACATCTCTGATCCTCATTTCCCCTTCCCCAGTGGGAATGGTCTCTTTTCCAGCCTATTTCTGACAGGATTGAATAAGACAGTGAGTGTAGGTAAAACTCTGGAAAGCGTGACTTTAACTGTTATTACTCACCCTGTTATTCCACTTCACAGATGAGGAGACTGAGGCCCAGAAGCGACTTTCCCATGTTCACACCACTCATCTAACCAATGATCTGGGATGAGAATCCAGGTCTCTAGCTCCCAGCTCAGGACCTTCCCCGAGGAACTTTAGGCCAATTCAGCCTCACGTTTCCTCCCTTCCATAGAGAGACATGGGCAGCAGGAGGCATGGGTGGGAATCAGCCAGGCTGGTGTGTCCTGAAGCCTCCCAGACCCCAGTGGGAGCCTAGGATTCCTCAGGGTCTGCCAGATCCCGGCTAACCCAAGATGAGCACAGCCCCTCCCAGCTGCCCACCCTCAGCAGCTCCCTCACCCACTGCTGCCCTGAGTGGTGGTCCAGCAGAGGAAGTGACCCCATAGGCCCTGCCACTGAGGCCCTGTGACCTTTGCTGCTATTTCAGTGGTGGAGGCAGAGTGTGAAAAGAGCTCAGCCACTACCTACTTCTGGTACCGAGAGGCCTTGGACATCTCTGACTCCATCTCGGAGAGTGGGGGCCTCAACTGGAAGATGACCCTGTGCCTCCTCGTGGCCTGGAGCATCGTGGGGATGGCTGTCGTTAAGGGCATCCAGTCCTCGGGGAAGGTGAGTGCTGAGGGGGGCACCCAGGACCCAAATGGGGAACAGCAGAAAGGCACAGAGGGCACAGGGCTAAGAATTCCAGGCTGCCCTTTGCAGGGTCTTCTGGGTGGATAACACAGGCCCCCAGAGGAGGGTGTGGAAGTATCATTCCTATAGTGTTGCTCACCATGGACAGCCTACCCGGAATGGAATAGCTGGAAAGTCATTGCCCTGGACCCCAGCTGCTTCCATGCTCAGATAACTCAGTCCTGCTCTAATGCAAACATTAGAGAGGAGGAAAACTAGAAGTATTGACCCAGGGACGTCTGTCTAGATTCTAGACCCTCAGGTTCCCAAGAGCAAAAGCCCTAGAAGAGCCTGCTTTGAGCAGTTCTTGGTGAAAACCAGCAGCTTGCCATGCCTACAGCTAAAGGGCCCTTTGAGCAGGTAGACGCTATGAGTGAAGGGGGCCTTAGAGGCCTCAGGGGGCAGCTCCATAGCAGTCTCTGAGGGGTAGACCAGCCAAGCCCCACACCTCTTCCCAGCATTTCAGATCCCCTTTAAATAAGGGCCCTTTCTTACTTGTCACATACCAGTATTCATGGGCTGCCAGGGATGAGAAGGATTGGATTAGAGATCCTGTATCCCAGACTACTCATTTTACAGATGAGGAAAGTGAGGCCCAGAGAGGGGAAAGCACCTCAGCTAACATCACGCAGCCAGTCAGTCTCAGAGCTGCAACTAGAACCCTGGCTGTTTGAGGCTTCGGGTTCTTTTCCAGATTTGATGAGCAAGGAAGCTAAGCTCTAGAAAGGTAGAGTGACCCCAGCCATTGACCTCTTCCCTTTCCAGAGGCTGAAATAGTAGCTGATGCTTTGTGGCACTTCTCAGGTACTGCCACCTGTATGAACGCATTTGGTCCACAACAACGTTATGAGTTAGGGATGATTACACCCATTTTAGAGATGAGGAGATGGAGGCTCATGGAGGTTAAATGAAATGCCTGAGGCCACATGTTGGTAAGTGGTAGAGCCAGGGTTAGAACTCAGGCAGCCTAACACCAGACTTGCATTCTCTTAGCCTTTACACCACCCTGCCCAAACAGCCCTCTTCCTTTGTTTCAGTGCAGCAAACATTTTGTGAGCATCTCGTGTGAGGCCATGTACCACGCACGCAGGGATATAGACATGTGCGAGAAATGCTGTGGTAGAGAAGAGCACACGATTCATCCTCACAAGGGGCTAGGGACTTCTTCAGATGTCTTCTGTTTGGGAGCCGTGTCTATAACCTCCTGAAGGTCTTCCGTCAAAGGAGCTCTAAGGACAGGGGAGATCCTTAGGGGGCCCACTGGGGGAATGAGACATGGGAGAATGAGGAGGGGACAGCAAAGGACTCCCTTACCCCCTTGGCAGCCCTCTGGGGTGAGGAGGCTGTTAGCTCAGCCCCAGAAGCTCTGGAAGGGAGAAAACCAACCCCGGGCACAGCCATGCAGACTCCAGCTTGTCCTGTTCCTGCTTCTGCCTTGGCTCCATGCCAGATGTGTGGCAGTTTTGGCCCTCTGCCCAGGGGTTCCAGGGCTCTGTTTTCTGCTGCCATCAGGGGCGGCTCATGTGCCCCAGATGTGAGCAGGGATGGGGGGTGCCAGCTGCAGGAAGGGCTCTGCCTGATGGGGGTTCCCTGTCCTCTCTGCAGGTGATGTATTTCAGCTCCCTCTTCCCCTACGTGGTGCTGGCCTGCTTCCTGGTCCGGGGGCTGTTGCTGCGAGGGGCAGTTGATGGCATCCTACACATGTTCACTCCCAAGGTAAGGGTTTGGGGCTCCCACATGCCAGGGAACAGCAACAGGTCTACTGGGCCTGGTCAGCTTCCTGCAATTTCATGGAATTTAATGCACTCCGAACACCTGCTATGTGTTGGGTATCGTACCAGGCCCTGGAGAGATGCACAGGGAAGGGGGCATGGGCCCTGCCCTCCAGGTTCCAAGGAGAGGCGTGTCACATCGATTTGGGTGAAATTAGAAAAGGCTTCAGAGAGGAGGTAACATCTGAAAGAGCCTTAGGGAGCAGGTAGGATTGCAGTGAGCTGCCATAGGACATTATAATCAAAGGGAACTGCATGAGCAAGGGTGTGGGAAAACACTGGGCGTGCTTGAGGCAACAGTGGGAAGTCAGGTTTAGCTAGGGTATGAGAGCAGGGAGCTTCATTCATTCATTCATTCATGGGGGCTTTCATTGTGTGGCAGCAGGAACCAAGAAGATGCCTAAGAGAAGAAAGCTCCTGGGAATCTCCCCTTGTACCCAAATCAGAGGAAAGAAGTTACTATTTTATTAAAGATAATAGACTACATGAGTGGTGACTTTAACCTTACCAAAGCCATTCACACTTCCTCTTAATTCTCTCAATAGCCCGGGGAGCAAGATGAGCAGGATCACTGTTCACATTTCACAAAGGGTGCAGCAGAGGCACGGGCATCCTGAAGATGTATACCCAGGTTCCCTAAAGACGGTCTGTCTCCACCCATGGCCTTGCCTCTCTATGACCCTTCAGACCACTGGGCACAACTGGCATGCCTCAGTCCATGGAGGACTAAAAGATTTTCAAATGCAGATTGGCACTCCCTCTAAGTTGCCCCAAGCCCTGTACATCAGAAACCCCAGCTGGTCAGGCTGAGAGTCCATCTCTAAATGCCAGCTGATCAGTAGCAACCAGCAGGGACCTGGTGAGACTATAGCCCATGGGCACAGGGTCAGAGCTCTGTCAGGCCAGCTTGAAGGCCTCAGTGTTCATTGGTGCCACCTTGCACATGTGTGTACACACACACACCCCTTTACACAAACAGTTCATGCAGGATGACACAGGAAGAAGAACCCAGATCTGATAGGGTTGGAAATCCCTGTAGGCTCCTGATGTCTCAGGGGTAGTACTGGCTAGGGCACACGCCACTCCATAGTCACCAGACAGTGCCTAAATGGTCCCTCAGTGTTCTTGGATATAACATCAGAGGTTTACACGTGACCAACTTCAAAGGTCCACTTTATGAAGCACTTAATGAATCTCCTGAGGCATGAATGTGAATCCTGAGCCATGTGGCTGGCCGTAGGGTTGTTGTAAACACATGATATCTGACAAAGAAAAAATAAAAAACCTGGTTTCTTTGGGAGAAAATAGCCATGAAAAGAAAGCCAACTGTTTTTAACAGATTACAACTGTATTTCTAGAACCATGATCAGTCTAAAACGTTCACTTCAGTTTTCCAATTCTACTTTACTAAACTTTAGGAGGAAATTATATGCTCTGGTGTTGTTCCTGAGTGTGGACTTTTACAGAGGTCTCCAGATGGGCCCCTCAATGTTGTTAAGGGCCCCCTGTATGTAACTCTAGGAGCAAGAGGAACAGATTCACAGGAGCAGCTGCTGGTCCCAACACACACAATACTGCTCCCCACTGGATTCAGACACACTTTATCTCTTTAATTATGAAATATCTCAGGCATGTAAACACATATCTAATAATAGAATAAAAATTCTTAGGAAATAAAATATTACAGATGCCATTAAAGTGCCAGTGTAGCCCTCCCTGATCCCATTCCCTTCCCTTCCCAAAGATAGCAACTGTCTTATTCCATTCCTGCTGCTACAACAAAAATTCCTTAGACTGGATAATTTATAAACAATTGAAATTTATTGCTCACAGTTCTGGAGGCTGGGAAGTCCAAGATCAAGGCACCCAGCTTCAGTATCTAGTGAGGACTCTCTGCTTCAAAGATGGTGCTTTCTCACTGCATCCTCACATGGCAGAAGTTCAAGGGAGCTCACTTGAGCCTCTTTTTATAGGGGCACTAATCCCGTCAGGGCTCCACCGTCATGACCTAATCACCTCCCAAAGACCCCCACCTCTTAATCTATCACACTGAGTATTAGGTTCTGTCATGGGAATTTTGAAGGGATACTAACATCCAGATTATAGCAACCACTTTCCTGAATTTGGGATTTGTCTTGATCATACATTCTTTGAAATTTGTTATACATATATGTGTATCCATAAACAATGTTTAGCATTTCTGCATACCTTTAACCTTTACATAAATGACATCATATTATATGTATTCTGCAACTTGCTTTTATTTTTGCTTAACATGATTTTCTAAGATTTACCAATTTTGGTGTATAGCTCTAGTGCATCAGTTTTCATGGATGCATAGTATTTCGCTGTAGGACTAAACTGAAATGTATTTATTCATTCTCTAGTAAATGATCATTTAAGTTGTTTCCAGTTTTCACCATTGCTAATAATGTTACAATAAACACTACGCAGGTCTTCATGCATACATGTTTCTCTAGGGTATCTATGTTTAGGAATGGAATTGCTGTCTCAAAGGGTATGCATATCTTCAGTCTTATTCAATGTTGACTAAATTGCACTCCCAAATGGTTGTATCTGCTAACACTCCCACAAGCTGTACATGAAAATCCCAGTTGTTCCACATTTGTCAGTCTTCAATTTTTGCCAATTAGGTGGATGCAAAATGGTTTATGTACACTTTGAGCAGTAGGGGGTGCTTCTTTCCTTCCTTCTTCCTTTCCCTTCCCCTTCCCCTCCCCTCCCCTCCCCTCCCCTCCCCTTCCTTTCTTTTTTGAGTTGGAGTTTCACTCTTGTTGCCCAGTCTGAAGTGCAATGGCACGATCTCAGCTCACCACAACGTCCACCTCCCGGGTTCAAGCTATTCTCCTGCCTCAGCCTCCCGAGTAGCTGGGATGACAGGCATGCGCCACCACACCTGAGTAATTTTGCATTTTTAGTAGAGACGGGGTTTCTCCATGTTGGTCAGGTTGGTCTCGAACTCCCGACCTCAGATGATCCGCCCGCCTTGGCCTCCCAAAGTGTTGGGATTACAGGCGTGAGCCACTGCGCCTGGCCTTGGGGTGCTTCTTTCTAAAACAGTTTCCTGGATGTTCAGGAAACCATGTGAATCCACTTTGGCATTTGCAGAGGCCAGGGTCTTCATGAGACTTTAAAAAATCAAATCCAGGAGCCAGGCACGGTGGCGTGTGCCTGTAATTTCAGCTACTTGGGAGGCTGAGGTGGGAGGATCCCTTGAGTCTAAGAGTTAGATACCAGCCTGAGTAACAATAGTGAAACCCCATCTCCAAAAAATAATTAATTAAAAATCAACATAAAAATAAAGTGACTCTCCCGAAGCTACACAGCTGGCAAGAAGCAGAGGCAAACCTGAACTCATGTCCACAGACTCCACATCCCATGCTCTCCAGCTGATAAACTGGCTTCATGAAAATTGGTGGCTGAAGGCCAGGTGGCAAGAGTGGAGGGTTAAATAGAAACGTCCCCTACCTTACAATTTCATCTAAAATCATTCCTTCTTATATTCCTGGGAATGGCTAAAAACAAACCCACATTTTGGGGGATGGGCAGGAGAGGTTTTGCAGGAACAAAAACCCCAGCACACTACTGCTAATCTGCCTTTCCCCATCTTACACCCCATGGTTGAGCTGAGCTGGCTGAGAAGGAAGCTCTGGGGGGCTCCATCCAAGCCCCCTCAGGGAGTCAGGCAAGTGAGGCCAATGGTGATGGCTGGGGTGAGGTTCCTATTTACAAATCCCTCCAAGTCATTTGCAGAAAGGGTAGGCCGACTCTCAGAAACAATGGCCTGACAGTCTATATGTGGCAAACTACTGTTGCAGAGCTGTGACTGTTTTCAGCACAGGATTGGGGAGATATGAGGGGTCCTAGGAGCCATTTCAAGTTCTTGCCCTACAATGATGCTGTAAAGTACCAGGTCACTGCCCTAGCTGCCCGTGCTGTGCACTGCTCCATTCATATAGACTATAATATAAATGACATCCCCAGGGGTCATGCTGTTTGGTACCTCTGGCAGAGTCCAAGAATTTTTGGCCAGGGCATCTCAGAGCCCATGTGGGAGAAGCATAGGCTCTCCATAGATTGTGCTAAATGACCTGGAAGGCCTTCCCTTCCATAGAGCCTTCCAACATCAGAAATAATTCAGGCTATCGGACCTGGACTTTGCAGTCCATGTCTTCAAGCAGACAGTTACCGGGTATGATGAATGCGATGTGGCCAAGCTGCCATGATGACCCATTAGCATCGTTGGTAGGACAGTAACTCGTGTTGACGGCTAATGAACTTCTTGAATTCCTCGGGCAGCTTTTCTCCTGATTACTTTCTTTCCATGTAGGTAAAAACCCAGGTCAGCATGGGCTACCTGCAATTAATCATGTGATTTGCTTGATATAAAGTGGTAGATTATGGTCGGATTTTTAACCACCAAAATGTTCAGAGAATGTTTATCAAAATTACAACTGTTCATATCCTTCAGCCCAGCAATTTAACTTCTACATATTTGTCCTACAGATGTACTCATACGTAAGCAAAATGATCAGTGTACAATGTTGTTCATTACAGCATTTGTTTTAGTGGAAAAAGATTGAAAACAACCCAAATAACCATCATTCACTTATTCATTCAACAAAGGTTTATTGAACACCTGTTACGTGCACTGTTCCGAGTCACGGGATCCAGCAGTGAACAAAGCAGACAGACTTCCTGGTCCTCATGGAGCTTACGTTCTGGTGGAGGGAGACAGATGTTGTCAGATAATATAAGATAAAGAATTGTCATTAACTGTTGATGCCAAGGGGAAAAATAAAGCAGAGAAAGGAGGTTTAGGGCATTCGGTGAGAAGAGTTGCAATTATGGACAGTACCGTCAAGGAACGCCTTGCTGAGAAGTGACGTATGAATGAAGACCTGAAGGAGGCCAGGGAGCAGGCTATGTGGATATTTAGAAGTAATGCATTCCATCCTGAACAGAGGGAACAATGAGTGTGAAAAGGACTTGAGACTGGCTGTGGCTGGCATATTCAAAGAGGCCAGTGTGGCTCGAATAGGAGGGGAAGGAGGTAGGACGTATGGTCGGTAGTAATGTACAGCCGGATCATGAGGGTCCTGTGGTTAAGGTAAGAAGTTTGACATTTACTCTGGTGAAAAGGGAGCCATCGAGAGTTCTCAGCAGAGGAGTAGCATGATCTGACTTCTTAGGACGATCATTCTAAGCCTCTTAAGTGGCTTCTGTAGAAAATCTGAGGGAATGAGGACAGGACAGGGAGACCTGTCAGGAGGTCCTCCAGGTGAGAGATGACTGGGGTTTGAGCCCAGGTGATGGCAATGGGAGTGATGAGAGTTGGTTCGATGGAAGATACATTTCAGAAGCAGAGTCAAAAGGGTTTGCTGTTGGATTGGTTGTGAGGTGTAAGAGGAAGAGAGGAGTCAAGGATGACTGTGGCCCTTTACATGAGCAGTTGGAAGGATGGAATTGACATTCATGGAGATGGGGAAGACAGTGGAGGGAACAGATTTGGTGGGGAACATCAAGAGTACTCTTTTGGACATGGCAGGCTTAAAATATCTAATAGATCTCCACATGGAGATGCTGAGGAGGCAGTTGGATGTATGGATCTAGAGGTCAGGTGTGGAGGTCTACATTTGGGAGTGCGGGATAACAGAGAGAATTTAAAGCCACAGATTGGTTCACAATCACCTAGAGAATGAACAAAGACAGAGAAGAGAGCTGAGCACTGGGGCCCTGGTGTTTAGAGGCTGAGGGCGGGATAGCTGTGGGTGGGCGGTGGCGGGGAGGTCGAAGAATAGGAGCAGAGAGAGAGACAGGCAGGCCGACAGACAAACAGACATTCTAGATGCAGAGTGAAGAAAATGTTTTAAGAAAGAGGGAACAATCAGCCATGTCCAAAGCTGCTGAGAGGTCAGGTGATGAGGTCTGAGAATTGACCGAGGCACTTGGCAACAGAGGGGTCACTAGTGACCTCAACAAGGGCTACTTGGGTGGAGTGCTGAGGACAAATCTAATAATAATGGGTTGAAGGGAAAATGGGAGCGAGGAATTGGAGACAAGTAATAGATACCAGTTATTCTCAGGAGTTTTGCGATACAGGAGCAGAGAAATGAGAAATGGGATGGTAACTGGAGAGGGTCATGGGGTCAAGGGTGTTATTTCACAATTTATATGATAAAAATAATCCATCATACACCACTGGTGGGAATGTGAAATGGTATAATGGCTTTGGAAAACAGCGTGGCAGTTCCTCAAAAGGTTAAACAGAGTTAGCATATGACCCAGCCATTCCACTCCTAGGCACATATCCAAGAGAACTGAAAGCATGTTCACACAAAAACTTATACACAAATGTTCATAGCAGCATTGTGTATTATAGCCAAAAAGTAGAAACAACACAATGTCCATCAACTGATGAATAAATTTTTAAAATGTGGTATATGCATACAGTGGGATATTATCCAGCCATAAAAAGGAATGAGGCAGTGATACACATTGCAACATGCAACTCCTGAAAACTTTAAGCTAAATGAAAGAAGCCAAACACAAAAGACCACACACGGTATGAGTCCAATGATATGAAATGTCCAGAATAGGTGAATCCATAGAGAAAGAAGGTGGATTAGTGGTTAGTACTGGGCTTGTGGGGAGGTTGGGGGAGACATGGGGAATGACTCTATGTGTTTGGGTTTTCTTTTTGGGGTGATGAAGAGGTTTTAAAATTGAGTGTGGTAATAGTTACACAACAGTGTGATACGCTAAAAACGATTGAATTGTGCACTTAAAAAATTCAAAAAAGAGAAGGTAGTTTGTGTCATAGGAGAGGAGAAATAAGCAGGAGGGAGAGACTGCAGTGCTCAGCTGGAAGAGTTGGTCTCAGCTAGGACCACACACAGTCCCCATAGTAGCAGGAGGGAAAGGCTGGGCCACGGCGCATGGACGCTGGCAGGTGAGATGCTGTGGGAAGGAGCTCTCTTCTGATTGTGTCATTTTTCGCAGTGAAGTAGGAGACAAGGTGATTGTCTGAGAGCAGGAAGGGAGGAGGAGGACTTGGAGGGCTAAGGAGGAGTGAGTGTGAAGTAACTGTGTAAGAGATGGGAGAAATGTGTGGGCAGTGGCAGCACGAAGGGCCCCCTGGAGGCTAGGGGTCAGGAGTGTGCAGTGGACTCTCTAGCATGGAGATCGCCAACACTTCCGCAACTCCAAGATAGACAGTTTTTCACATTTGAACATCTCTGAAAGCACGCTGTTTCCGACGATCAGTGAGGCAATTATACAAGCCTGTTTTTTCTGTTTTTGTTGGTTTTTTTTGACGGAGTCTCGCTCTGTTGCCCAGGCCAGAGTGCAGTGGCGTGATCTTGGCTCACTGCAACCTCCGCCTCCCGGGTTCAAACGATTCTCCTGCCTCAGCCTCCCAAGTAGCTGGGACTACAGGCATGTGCCACAATGCCCGGCTAATTTTTTGTATTTTTAGTAGGGGTTTCACCATGTTAGCTAGGATGGTCTCGATCTCCTGACCTTGTGATCCGCCCACCTCGGCCTCCCAAAGTGCTGGGATTATAGATGTGAGCCACTGCGCGCAGCCCAGAAGCCCGTGTTTTACAATGGATAGTGCTTATTCTGTAGCAGGCACTTTTGTGTGCACTTTGCATATATAAACCCATTTAAACCTCCTAACAACCCTGGAGAGGTCGGTACTCTCATTATCACCACTGTGCAGATGGGAAAACTGAAGCACAGAAAGGGTGGATAACTGTAGGGAGGAGGCTATGAGTGGGCAACAGCAGAAGGGGCAGTGTGCCAGGAGCTCTGGGACTCTGTGGGTTCCCAACTTAGCATGTTGAGGAAGTGCCGAGGCTGGGAGCAAGGGCAGTGGCCCCAGGAGTGTGGAGAGTTCCATGACCACTCTGATGTGGACAGTAGGGAAAAAGAGGAACACACCCACACATATTCACGTGCGTGTATGTATATGTGTATGTAATGTATGTGTGTGTGTATACTGCTGGTATACGCATAAAATATCACAGGGGGGTACACCGGAAACTGACATCATGGGTACATCTGGAGAAGAAGAACCAGGTGTTACAGGATACAGGGATGAGGAAAAGGAGACTGAGGGATCGGGGTGTGCATCAACTCCTAGAGAAGAGAAGTGGGTTCTCTGCAAGTTCTGAAGGCCCAGGGGTGGAGGTTAGGGGTGGAGCTTCTTGACTCCCACAGTTAGAGAGAGGGCTTCTCAGCAGGATGATGAAGGTGGCCCAG
Source organism: Homo sapiens (assembly GCF_000001405.40). Taxonomy (NCBI): domain Eukaryota; kingdom Metazoa; phylum Chordata; class Mammalia; order Primates; family Hominidae; genus Homo; species Homo sapiens. The sequence goes on from NC_000001.11 coordinate 110,185,082, forward strand.
CCTCATTACCAGAGCGTGGGCTCTGGAGCCAGACGATCTGGTTCAGACTCTACCTCATCACTCAGCAGTTGTTGGGCAAGTTCCTTTGCCCTGAGGGTCTCAGTTTCCGCAATGGCAAGATGGGGTGGACAGTGGCACCTCCCCAATGGGGTTGTCGGGAAAGTGCTTAGGACTGCTCCTGGCAAGTGGAGAGCATGTGGTAAATGTTAGCTATTATTATCCTCGTCCCTTGTGAAGGTGACACTGTTCTTGGGCAGCGGGAGCCCAGTGCTCCAGTGCCATCTGGTGCTTCGTGGCCCCGGCTGGCTCCACACCAGCAGGTGCACAGCAGTGCTGAGAAGCAAGGTGTGTGCTCCTGTCACGCATGCGCTCAGGCTAGGGCTCAGCAGCTGCTTGTGGGCTCAAAAGCATCATCATGCCCACGAGTCAAACGCCTTGATACACTTTGTTTCCCTGAGTGAGGAAGTAGTTCAGCCATCATGCTGAAGAATTGGCAGGAAGCTGTTCCTCTGTTTTAGAGCAGACACCCCGAGGAGGGGGCGAGCCGCCTTTTCTGAGGGAAAAGCCCATTGCCCATCCTCCTCTTGCAGTCACATCCTGATGCCTGGAAGGGGCGTGGGGTTTTCTGAATCTGGCCGGGGGTTCATCCTCTGTTGTTGCTTGTTAGAATCATGCACCATCACCCAGGAATCCTGGAAAGAGCCCCTTTAAATGCAAGGAACAATAAGCATTCTGTACTGAAGGTGCCAGGCTCAATTTACCCCCAGATTAGCACTGGGCATCTGTGGTCATCTCCATCAGCAAGAGTACCCCTCTGAGCTGCAGGCTGGAAGGGAGGGTGCCCAGGGACCACCTGCACCAGGCACTTTTCTCCTCAAAGGTCAAGTTCACCCTCAGATGCTTTCCTGGGCCCTATCAACATCAGATTTGGTTCCATCAATTTGCTGGGTGATACGTATGTGGGTGATAGGTATTCATTACACTATCTTCTCTGCCTTTGTACATTTTATAATAAATATTCCATAATTTTTTAGTGGAAAAAGAGCAATCTTAACAAACAAATTTTTTTTCTATCCAAAGTTGTTGAATATTCCATCCTCCAAGAAATCTCCAAGCTATATAGGGCCAGCTCTGATCTGCAGTTTGGGATTGTGGTATCCTCCCAGGAGTGGCTGCCTCCATTTATGAAATTTGACCCTGAAGTGTGACTAGGCTGAGGAATTTATTCACATCTTTATTGATCCTAAACCTTTTAGGTTTAGGGTGTGATGGAAATCTTAATGATGGTATGAATTTGGGTCTCACAGGTAGTCTGGACCTTTTTGTGAAAATGATTGACATAGATAAAAAAGGAAATAATTACCAAAAAAAAAAAAAAAGGAAAGAGAAGAGGAAAGGATAATAAAATGAAGCCAGTATTAAAATAGCCATGTTTTAGAAAGTAGAAGTTTGAAGTCCTAAGATCGTCCTCTTATTCTAGAAGACAGCATCTTAGCCCAAAAGGCTGGTACAACTTTGTAGCCCCTTGTCTGGTCCCTCCTGCTCAGCTCACAACTCATAGAAAAAGGTCAGCTTTTGTCTAGTCTCTCTCTCTCTCTCTCGCTCCCGACTCTTTCCTTCTCTCACACGTGCCAGCACTGTTCATACAAACAGGAGAGGAGATGGGCTCCACCCCTAAGCACAAAGTGTTGAAAGGAAGACGAGACACATAAACCTGTGACGTGGGTATTGACAAGAGCTGTGAGAGCTCAAGGACCAGAGGCAATTAGGAAAAACTTTAAAGAAGAAATGATATTCATGGTGGGTTTTGAGAAATTTGTAGGAGTTTACCAGAAAGTGAGTAGGAGGAAGGGAATTTCAGGAAAAAATTACAGCCTAGGCAAAGGCCAGAGGTGTGCTTTTGAAGAGGAGTAAGTTACCTGCATGTAGAATGTTCAGAACATAAAGGAATGGAAAAAGATTTTCTAGAAGACAGTGGGGAACCATCAGATATTTTTCAGCATGCAAGCGACGTGACCAGAGCTGTGTTCATCTTGTTAAAAAAAAACAAAAACAAAAACAAAAAACCACTTCAGCTAGATTAAATGTAAAAGTTTAATTGAGCAATGAACAATTCGCTAATCAGGCAGAACAATTCGCTAATCAGGCAGAACAATTCGCGAATCGGGCAGCCTTCCGAGCCAGAGTAGGTTCAGAGACTCCAGTGCAGTCATGTGATGGAAGAAGATTTATGGACAGAAAAAGGAAAGTGACTTACGGAAGATGGAAGTGAGGTGCAGAAACAGCTGGATTGGTCACAGCTTGGTGTTTGCCTTATTTGAAGTTGGTTCGAGCAGTTGACCACATTTGATTGGCCAAAACTCAGTGATTGGCACAAGGGTAGGCTACAGTCTGTTTACACCTCCACTTCTTACAGTTCATGATGTACAGAGAAACCTTTAGGCCAAACTTAAAATATCTAAGGAGGCAGCTTTAGGCTAAACTTGATTTAATAATCTCAACATACCTTCTTTTAGAAAATTTCATAATTCTTCCTAGTTAGAACTCACCAAACTGCTCAGAGCCCTCCCATGAGGTGCTGGTTTCTAGCCTAGGAGAAGCGCCCAGGCTCCAGCAGATTGTGGTAGGGCTGTTGTGATTGACATTTGCGAATACCAGAGGAGGCCAGCCAGCATGCCTTCCAGGCATAAGTCACCCTTATGCCCATTTCTGGAGCATTCTTGAAAAATTATTTTTCAAAAACTCACCCAAGAGATGGGAATTAACACAAGTCCTTTCCCAGTGGAACTATGATTGTTTTCTTCTCCTTTTCTATTCTCCAGATTTCTACTAGGCACAGTACAGGCCCCCATTTCCTTATCCACAATACCAAAATCCAAATAGCCATGAAAAACAAAAATTGGTTTGGTTTGGTTTTGATCCTCCAGAACTCACTTGGAAGCAAAATGACCTGCACAGATGTGAGGCTATTTATAGTCTTTATTGATTCACTTGGTGTGAATATTCATATTTTGCTGCAGAAATACTAACGTGTTTGATTACAGGGTGCTGCCCCAGACCCTGCTGGGGGTGATATGTAATTAAGTAGCATATGCATCACATTACCTTTCTAAAATTAAATTAGAAACAAAAGCTTGTATTCCAAAACCAGTCAGCCCCCAGGGCTTTTAGATAAGGAACCGTGGGCCTGTATTACATTTGTAAAGAAGGTAACATTTCATCTTACTTTAAAAACCAGACATCCGCCTATGCAAGGGGGTGGGCCCCCAGCAGTACAGGACAGCCCTGCCCTGTTTCTCTGGTCACCTGGCTCTCCCATGCTCCGCTGTGGCTATTTTAAACCCTTCCAATCCTTCACACCCTCTGACCTTCCTTCCGGCATACTCATCCCCAGCAGATGATTTTGCCTCCTGCTTTACAGGGAAAACAGAAGCTGCCAAGAAACTCCCTCAGATGACAGAGACAGAAACCGACCATAAAACCTGCCTGCAGCTGCCCCATCCTGTCCTCCCTCCCTCCTCTCTCAAATGAGCAGCCCAAGGGTGGTCCTATGGAGGACAGCTTCCCACCCCATCCCGATCCCTACCCTCCAGCTTTTCAAGACACTCCATTGAAAACAAAAACAAAAAAGAAATCAAGACAACATATAAAAATGCAACCCTTTGTTGATTTCATAGCCTTCTCCGGATACTGCCCTTCTCCTGATCCGAGGCTTGCTTCTCCGAGGACCTGCTTACCCACATTGCCTCCATTTCCTCCCCTCTGCCTCTCTCTTTTCTTCACTTCCCCTGGCTTCTTGCCAGGGAGCAACTCCGAGGAAGCCTCTGAAGCCCCCTGTGGCCTCCTGCGTGGACTCCCTCAGGGTCTTTCACTGGCAGCACTGACCCTTCCTCCTCCAGGCTCTGGGTTTTCCTCTTGCCTCTGCTGCTTCTCCTTCTCTGACTCCCTTTCAGGAGACTCTCCCTCTTCCCTGCATTCAGTGTTGGAGATAGGAGCAGGCTTTTGCTTCTTATCCCTCTGTAACTACAGCCACAGCCTCAGCTCCTGCCAGCACACCTGCTACTCAGAAAGTCTATCTCCAGCTTGTCTCTCTCTGGCTCCAGGCTCATCTGTCCAGCGGACCACTTGGCATTTCATTTTAGATGTCTTAAAGACACATTCAGCTCAACCTTTGTAGAACTAATGTCCTGATCCTCCCTGCCCAACACCATCAACCTGTTCCTCTCCCACTGTCCCCATCTCCACCTGCTCAGGTATGCAGGCCAGAGACATGGCCCTCACCTCGGCCTCTCCCTCTCCAGCATCTCCCATCTCCAGTCCATCCCGAAGGTCTCCTTGGTTTGTCCTGCGAAGATCTCTCCATTGGCACCACCCAGCCCCTTAGCAAAGCCACTGTCCCCTCCAGCCTGGACCCCAGAAGCCGCTTCCTCGAAGGTCTGCTGAATCCACTTATTTCTTTTGGAAATGCACATGATTGTGTCCCCACTTCTTTAAACCCCTCGGTGGCTTCTTGGGTTAGGTGCTTTCTTAGGGTGAAGACAGGATCTGTACAGGCCTTTGATCTAACTTCTCTCCTCTCCCAGCCCTACCTGTGCCACCCCCACCTCGTCCTCACTGCTTCAGCCACCCTGGCACCTTCCATTCCCTTTTACACACCATCCTCTGTCCTATCTCAGGACCTCTGTCCATGCTTCTTCCCGAATGTTCTTCCCTCCCCTTGTGGCCTCGCTTTCATCAGCTTTCAAATGTCAGCTTGAGGACCCCTTCTTCTGGGAAGCCTTGCCTGGCCTCCCAACTTGTTCAGATCCCCTTCTTATGGGCTCTCCAAGCACTGGGTGCCCAGCCTTCACAGCCCTTGTCACATTTGCAATTTAGCATTTGTTCGTGGGATCATTTGACCAATGTGTCTCTCTCCAACTAGAATGTAAACTTGGAGAGCCTGATTGCTTCTATTCCCCATGGCCTCTGCATCGCCTAGCACCAGGCCTGGCCCACAGCAGGTGCTCAGAGATTGATGGATGAGTGGCTACATGTCATTGCCACAGGGAGGCCTTGACACCTTATACCTAATAAGTACACAGGGGTGGGCTGGGGAGAGGGTCTCCTCATAGATGCCAAGGGGCCCTTAGATCCTTAAGGCCTGGGTTCTGGGCTTTCTTGGTGGACTAAAGATGGTTTTACTTATTTTGTGCTGGATGGGGGACCTTAATCTCCCCTGGAGTACACATGCTGTCTGACCAGGCAGTCCTCCTGGGTCTCCATTTGTGCCCAGGCCCTGAAGCTCAAAGGCTCGACTACCATCCCCCACCTCTTTCCCCTCAGCATGGGGGTGCCGCCCTCAGCCTCACTGCTCTGCCAGCGCTCTGAGCTTGCCAACATCTCAGCTGTTGGAGTGCTGCCAGGAGTTGAGACATGCCTAGGAAGCTGCTGAGATGATGGCAGGTGGGCCCTGTGTCCTGGATGTTATTTAGGGCTGTGATATTAAAGACAGCTAAAGTCCAGACGGACCCTAGAGTCCAACACCTCACTGTTCAGGTGAGGACTTACCCACAGGTACTCAGAAGGGGCAGCCGGGCCAGGACCCACACAGGGCTTGTCACCACAGGGAAGTGAACTCTCTGAATTGGCTCCTTGCCTCCTTAGTCTGTCTGGAGTGAGGTCACTTAGGTTCACCTCAGCAGCAAAGGTCACAGGGGAAAATGCTTTAAAGAGTATAGGTGATAGAAAAACTGAGTCAGGAGTTGGTGCTGGGGCCGGGGGCGGGGGCCTGGCCCAGAATATCTATATTTTAGTTATCACTCTGCCCCGACTAACCAGCTCCATTACCTTGAGCAAGTCATTTCATCTTTGGGGTCTCAGTTTACCCTTTAAAAACATGAATAGTAATCCTTGCTTCCTGCACCCCCGCAAAACACAAAACACCCTGTCCTGACGAGGTCAGCCTCATTCTGTTGGGATTGAGTGCCACTACGTACAGGCATTACTTGTTGCTATACATTTGATCCTCACGTTCACTCCGAGACTCTATTACTATTCCCTTTTCTTCAGATGAGTAATCTGAAGCTCATAACACAGTCAGTGCCACTTACCAAAAGCTTCATAGCCATTTAAAGATGGGAGTCAGGATTTGGATCTGGATCTGTCTGAGACTCTAAAGCTCTGTGCTGGGTCCAAGGCTTGGTCCCTGCCCCAAGGAACAAACAATAAAAGGAAAATAGGTTGGAAAGGGGCTTTGGAAATTGCTCCATGCCATCCCAATGCTGTTGCAGTTCGGGCTCCTGTCAGGTGTGAGGGCAGATGGAAGCTTAGGCGGAGGCCCTTTCTCCAGGAATTGTCTAGGTTCTGTGCTTCAGGTTGGGTGATGGTGGGGAAAAGCAGGCGGTTTGGGTTTTTTTTCCTTTCATGAGGTAGAGGAGTTTGAGGTGGAGAAGGCGTCAGGGAGATTCTGGTATTCTCAGTTTTCTTGTGCTGCTGTGCAAGCTGTTCACTGCAGGACTCTAGGAGGCACCTGTCACACTGTAGTCCAAGTGAATGGCACTCTCTAGAGCTGTGTACTACATGACCATATGTGATGGCCTTGACGATGTTCCTTAGTATGATGGCTGCATGGGAAGCCATGGTAGCAGTTAAATTACTATGTAAGCACTCAGCATTTATGTTGTCTTACCAAGTCCTCACAGTCATCCTCTGAAGTTGATACTCTTGTGATCTGCGTATTGGGGAAACTGAGGCTCAGAGGAGTAGGGAAATTGCCCAAGTTCACACAGCTTCTTACCACTATGGGCTGCTGCCTCTGAACTCTGTTGAGGCTGAGAAAGGGGGTGTGCACATGAATAAAACCATCCCCTCTGTGTCTCTTTTCTTCCTCCTGCCTTGGTCTTCTGCCATAGCTGGACAAGATGCTGGACCCCCAGGTGTGGCGGGAGGCAGCTACCCAGGTCTTCTTTGCCTTGGGCCTGGGCTTTGGTGGTGTCATTGCCTTCTCCAGCTACAATAAGCAGGACAACAACTGCCACTTCGATGCCGCCCTGGTGTCCTTCATCAACTTCTTCACGTCAGTGTTGGCCACCCTCGTGGTGTTTGCTGTGCTGGGCTTCAAGGCCAACATCATGAATGAGAAGTGTGTGGTCGAGTAGGTGGCATCTCTCCTCCTGTCCCTCCTTCTCCCTGTCTACCTTACCTGGGAGTGGGCAGGGGTGGGGGCGCAGGTGTGCATGGGGAGAGAGGTCCCCTCCACTCAGACTGAGGAATGGAGATCAGAGGAGCACTCTCTGTCCCCAGCTCCGGGCCACAGGGACAAGCTCAGAGATGCCTCTGTCAGTGACCCATGAGGTTCCCACCTGGGTGCCTGGGAAGAGCCTCCAGGATCTCACCCATTGCCCACCCCTGCCTTCTTACCTGGTCCTCTCGGTTTTGTGCTGCAGGAATGCTGAGAAAATCCTAGGGTACCTTAACACCAACGTCCTGAGCCGGGACCTCATCCCACCCCACGTCAACTTCTCCCACCTGACCACAAAGGACTACATGGAGATGTACAATGTCATCATGACCGTGAAGGAGGACCAGTTCTCAGCCCTGGGCCTTGACCCCTGCCTTCTGGAGGACGAGCTGGACAAGGTGCGGGGACAGGCTGCCCTTCCCAGGACAGGCAGGAACCCAGAGAGCAGCTGTGGCCGGCGGGAGCTTGGGCTCAGGCCTCAGGATGCTGACAGGTAGTCATTAGTTTACTTGGTAAGCAAGGATCTGCTGTGTGTCCAGAGGGAGTGAAAGGGAAGAAAGGTATTGGCCAAAGTCCCTGCCCAGAGGTAGGCTTGAGCCTAGACAAGAAGTAGGGCAGACACACACCTCTCAGAAGTCACAGTAAGTGTATGGGACGATGTTTCCATTTACTGAGTGGGCTTCTCGTGCATCAGTCACTGCCACAGGTAATATACTCAGAACAGTGCCTTGACATGGTGTGCATCAAAGAAGTGTTGAAGTTAGTGTTTGCCCGTTGCTGTCTATCTCTTTTGACGCTCAAGACAGCTCTATGAGTTGAGTATTCATATTGTTCCCTACCTTACAGATGAGTAGCCTATGAGATGGGGGGCTTGATCAAGGTCTCATAACTAGTAAGTCAGAGAGGCAGTTAGTTGGGTCCAAATCCAGTTAGTTGGGTCCAGAGCCCATGCTCAGGATCACCTCTTGATGCTTCTGCCCCTCCCCAACCTGTCCCCATTCCAATCTCACTGCCATGATGACTCTTAGACTTTAGGGTGGTGCTGGGGGTGCTGACTCCTCCTCAGTGCTCAGGCCCATGTTAGGACACCTTGCTTCTATTTATACTTACATAGCTGGACACTTTCAAAATGACTGTTCTGTTAGAAGGGGTAACAGGAAAGGGACATACCCACAGCATCTTGGGAACCAGGCTGGAGCCAAGGCTCACATGGGGCGGAGCCAGCTCCCATCAGCCTGGGTCAACCCTGTCCTTCATGGGACTGGGGAAGGGGGTGCTTTCCCTGGGCTCTATGTTAAAAGTCAGCTCCATTGGATGGTACCATCCTAATGCTGAGGGAGCTGCATCCTACACCCCAACCCTTTCCCTGCGGATCAAGAGCAAAAGAGCCCAATCTCGGGCCCACTGCCCTGGTTTCTTCCCCAGGTAACTGGCAGCATAAAGGACCTCCCCTTTTCACATTCTCTGAAACCCTGCTCAGTTCTCATGGGCATGGCCTGGTTCTCTGAATTAAACTAGGTTTATAGCAGTGTTTTCATACAATACAACTCCGATAGCATTCAAATGACAAGATTATACACTCACTTAGTGGGGAAGAAATGTTCCCTTACAATCACTGAACATTACAGGGCAACGTGTAAGTGACAGGGGGCAGTGTGTGGTCACCTGACCCACAAGCATGGCCCAAGCATTAAAGCAGTGATTCTCTACCTTGGCTACCCATTAGAGTTCCTGGGGTATTTTTGTTTGTTTTAAAAAAAAACTCTGACACCCAGCTTCACCCCAGACCAATCCAGTCATTGTCCGTGGGGTGAGACCCAGGTGTCGGTGTTTCTAAAGGCTCCGGTGTGCTTCCATTGAGAGCCGAGGCTGAGACCACTGCATGAAGATCTGCAGTTCAGAAGTTCTGAGCTGGGAGCGGCCACAGTGTGGCTGGAGCAATCAGGAAAGACATCTTAGAGGAGCAGGGTCCTGAGCTGGGTGTATTTCTAAACATGAGCATCTTCACTTGAATCACCTAAGCTCCTGGTACAACCCGTAGATTCCAGGTCCCACAGGTGAACTCCCAAGTTGGTGTTTTTGAGCTACGTCTAGGGGATTCCAATGCCTGCTAAAGTTCGAGACCCACTGGCCAAAATCAACAGGATTTAGGTGGAGGTGGGAACCCCTGTGAAAGAGGGAATAGTTATTCCAAAAGTTTGAAGGGCAGAGGGAAGGAAGCAGTGGGCTCCCCAGGGAGGGGTGACCTCACAGGCCCTGCTTTCCACCCCACCTTCAGTCCGTGCAGGGCACAGGCCTGGCCTTCATCGCCTTCACTGAGGCCATGACGCACTTCCCCGCCTCCCCGTTCTGGTCCGTCATGTTCTTCTTGATGCTTATCAACCTGGGCCTGGGCAGCATGATCGGGACCATGGCAGGCATCACCACGCCCATCATCGACACCTTCAAGGTGCCCAAGGAGATGTTCACAGGTAACTCCTCCCTGCCCCCATGCCCAGGCTCTGCAGGCTGCCCTTGTGGACAACAATTCCGTTCTGGCTTCTGACTGGGTCCTTCATGACCCCACACCCAGAAGGCTCCACCCCACACTGGGACACAGCTGGAGCCTGGCTGTGCCACTCAGTGATTAGCACTCACAAGCCAGGAAGAGAAAGCTACTTGGAAATCTGGAGCAAACATGAGCCGGGAGGCCTGCATCTAGGCCCCTTTGTTAGTTCACTTGCCCCTCTCCCCAAGGGCCTGCTGAGTCGTCTTGGGAAGTGGGTGCTGAGTCGTCTTGGGCAGGGGCACTCACTGGCCTTGCGCCCTGTTCCATCTTTGTCACTCCAGTCCCGGGCTGTGTCCACAGTTCCCTTCGGGGTTTGCTGCGTTGATCTAGGGCCCATAGAGGGATACCTCTCATCTGCATCCCTAAAGCGGGGTATCTTTCTGTTCTCAAGTGGGGAAACTGAGGTGGAGAAAAAGACTGGTAACAATCAGATGAATCATTTAAGTTAAATACAGCAATTAAGTAGCGCACCTGCCACGGGCCAGGCCCTGTGCTGGGGCAGAGGCATGGGATGAAAGTTAGACACAACGCCTTCCTCAGGTGCTCCCCGACTAGTAGAGCGGGGCTCAGAACCTGAGCATCTGGATCCCTCGTGCAGGACTGAGCCTGCTGGCAGGAGGGCTGCAGGCATGCTTTGGGGAGGGATGTGATGGGAGGGGCCTGGGTGCCCCCGAGACCCCCAGGGCCCTGCCCACCCTGCACCTTTGCCCCCAAACCGGCCTCCCGGCTCTCTGTAGTGGGCTGCTGTGTCTTTGCATTCCTCGTGGGGCTGTTGTTCGTCCAGCGCTCCGGAAACTACTTTGTCACCATGTTCGATGACTACTCGGCCACCCTGCCACTCACTCTCATCGTCATCCTTGAGAACATCGCTGTGGCCTGGATTTATGGAACCAAGAAGTAAGAGGAACATGGGGGAAAGGTGGGATGGGAGGAGGGGTCTGTCCTATCATGACTCCCTGGAGAGGCAGATCATAGAGTCACAATGGCAGAGCTGAAAGTGCCCTTACGGATCATTTAGGGAAACTGAGGTGTAGTGCAAGGACATGGCTGCCTAAGGCCACTTGTCCAGGGAGAAACAGAGCCAGTCTGAGGACTGGGTGTCCTGGGTGCAGGTCCTGGCATCATCCTTAAATTACCACAGCACCTTTCCTGGGTACCAACTCTTCAGAACTCTGTTAAGTTTTTGTGAAGGGCTTAGTGGGTCTACAAGAGGCCCTTGCCCTCCAAGAACGTGTAGACTTCAGCAGCCTGGTTCACAATTGTAAGGGCCTAGATAGGGGTATGAGATGAGGTATGATTTTGGCCCCAAGTTTGGGGTTGTGCAGGGTAAGAGGATTCAGCTCTAAGAAAGGATTGGGTCTCACAGCCTAGGCCTAGGGCAGTTGTACACTTACTGTAAACTCTTGGCCTCATCCCTCATGTTAGGGCAAATACGTGTTCCCAGGAGTTCTAGAACTAGGTCTCTCTGACTCACTCAGCATCGACCATGACCACATTGTCCTTGTCCTTGGCAAGACCCACCTCCACTAACCCACTTGGTCTGACCCTCCCTGATGCCTGGACCTGGTTTGGCAGTGGGGCTCTTTCACAGGGGCCGTCTGCTTCCTAGGAGAGCACAGGAGGGGACAGGGAGTGGGGGGAAGGACACTCCTCTGCTTCCACCTGCTGTGGGCCAGGGCTGTAAGACACTGCCACAAAGGACTCTGGCTGATTTTTGTGTCCTGGACTCCTTCGGCAGTCTGGTGATGTCCCTGTATGTTACTTTAAATGCATAAGATAAAATGTGTAGGGTTATATAAGAAACTTATTATATTGAAAAATAGCAAAATATCATTTAAAATTTGTGATATAGTAATGTATGAGCACTTTATTTTTAATGCATTGTTACAAGATCTAGCTATAGATCTAATAACAGTGGTAACTTTGAAGTAGTGATGAAAATCAGCGATGACTCAATATTTTCAATAACTGGGATGTAATATGAAAATATCTGTAATCTATTGGTGACAGTCACAGGTATTGTTAATACTACTGTGTTTGCTTGCATTCATAATATAATAGAAAGTAATGCAAGATTTTAGTTAGCGGTTATTGAGGTAAAGATGATTCTTTTGTATGCCATTCAAGCACAAGCCTGCCTGCCTTCCAGAATTCTGCTCACCCCTTGGTGAGAAACCCCTGAGTCAGGGCAGCTCTCTACCTTTGGACTCTAGAGAAGTGCACTTCTACTGCTTTTCCAGCAGGGGGAGCCTTCAGCCAGGCCAGTGTGAAAGGGCTAGGCCCCTCCCTGAACACACAAGCTGTCTATACATAAAACAGACGTGCACCTGCCCAGGGTGTGTCTGGTGGGCCCTATCATATCTCTGGATGGGGTATGATGTGACGGAATCAGAAGAGGTTAGAGGAGGACAGTAGAGCCTTCCCAGAGGCCAGCCAGACCACACACAATGAGCACTGAATGTGAAGAATAGAAGAGCCCAGGAGGGAGGGACTGGGAAACGAAGACTTTCTGGAGGAGATGGTGATGGGGGAAGAGGGAGGTGTGACTGAGGGATGCCAACTGCTGGACCCTCTGCTATGCCTGGCAGGTTCATGCAGGAGCTGACGGAGATGCTGGGCTTCCGCCCCTACCGCTTCTATTTCTACATGTGGAAGTTCGTGTCTCCACTATGCATGGCTGTGCTCACCACAGCCAGCATCATCCAGCTGGGGGTCACGCCCCCGGGCTACAGCGCCTGGATCAAGGAGGAGGTGAGGGGTGGGGCCCCAAACCCCAGGGACATTTGCATCTTCTCAGGCCTTGAATGCAACCACTGATAGGGATACACCTTTCTAGGGCAGCTGCTATGTGCCAGGCCTTGCCAGGTGCCTCACACCTAAACCGCAATCTTACAACAAGCCAAAGACAGAGGTGGCATCATCCCTGTAGCACAAACGGGGACACCGAGGCTCAGAAAGATTAATGCACTTATCCAGTCTTTCTAACCCATATTCTCTCTCCATGCCTGTGGAGTGGAATTAGTCCATTTTATAGTAGGAGAAACCACCCTAGACCCTTTCACCAAGGTGACCAGGTAAACCCCCATCCTTGGCTGTGCCTGGCCAGGATGGTGGGAGGGGAGAGGAGTGGAAGGCCATGGGTGAGGGCAGGAGAGCAGTCTTGGAGGGCCTGGGCGGGGAGGGCTGTCACAGTGCCGGCAGCAGCCCTTAAGGCAGCCCACCCGCAGGCTGCCGAGCGCTACCTGTATTTCCCCAACTGGGCCATGGCACTCCTGATCACCCTCATCGTCGTGGCGACGCTGCCCATCCCTGTGGTGTTCGTCCTGCGGCACTTCCACCTGCTCTCTGATGGCTCCAACACCCTCTCCGTGTCCTACAAGAAGGGCCGCATGATGAAGGACATCTCCAACCTGGAGGAGAACGATGAGACCCGCTTCATCCTCAGCAAGGTGCCCAGTGAGGCACCTTCCCCCATGCCCACTCACCGTTCCTATCTGGGGCCCGGCAGCACATCACCCCTGGAGACCAGCGGTAACCCCAATGGACGCTATGGGAGCGGCTACCTGCTGGCCAGCACCCCTGAGTCGGAGCTGTGACCACTGCCCAAGCCCTGCCCGCCTCTCCCCCCACGCTCAACCTGCCCACTTGTCCAGGCCTGGCCTCTTTCTTGAGGTGGCCACCAGGCCCAGGCCAGGCCCTTTGCCCAAGAAGAGAGGGTCTGCCCTGCCTCACTCCCCTCTTCAGTCCCAGTAGACTCTGCTCCCTAGCCCTGAGCAGGAGGCTGGGAGCAGCTCTGTTTCCTAATTCAGGACCCCACTCATCTAGCCCTCCAAGAGCCTCCGCCAAATTGTAGCCATGTAATTGGAACAACCCATAAGGCCTGCTTCCCAGTCCATGGGAGATTCCAAGTGGCCACTGCAGGAGTCACTCACCTCCCTCTCTCCCTGTAACTTGCCACCTGCAGTTCTTAGGGCTGTGGGGTCAGATGGTGGTGGTGAGAGGCCTTGGGGCTGGGGAAGGAGAGTGGACTTTGGCTCACTCTGCCATGAGAACAGGACACCATCCTGCCCAGCCCAGACGGGGTTGCTCCTGGTCCAAGAGGCTACCTGCTCCAAGGCGGAGGGTGGGAGCAGGTGTGCCAGGGCTCAGGGCTCAGACTTGGGAGGGCCTAGGCAGAAGCCCCAAGTTCTGTTTTCTGAGGTATGTGCTGCCCTTGGCTTCAGCATGAGCCTTGGTAGCAGAAGGTGAGGAACCTCCTCTGCCCTGGTCCCTGGGTGGAATCTTCCCATGTCCTTGGCCCTGCCTGGGGTGTGTGGTGTGTGCTCCTGCATCTTGTCTGGGAGTGCAGTGACCGGGACCAGAACCTTCCCCACCTCAATTAGGGCTTAGCCATCTCCCTGTCCCCAGCACCCCTCCCCAGCCCACAGTGGTGGCCTCTGCCTCTTTCCTGGAGAGAGAAGGACAGTGCACGGAGAGGTTTCCAGAGCACAAATTGTTGGTTCCTAGCACAAATTAGATGGTTTGGAGCACAATGGTGAAGCACACTCCCCTCCCTCCTCACCTGGGGTCCAATGTTCTGTCTAGTGGCAGCTTTTCCCCTGGAACAGGGGTCCCTGGAGTTCACAGGCTTATCCCCAGGAAGCCTCACTCCTGGGGAAAGACAGATAATTTCACTGCCCCTTTGAGCCACCACTCACTCTCCTTATTACACAAGCACAGCCGCCCAGTGTGCACATCATGTGCAGACACCTTGGAAACCTTTCCCAAGCCTTCCTGGCCCACAGTGGCCAGTGCCATAGGCAGTGCTGTGGACAGTAGAGGCTGCCAAAGGCAAGGGCTGGTCTTCAGGATGGAGGCCAGCCTGTGCAGAAGGCTGCAGCTGACAACAGCGACCCCACCTGCCATTACCTTCAGGGCCTCCTCTGGAAGAGAACCCATTCTCAGAGTGCAGCCAGGGAGGAACCTGACCCAAGAGTAAATGTCTGCAGAGAGATGGATGGATGGATGGATAGATGGATGGATGGGTTGGGGAGTGGGGGTGGATGGATGGATAGATGGATGGATGGATGGATGGATGGGTTGGGGGGTGGGGGTGGATGGATAGATGGATGGATGGATGGACGGATGGGGTGGGGGAAGGAAGGAAAGGAGGGAGAAAGGAGGGAATACTGGCTCCATCTTTGAGAGCTCTGGTGGGCAGGGCAGAAACAGGCCACAGTGCTCAACCCGGACACCCTCACGAAGGGTCGCAAGTCACTCTTGTGGCTCAGATTGCTCTTAGGACCTGGAGGGACAGACCAGAATCAGGGTCCCCTCCTTTACCCCTGAGTTCCTTACTGTTCCCCCAAGCCTGGGAGCAGTCTATCCCCCAACCCTGCCATCTCCCTTACTCATCCCTCTTCCACAGCTTCCCCTTTCTAGCCCCCTCTGCCCTACCTGTCTTTCCTGAGTGTTTGAGGGGAGAGAGAGACCCACATCTCCCCAAAGAGATGAGCTTTTGGGGCACAACATCCCACCGCAGTCCCCCTCACCCGACAACACCTCCTACCTGGCCCCTTGCCAAATCCCAAGCAGAATTAGCAACAGGAAAAGCAGAGCCCCAGGAGAGACACTCTACTATATATACTCTTCTATATATTCTGTTTCTATTGTATATTCACTCTGTACATGTGGGTGTAAATGCTGTTAAATGACAAACCCAATATTATACTGTGGCTGGTGGACTATTTTCATCCTCAGTGCTGTACAGATCTATTTTCATTGTATATTTGATATATTTTTAATTTTGTAGCGTGTGGCTGGGCCAGGCCCCAGCGGGAGGGGCTGAGCTGGGGCTGTGTGCTTGCTAGGTGTGGGCGCGCTAGTGCTCGTTGTAGCCTTTTGCTGTGTCTTCGCTGTGTGTTAGACGTAGGGCCTAGAGCTCGGGGTGTGTGTGTGCGTGCTGTGTGTATGGTGTGCACATACGTGAGTGTGGGTGTGTGTAGCGTGCTGATCTGTGACTCCCAGTGTTCACCACCTTCCTGAAGACCACGCTCCCTCCCCCTGCCTCCTCCTCCTCCTCTTGGCTCTATTGGGAGCCTCAGGGCCGGCAGGGTGCTTCGGGAGCCCCCTGCTACGGGGAAAGGCATGTGTTTCTTGCTGGTGACTCATTGCCTTCACACCACTGGGTTTGCCAGAAACAGGGAAGGAGGGCGTTAAGGGAAAAAAAAAATCCTCAAATTTATTTACCAGTCAGCTTCTTGCTGTTCCCAGTAGAATCGCTAGCTCTTCTCCAGAGGAAAAGTACTAGGATTCTTAAGATGGCGAGACCCCAAGAGGGATCTCATAGCACTGCTGCATTTGCCGTTGACGCAGTCCTGACAGTGTTTGAAAAGGGCCGCCTGCCCCCTCCCCACTGTGCTTTTGATGCCTTTGGAGTCAAAGGCAGGTGGGGTCACCTGATGAGCTAAGATCCAGCCCCAGAATCCTGGAGGAGCAGGAGGTAGCAGGAGAGGACCAGGTCCCCAAGTCCCTTCACAGGGTCCCCACCCCCACTGGCTTTGGTGCTGTCCACACAGTGCCCACCAGAAGGCAGAGGGAACTCCAGGGCAGGGATGTGCCTGAAAGAGTCAACAGTCCCCTGATCCCCTACCTCTGCCTGCCCTCCAGCCCCATCACCAGCTTCTTGCTCAGGGAGACTTCCGCCCTCCTCACTGAGGCAACATGAAGCCCGAGGCCCAGATGGGGGCTGAACAGGTAGGGCACATCAGTTAATGCCAGTGAGGTCAGCTTCTGCCCTCCAGCAATACATGTGCAGGGGTTGCTGCTTTCCCAGTGCCAGGAGAACCCCCGCTCCGAGTCAGCCTGTGTGGGTCATGAGGCTGGGGCCCAGGAGACACGGTCCCAGGCACTGCACAGGCCTGCAGTATTACCAGGCGGAGGGGCTGCTTTTCTGCCCTTCCTCACCCCCACGCCCCACCCCACTCCCCCAGAGTACTCCCCACTGTGAAAAGAGCTGGAAACTAAACTGGTTAGAATGAACCTGGCTCCCTGAGCATCCCTGGATCCTTCAAATAGGCCCTGAGATGTGAGGTCTGCTGCTTCACTGGGGCCCGATGACTTTGGCTGGGGGAGGGGGCCTAGGGCCTCTTCTCATTGAAAGCTCTGCTTTATACAGACCCAAGCATACACACCAGGCCGTCACTTTGGGTTCTGGCATAAGTTCAGAACAATTCAAGTCCATGTGTCCCATGGCTGGTCAGAGCCCTGGGTCAAAACCACTCAGCCCAGGGGAGGGGATGAGGCATTGTCACCCTAGACCCCTCTTCCTCTCTCCCCCACCATAGTGTGCAATAAAGTGTCTGTTCTTACCAAACCCTTCTTGCCTTTCTCACCTGCTCTTGCAATGAGGGAGAGGGAAGGGTGGCCAAGGATCCTGCGGGAAGCTTTGGGGTGAAAAGCTTGGACTGGGATGGGTGGACAGGACTGCTGAGGGGGGTTGTGGGTGCTGGCTGGCTGAGGAGCAGCGCGGGGAGTGTGCACAGGTTCATATCTGTATTTTCCTATGAATTGTCCTAGGTATTAACAATGCACACACTTGTAGAGGGCCCTATTGGGGTCCAGCGATTCCACATGTCTAATTTCCTGTCATCTTTGCAACCGTTTCCTAAGGGAGACCCTTTGCTGGCTACATTTTTCCAGGTGAAACTGCATCTGAAATTAGGATGGTATTTGGTGGTCTCTTACAGGACCCTGTAGGGGAAACTCCTGTCCCACCTGACTACCAGGAAAAGCTATACTTGTCAGCCTGGCAAGGGTGGGGTGTGTGGAGGCCCACCTCAGGGAAGGACAGGGGTGGGAAGGTGCCAGTGTTGAGAGGTCTGACAGCAAGGACCAGGACTCTCTTGGGTGCTGGGTTGGGGGGGGGGTGGGCTCCCCTGGAACAGGCATATTCTAAAGTTCTGCCCCTCTCTTCAAGATAGCTATCCCTCTTGCAAACTTCAGTAGAAGGTAAAGACGAACTAGGGGATCTGACATCACCTCTGTTCTAACATTCCAGCCCCAAGTATTCATTTATTAAACACCCACTGAATACTCAGCACTGTGAAGAACGGACTGTGCTGGTGGCTGGGAAGCTCTTCTTCCTGCCTCACCCTCTAGGAGCACCGACATTGAAAGAAACAAGAAGTCTGGCTCCTGGAGGAGGCCTCACCCCCACCCCACCCAGCTCCAGGCTGGAATGATGCTGCTTGCACTCAGACGCACACAGCCAAGGACCCTGAAGGAACCTGCCATTTTCTTCTCTTGCCATAGAAAGTGTTGTTCCAGGAATAGCCACCAGATGGCAGGAAAACCTTTCTCGCCAGATCATAGTCTGCTTGCCTTCCTCTCTGTCATTTATTCCTTTGTGGGTTAGTTTATTTGTTGAACAAACATTTATTACGTACCCACCCTGGACAGGCTCCATGCCAGCTATAGATGAATAAAGATAAAATCAGCCCCTGCTGTCCTGAGTTTGGCAGAGGGAGGGGACCGGCCCTATAACTCCACATCTCCCCATGTATCTTTCAAACCAGGAAATGGCCTGGTGCTGAAAGTCACTCCTTGTCAAGTATTCAGTCTTTTGGTTGAAGGTAATGTTTTTGGTTGAGATGCAAGCCCTCTTGCCAGGAGGGGCACACAGATCCACCAAGATGCAGCATAACAAGGGCTTTGGTTCCAAGGAGCTCTAGAGTCATACTTCTCAAGTTCAAGTTCAAATGCCACCCAGCTTCCTGCTTCCTGGGAGGCCTTGAGCGAGTCATTTAATCGCTCTGAGCTTAAATGTCCTAGTCTGTAAAACAGACATAATAAATAGATTCAATGAGATAACACATGTTGGTCCAGTTATCTATTGCTGTGTTCCAAGTTACTCCAAGTCTGAGCGGCTTAAAACAACCATTCTATCTCGCAGTTTTCTGAGTAAGGAATTCAGGCAGGACTCGTCTGAGCAACTCTTCTGGTGGCAACCAAGGTCACTCAGTGATATTCAACTAGCAGCGAACTAGTCTGGAGGGTCCAAGGCAGCTGCCCTCACATTCACTCAAATGCCGGGCACTCCAGTGAGAATGGCTGGAAGACTGAGTTCAGCTGGGCCTGCCGGCCAGAGTGAGCACCTACAACTGCCTCTCCAGCATGGCTACTTGGCCAGACTTCTGACTGAAGGGCTTAGGGTCCCCAGAGAGACCATTTCAAGAGACAGGAGGTGGAAGCTGCCAGGTTTTTAAGGCCTGGGGCTGGAAAATGGCACAGTACCTCTACCATCTTCTGTGGGTCACAGCATCTGCCCAAATAAAGGGGAGGGCACACAGAAGCCCCCCTTGTTGATGGGGAGTGGGGAGAGTCTGGCTGCCCATGTAATGGGCTGATTCTAGAGTGTTAGGGATCTTTGTCATCAGTCACCTGCACATGCATGGAAGCCTTCTCCTGAGGGGATGTCAGCTTAGAGACACAGAACTGGGACACACAGCAGGTCATTTCTGGTGGGGAGGTGAGTGGTTAAGTTTGGGCCCTGGGTGGAGGGAGCAGTCAGAGGAGGATGAGAAGGGCATGCAGGAGGACAGGTGAGGCCACTGCTTCTGCCTCAGGTTTGCCCCAGGGCAGGTGGCATGAGTGGTTTGAATCATGGGTCTGTCGCCAACCATACCACCTTGGGGAAGCCACTTTAACCCTGGAATCTCCATTTTCTGATCTGTAAAAGGAGGACGACAATAAAATCTCTTCCTTAGAGATGGTATGAGGGAAAAATGAACTTCATCAGTAACATCTACTGGAATACAGTATCGACTTCTTTCCATATGGGGATACAATAGGTGCTCATTAAATATTTCCTTCCTTCCTTCTTGCGATCCTGGGCAAGGCCATGGGGCCTACTTCATTCTGGGGGCCCCATCACCCATGCAATGAGCCATCTCCTAAAGCTATTCACAAAGGACAGTTTCAGCCTAAAATCCAGAGAAGCCAAGGAAGGAAGGCAGAAAAGGAACTCTCTCCAGGAAAGGGAGTACCAGAGTGTGGGGGTCTCACTGATCCTGTACATTATCATGTTCACCCCAGCAGTCACCACCAGACAGCTCCAGTCATAGGGACTTGGGCCAAGGCTAAAGTATTCCACAGACCACAAGGCTATTGTGGGGTTTTGTTTTTGTTTTCTTTGTTGTTGGTTGGCCCCAAATTCTTTTTAATACTTCTCCCATCAAAAGTGGAGTCTATGCTCCTCCTCTTGAATCTGGGTGAGCAAATGCTTCCTGTGACCAACAGGGTATAGTAGAAGTGATGCTATGTGACTTCCAAGGCTAGATTAGGAAAGGCCGTGCCACTTCCACCTGGTGTTCTAGGGATACTCATTCTAGAGGCAGCCAGCTGCCATGTAAGACAGCCAACCACCCTGAGACTGCCATGCTAGGGAGGCGATATGTTTGCAGATGCTTAGGTTGACAGCTTCAGCTGAGCTTCCAGCCAACAGCCAGTGTCAACTGCCAGCCACATGAACACAGCATACTGAACGTTTAGCCCAGCTGAGCTTCAGATGTTTGCAGCCCGCTGACATCTGATTGTAGCTGCATAAGAGACCCTAAGCAAGAACTGTTCAACTGAGCCCTTCCTTATTTCCTGACCCATAAAATAATAAACAAAATAAAATGGCTGTTGGGTTTATATCACTACATACTAGGGGTAATTTGTTTCATAACAATAGTAACCAGAATATGAACCTTAGTGATTATCTGGTCAAACCTCCTTGTACAACAATGGGGGAAACGGAGGCCCAAAGAGGAAAAGACCAGACTTCCCACAACCAAGCAAGGGGAAGATCGGGGCCAATGCCTGGGTTTCTTGACTCCCAATCTAGTGCACTCTCTGCCACACAGCAAGAAACTGACAGGGAGGACTCCTCCCCCGCCACCCCCCGCCTCATTAATTCCATGCATCAAGCAAGCATGAATCAGGTATTTTGAGTGCCTGGGATTGTGCTGAGCACTGGGAATATACAAAGGACCAGGCAAGAGTCCCTGGCTCGCAGAGGCAGTCACAATCTGACTTGGGCATCTCCCTTCCTGGCACACTCACTGGTGCCAGGCACGCTGCTGCATTCTTTAATTACATCATCTTAGGTGGGAAGAAACCTTGAGATGGGAGAAGACTATGCCTGTCATTCAACCACAAACCCTTACAAAGATTGATCCATGCCAGGCACAGTCCTGGCTGCAGAGCATAAAGACTCAGTGGGGATCTGCTCTCTGTCCCTGGGTCTGAGCTGCCTGGGTTCTGGGTCCCTCCATTCTGCCCAGGGCTGACCCAAGCAGGGAAGAATCCCTGGACTTCAGGAGCACCCAAGAGGAACCTGAGTTTGGCCTGTCTCTCCAGACACCTGCTTCCCCTTTCCCCAGGATATTGCTGGAGGGGACTGGGCCCATCAGGACTAATTAACTCCTCTAATGGAATGAACCAGTTTTTCCTGGAACTTAGCCCAGGTGGGAGCAATCTCTACTTTTCTAGATGGAGAAATGCTAAGTGTCAAGAGGTCTTGCCAGCCGGACCCTGGGCTAGCGTGCATGTGGCAGGCGCGGTGGCGGGAGTGTGCTGTCTGGATGCAGGCTGAGTTCCCAGCCCAGGAGCCTTAAACAAGGAGGCCTCTAGGGTCCACTCAGCTGGTGGCCCCCGTATCGTTCTCTGTCCTTGGCCCAACACCAGCCCTAGCTCCGTCTCTCAGAGTTCGCTGCTGCTGCTTAGGCCTGACATCCCTAAGCGGGGGGAAGGTGTCCATGAGCTAACACTCAGGTCCCCTCCAACCCTATGACTCCAGGTCCATAGTGTATGAGGCCCTGAGCCCTGCCCAGGCCCGAGCTTCTGATCTCTTCTCTTTAAGAGCTGGGCCTTCAAAGGCCACCTTTGAGCCCCAGATACAACTTCACTGGGATTACCACAGCAACCCAACCCTGCTTTCAGTCCTGAGGCAGAGCCATTCTACTGATCTTCACAAGACCTGAATTACTAGGGCTAGGTTCTCCCCAGAGCCCCTCCCCCACCAACCCCCCTCCCCCCAAAGAAGGCTCTCACATTTGATTTGGAGCCTGCAAGTCTCTGCAGGCTGCTTGGGGTTGGGGGAGGCAGGATGAAGTGAGCTGAGACGCAGACAGGAGGCTGCCAGCCTGCTCTTGCCTTCCCTTCTCTTGTTCCCCCATGAGCGGGGAGGCCCTATCACCCTCTAATGAGTCTGATAAAGCAATTCAATTTTCCAGGCTGGGAGAGAGTGAGGCATGCTGGGAAAGGATGCTGGCTCCTTGGCCTGGACCTGAAGGAGGGTCAGTCCCTGGCAGGAGCTAGAATACCAAAAAGGGAAAGTGTGAGCACCAATGGATAGAACCTTGCCTTGGCCTGGAGCCCCTCACCACAAACAGGTTTCAAAGAAGGAAGATGGAGAGGAGATTGGATGGCTCCAGTCATCCTAAAGAGGCTGAGCCCATACAAAGCTCCCAGTGGGGAAAGGGGAAGGGTAAACGGCTTTGATTTCAGGCTTTCAGCTTCCTACGGACAGGGTCAGCGTCGGCACTCAGAGGGTGAGGACCTTATTATGCGGGTGGAGGGGGGGCCTGGAAAGGGTGCAGGTGCTTGACAGCCTCCATCGGTGCCCCTTTAGAATCTCCCATGGCCCTCTCTTCCTATTCTTTCACCACACCCTCACCCCTGATGAGGGAAACCCGCTGTGGCTGACACCTTCTGTGAACTGGCTTTCAGACAGGTGCTCTTCCCTGACAGCCTGAAGAAGCCAGGGCACTAAGGAGAGGACAAAAGAGAAAAGGTGAAAATGAGGGAAAGAAGCTTGGGGAACTAGGAATTTCCAATAGTGGCTGCTTTGTGGTCTTGCTTAAGCCTGTCAGGTATCAAGGTCTTGGAGGAATGAAGAAGGGAGGGAGTAGGCAGAGTCCCAATGGCAGAGTTAGGCTAGAAGATGTACCTGAGGTCCTGGAATCAACAGGAAGCCCAGAATCAGCTGCCACCCCATCTGCCCACATCACAGCCCCCAGAGCTCAGGGCGAGGTCTGGAGCCAGGATGTTCTAGCACCACCAGAGGGCAGCACCCTCACATCCATGGTAGGCTGTGTCACAGTAGCCTGGGCAGGGGGCTCTCCTATCCTTCCCCGGCTCTGTGTTTTGAGGGAACACCAAGACCTCACACAAAGAAATGATGGGGACAAGTCCCATAGTGCTAACTGCAGCATATCGACTCCCTCAGAGAGGTACACGTAACAGGTGAGCCCAGAGTTCTAGAATAAACCTTCAGCAAGGGTGAGGCATTCTCTGGAGGCCTCAGGACTGAGGCTGAGCTCCCCTCTCCCGAGCTGGTCAGTGCACAGAGCTGGGAGTCCTGGCCCCATGCACCTTTACCCAGCTGCCTCTCTCAGGCTGGGCCCTCTGTTTTTGTCAGCTCTTCCTAGGTTCCTATGCCTGTGTCCCAACTTTCTGATCTTCCTCCCTTCCCTCTTGGCCTCCTTTTTCCCTGGCAGCTTTCTCCCTTTACCCATCTCCCCAGGTGCTCATCACTATCCACAAGCACCGCAGAGTGGAAGCACCAGTTGGGCAGATTTACTAGGATGAGTGGCTGTTTTATTCACTGATGTATTTCCAGTACCCGGAACTGCTTCTGGCATATCGTAGGTATTCAATAAGTGTTCATTGAGTTAATAAGTCAATCAGGGGTGGGATACTATGGGTTTTGTCCCCTTGCCTACTACACTCCCTTTGTTACAATTACTGAGCTCAGTCATCCTGATGAACGGAAAGCAGGGGAGAGACCCCAAGGGACTTTGCCAGGACACGGACCAGATAGGACTTGAAAGTTATTCATTACATTAATATTCTGTGGTTCTTTCTTCCTCACTCCAGTTTCTGGCCTGTCCCGGGTCTTCTCTTCCCAGTCACACTTGGGATATTTCTTTTCACTGCAGCAAACTCAAAGACAGCTAAACTCTGAAATACAAACATCAGTTTCGAGGAGCAGGGACTGGGCACAAAGGGGGTGCCAGTAAATGTGTGTTTCTGATTAACTCACCTCCCCTGCGTGTCAGTACAGATCATCAAAGATCATTGTCATTTTGGTTTTCTGGCCTCATTAATAATGAGACTTTTGCTTGTAAAAATCCCTTGCATTGGCACTGAGCTTTTAACCTTTCCTGAGACACACATAGGCCCTTGTCTTGTTTTTCTCAGTTGAGCTAGGTACTGCCTGATCTGGAACTGGGAAGGTGCACAGGTGTCCAGGGCAGGTGTGTCATTCACCTTTCATTTCTGCCTCAAGATCTCTTTACATCATCCAGACAGGCATGGAGGCTGCCTGAAGCTGTAAAAAAGAAAAAAAAACCCAATGGGGATTAATATGAAGATGTAAAATAGGTTCTGGACTTAACAAAAACAAATGAATCTGGAAATTGCTCTTGGGATAGGGCCAGTAAAGTCCTGTTGGTGCCTACGTTTTGGGTATGGCAGCTTCTCAATCACTTAGCAAACAGGTTCTCAGAGGCAGGCACTGTGGGAGCTATCAAGATGAAAAAGCACAATGCCGCCTGCAGGAGCTCAGGGTTAGGGAGGGGAGAGGAGACATATACACAGGCAAAGTCAAATTGTAATGGGTAGAATAAGAGTAGAAACAGGAAGGGGTCATGAGGCAGGACACGGGCATTTCCTATGTGGACCCCAGAGCAATGACGAGCAAAGGCTTTAACTAATGACTTTTCAGGGCCACCCACCCACTCCACATCCATAAAACATTTCGCGATGAACACAGCCAGAGCTACGGTTTCCTTCCATCCGGCACAAGAAGCGCTTCTCTGCCCAAGGCCACCCCGTCCTCCATTCCATCGCGGGGACTTTGGTGGCTGGGACAGAGGCGGAGAGCATCAAGACCATGGGTGTCTTGGGCTACGTTGGGCCTCCGAGGCGCAGGATGCGGGGCGGGGTGGTCAGAAGGCCCCAACACGGTCCCTGGGAAAGGAGAGGGCAGCCTGATCCTCGCGACAGCGTCTCTACCCTCTTTCTTCCTTGGCCTTCCGTCAGCCGCAGTGAAACGGCAACAGTGCGACCAGCTTGGCGGGGAGGGGGCGAGGGACGAAGCAAGAAGAGCCGGGCGGAGGTTAGAGGTCAGGGGTCGAGAGCGCTTCGGTGTCAGCGGGCTGCGGTGGGAGGAGCTGCGGGCCCGGGGGAGGCGCGGAGCAGGGCTGAGGGGGGCGGGAGGGGTTGCCGGCGGAAGCGCGCAGGGGCGGCGCGCTGGGCT
The DNA here is from genome assembly GCF_000001405.40 of Homo sapiens. Lineage (NCBI taxonomy): Eukaryota > Metazoa > Chordata > Mammalia > Primates > Hominidae > Homo > Homo sapiens. Next base: position 110,210,135 of record NC_000001.11, read on the forward strand.
GGGCACTGGCGGCGAGGAGGTGACGCGCTTGGTTGGGGCTCGGCTCCGGGGAGGAAGACTGCGCTCGGTCGCCAGGGCCTGCAGTGAGTCGGATCGGCCCCGCGCTGCGCCGCGCCCCGCCCACCCCGCCCCGCGAAGGGCGCGTCTGGGCGAGGCGGGGCCCCGGAGGAAAAGGCGCCACTGGGGCGTGGCGGCCGCTGCCAGCGCCGGAGGGAGACCATGAGCCCCTAGGGCCCCAGCCCACCGGCGCCGAGGCGCCCCCTCCCCTATGCCACCTCGCGCCCGCCCCCTGCCGCGCGCGAGCCAAGGCCGGCGCCCCGCCCGGAGATGGGCAGACGCGTAGATGGCGTGGCTCCCAGCGCCGCCAGATCGCAGGAACCAGGCGCCGGGGCGTTGCGCTGAGGCTCCCTCTCCGCGCGGCCCGGGAAGCCTGCAGGTGTCCTTGGCCGCTCGGCCGCCGCCCCCGGTACACCTTCGCCAGTGCCCAGAGCCCGGCTCCCCAGAGCGGCCCCGCCCCCCAGGCTCGGCGCCGCGCAGGACGCCCCGTCTGAGGCACCCCCGCCCCAGCGCGGCCCCCGCAGCGCTGCGCCCGGTCCGGCGCAGCTCCCAGCCGCGGACGCAGGACCCGAGGCTCGCTCCTGCGGGCGCGCTTGTTTTCCAGCTGCCGCCTCGCCCTGCGCAGCCCCCGCCCGCCCGGCCGCCGCTCTCTGCTCTGCCCCGCCTGCCTTCCTCGCCCGGCGCTGGATTTATGAATGGGGGGAAGAGGCCACATGCCGCCGCCGCCGCCTCGTGTTGACCGCAAGCAGCCCGGGCCCACGGAGCTCCGGCTGCCGTGAGAGTGTCGGCCTGGCCCCGGCAGCCGCTCGGAGGACTTGTTGCTGCTGCGCTGCCGCCGCTGCGGGGAAGCCGGCTATTCCGGGGCTTGGTGCGGTCTTGGAGCCGGAGGGTGGCCCGTGTGAGCGCGAGCGCCCCGGACCTTCGCGGTGCGCGTGGACTGTGCGCTTCCTCGTCTTTGGTCGGGGTGAAGGCGGGGGCGTGTCCCCGGCCCAGAGCGTTTGTGTGTCCCGTCGTAGCGGGGGACCGCGTGTGTGCTTGCTTCTACTTCCCCGGGTCCTCCCTCTCTGCGCCTCCCTCTCTCCGGAGCTTCCTGCCCTAACCCCAACCACCTGTGTACCGGAGAAATCCAACTCCTCCCGCTCCGCGTCCTAGGGGGATAGGCAGGGGCAAGCCCAAGCCGCAGAGGGGGCCGCCACCGCCTCCTGCCTCCTCTTCGTCTCCTCCCCCTCCCCCGTCTGACGCTGCCTCCTCGGGAAGGGTGTTTGGAGGGCAGCGGCCGCCCCAAGCCGGAGCCCCGCAGCGCTTCTTATGATCAGCTCGGTGTGTGTCTCCTCCTACCGCGGGCGCAAGTCGGGGAACAAGCCTCCGTCCAAAACATGTCTGAAGGAGGAGATGGCCAAGGGCGAGGCGTCGGAGAAGATCATCATCAACGTGGGCGGCACGCGACATGAGACCTACCGCAGCACCCTGCGCACCCTACCGGGAACCCGCCTCGCCTGGCTGGCCGACCCCGACGGCGGGGGCCGGCCCGAGACCGATGGCGGCGGTGTGGGTAGCAGCGGCAGCAGCGGCGGCGGGGGCTGCGAGTTCTTCTTCGACAGGCACCCGGGCGTCTTCGCCTACGTGCTCAACTACTACCGCACCGGCAAGCTGCACTGCCCCGCGGACGTGTGCGGGCCGCTCTTCGAAGAGGAGCTCACCTTCTGGGGCATCGACGAGACCGACGTGGAACCCTGCTGCTGGATGACCTACCGGCAGCACCGCGACGCCGAGGAGGCGCTCGACATCTTCGAGAGCCCGGACGGAGGCGGCAGCGGCGCGGGGCCCAGCGACGAGGCCGGCGACGATGAGCGGGAGCTGGCCCTGCAGCGACTGGGCCCCCACGAGGGAGGCGCGGGCCATGGCGCCGGGTCTGGGGGCTGCCGCGGCTGGCAGCCCCGCATGTGGGCGCTCTTCGAGGATCCCTACTCCTCCCGGGCCGCTAGGGTGAGTGGCAGGAGCCCGTGTCTCCCCATCTTGGGTCTGCAAGGGGTCCGTGGTGGGTGGTGGGTAGGGGCCGGGAGGAGCAGGGACCGAGCCTGACTTACCTTACCACCGCAGATTGTTCCCGCCTTCCTCTCAACCCCCCTCCGTGGCTCGCAGGGGAATTACACACTCCCACCCTCTCCCCTGCACGCTCCATCAGGAGATTGCACACACTTGACTTACTACTTGGACCCAGTCCCAGCTGCCTGCTTTGCCGCATCCCCTCCAGTGAGTGGGGTGCCCAGCTCAGCTCCTCCACCCCCTTCTTTGGTCTGCACAGGCTGCCCTATCTTCAGCTGCCCTCCACTCCACACAGGACTACGGTCCTGGAAGAGCTGGAATTTGGTCTTCTGATGGGGGCAGGCAGGGTTGAGAGGAAGGAAACTAGGGTGGGTTTTGTTAGATGCTTCCATGCCGTGCCACCTCATTTACATCCTCCCAGCAGCTCAGTGTGCTCACAACTATGCACTTCAGAGAGGAGGATATAGGCTTCAGCATCTTAAGCTCAGAAGAGGCAAAGCTGAGACCACAATCCGGCCTCCTTTCCAGGTTTAAGAAAGGCATTCTTTCTGCCAGGGAGGATACCATGCCCCTGAGGCTTCCTGCACACCTGGGATGTCCTGGCCTCAGCTGGGGTGAGAGGAGAATTAAACACGAAGGGCCTAGCGTTCTAGGCTCTGCAGGCTCCCACGGCCAGTGGCCAGCCACAGGCTTCCTGGTGATGATACCAGATTTTTGTTGCCGCTTCTTTTCTTTCTGCTGCAGCACAAACTGTCTTTCCAGAAAGCCCTGGTTCAGGTTACTGCTTGAAATGGGTGTATGAGGGAAGGGGGAAGCACAGGTTGATTTAGGCAAGACCTACCGCCTCCTCCCCAAGTAAATCCAGTTTCCCTAACTCCTTTAGGTGAAAGGGGAGAACGGGGGAGGTGCTTCCCCCATTATGCTTCGACAGCTAAAAAAAAAAAAAAAAAAAAAAAAAAATCCCTGAAGGATGGCTTTAGATTCTTTAAAGAAAGAAAACTCTGGGGGCTGGTGTCGGATCTCATGGTCAGCAGCCTAAAGCCTGGCTGGAGTCTGTCTGGGAGACAGGAAAGAGCAATGTAACTTGTTGGGTCTGGGGACTGCTGCTTGCTGTGGAACCTGGTTGGTTCCTCCAGCATCCCAAATTGTCATGTTAATGAGTCTCAGAGCACCCTCCCTTTCCCAGCACCCCTGTGCTGGACTCCTTCCTAGTCATAGAAGAAGGCAGGGTAGGGAATTGGGGAACAGGCCTGCAGGGAAAAGCCAGGCTGGCATAAATGCCAGGCCAGGGCAGATGCATCTTCTGCCTGGAAGAGAAGGGAGGAGCAGAGGTCTCAGGGGCCATGGCATACCGGGCTGGGGCTGCAGGCAGCCACGAGAAGGCAGGGATCTTTCTCAGGACTGACAACAAAGCTAGAGGCAACTGTCTGGGTTTCTTTCCTTGCAGCCCTGAGACTGGCTAAGAAGGTGAGGGCATAGTGATGCCCCTGGCCTGGGTCTGCTGTGAGTTCTACAGACTTCTCATGTAGGTCACTAACCTTGCTAGTGTTAGCACTTGGCTGTCTGCATTAGGGGAGAGAGGGCAGGCACACATCATTCAGACTCTTTCAAAGTTGGGGGTCGGGGAGGAGAGATAGAGATAGAGATGGGGAAAGGGGACAAACCAGGGAAGCAGGGATGAGATGAGGTGGTTAGGGGAGCTAGGCCCTATTTCTGAGCATTCTGGGACTTCTAGGGGCTTTTCACCTGCTCTTCTTCCCCTCTGGAATTCCAGGTGGCACCCCACATATCATTGAGTTTATTTTCTTCCTAACTCACTGCTGAATGGCCAAGCCAGGGGGCCTCTTTGAGTAAGCTCAGAGCCTGGCCTGCCCCTGGAAGTCTTCCCAGGAACCCAGGGTGCTTTGCCCCTTTGACATGGAATCACATCAGCCCAGGCATTCCAGTTGAGGTCTTGAAGTTTATGATGGAGCAAGGTTAATTCTTCCATTTAAACATTGAGAAAACCAGGATTCAGAGACATTAAGTTTCTTGCCAAAGACATTTAACTAATAGCAGAGGCAGGAAACCACCCCTAGTTTCCAGCCTTCTGGTTGTTCATCCTGATGTGAATATCTGGATGGAGCTCTGGCCAACACATGCACTAAAAGAGGACTTGCCTCCTGCTCAGGAGCCCAGGCAAAGGCAACCCTCACCTGCTCCCGGGACACACAAGTGGGAATACATAATTTTTACAAATTAATGAATAACTGCTCATTATTGAGCACCCCAGACAGATACATTGCTGTATATACTTTACATTAATCTCTAATCCTCCCAATAAACTTAAAACCCGGTGATTATCCCCGTTTAATAGATTGAGGCTGTGAGAAGGTAAACAACTTGCCTGAGATCACACAGCCAGATAGTGGCCAGGCTTTGAATCAAAGCCAGAGTCCCTGACTCCCAAGCCCTTGCTCTTGTGATTACAACACCTTCTTTCCACTGAACTAGGCTGTTTTTGAGGCAGAGAGCTTGTTTCTTACTGTAGCCTGAGAAATGTCCTTCTGAGGTTCTGTACCTCCTGTGGATGACATCAGAAAACCCAGGGGCAGATGGAGACGTCAGAAGGAAGACTTACTGTATTACCCCTCCAGGCCTGAGGGTACTATGCCATGCGGGGAGTTCTGGGGCTGCACTTTCCCCCCTCCATTTGCCCCTGGCTTGTCACACTGTCCCATCCTTCCCAGCCCTGTTCCCCCCGGTATATGTGCTACCTTCCCTCGCTCACAGCTACCTCCTCCCTGGAAGGGCCCGCAGCACTGTGGGGTGGTGGGCGAAGAGGGAGAGAGGAGCAGTGCTCTGCCCTGAGGCGTCCTTTCGCACACAGCAACCTGGTCATTTGAGTAGTGCGTTATGACAGGAGCAAAACGATACAAATGGAAAGTGAACTGAGCTGATTATGAGAGCCTGTTGCCTAGCTACAGGCCTGGCCCAAGGAGCTGTTCCGCTCAGGCAGGCTCCTGGACTGGGATGCTCACCCCTGCTCCACTGTGCTGGGCCCATGGGCAGCTGCTGCTGTGGTTCCGTTTCTGTGGCCTGAGCTGGGAACAGGTACGAGGGGCAGGGCAGAGTGAAGGCTCACCGTGGAGACTTCACAGCCTCAGGGGGCCCAGTGGAGGTTTGGCAGCATCCGAAACTTTAGAAACCTGCACCTTCTTTTCTGAGAGCAGACAAGAGGCCTGGAGAATGGGGCCAGGATGCCCTTCCCCTACCCTAGTCTCCAAGGTCTCCAGGGCAGGGCTGGCTTTAGCTCAGCTATCAGCCTTATTAAGGATTACAGTTCCTCTCCTTTGGCTAAATCAGCACATTTTTCCTGTGATGTTTCCCTTTTGAGTAGAGGAGGGGACCCACAGGAACTCCCTGCTCCAGGAAGGCAGCTCCAGCAGGGTCTTCCCCTTTGTTAAGTGTCAGTTACTATGTGGGAGGCTTGGCCTGTGCTTTCTGCTACTACTCATCTGGCCTAGGTGAGGCAGATATTGTTAACATCTGTGTATCAGTATACAGATAAGGAAACAGGCCTGGTGGGGCTTTCTCAAGGTCGCACCACTTGTGGTAGAACTAGGATCCAAACCTAGGTCTCATCAATCTAAGTCTGTGCTCCTCCTATGGCCTCTGGCTCCTGCCCAGAGAGGATCTCTGGTTTCCAGAGGGTGGCCCCTCACTGGAGAGCTTCTTCCTCCACTCTGCTCTTATCTGTTCCTTTACTTCTCACTCCCCAGAATTGGTCAAGGATAACCTCTCTTCTCACTGTGGGATTTCCATAGGAAAAATGAAGGGAGGCGTGGCTGGGAGAAAAGACTAAGGGAAGCTCCCTGGCCCAGGCAGAGCATGAAACCAAGGCCTTCTAGGAAAGGAGCAGAGCTGCATTCCTGCCTGCCCGCTTCTGAAGTTCCCTGGCTTCTCTGGTCCGGGCATTGCCTGGGGGACAGGTCAGTGATCACGACAGGCTTTAAAGTGAGGGCCAGGACTCACTGATGCTGTGCCCTCTGAGCTAGGGTGAACCAGGAACCTGAGCCCAGGAGGGCAGTACCCTGGCTTTCTGAGCTCCCCAGGAGGGCAGTGCCAAGCCTGCCCGGGGCAGCCCCTCCACCTCCTTCCTGAGGAGCAGGCAGGGGCCAGGCTGAAGGCTGCAGGACTCCCTGCAGGCCCTGCCCGCAGGGCATCCTCCCAGTTTCCTCTTGGGTTTGTTTTCTTCTCTTGTTCTGAACAGATCAACATTTGTCTCTGAACATCTTGTCTCTGAATGCTGAGGTGTTTCTGGTTGTCACATTAGGGGTGGGGTGTGGAGTAGGGAAGGGGAGAAAGTAAACGAGCTATTTTGGAGACTCGGGGGAAGAGCAGGCAGGCAGGAGCAGAGCCAGGCAGCTTGGCCTTGAGGGTAGGAGACCCTGGGCCCTTCACCCCCACCCATGGGCAGTGTCAGCCTGGGATGCTGGGCACCAGAGCTCTGTGCAACCCTCATTCCCTGTGCGTAACTGACTTGCCATGACCTCTGGCCCTGCTCCCTGCTGGAATTTTCTTCAGGCTAAGGGGTGGTCACCTGGCCCCTAGCAGGGGTCCTTATCTGGAAGTGGACCTGGCTCGCTCTGGAGGGCAGCAGAGGTCCTAGGGCCCCAGCACCTAGAGGTATTACTGGGCATATACCCTTGTCACTTTGTCCCAGTCAGTGGAGCTGATGACCTCTTCTTCTGACAGGCTCATCAGGACCAGGAGAGAGAGCAGGGGGTCACCTTGGCCCCAGTCATTCAGAAAACACTTACTGCGTACTTACCATACACATGTGGGGTTCTAGAAATCCAAAGATGAGTCAGAGGGGGCCATGCTCCTGACAAAAGCCAAGTCGGGTAGAGTAAGTGGCAGTCAAGGGAAATTAGGTGACAAGAAATGGCAACAGTAATACAAGACGGATCATGAGAGGTGCCACAGGAGTCGTAAGAAAATAAAGTTCAATAGGAAGTGAGAGGAGGAATCAATAAATCCCACCTCTACGTGGGATGAGGTGTAGGAGGTGTTCAGAGAGGCTTCCACAAGGAACTAGAAGTTGAATTGGGTGGGCCTTGTAGGATACTGACTTAGTGCCTTAAATAATTTTTTCAAAGAGTCACATTATAAATACATACATAAATAAATAAAATTTCCATGTGGGTAGAGCTAAACCATATGCAGCGTTAGGGAAAGGGGGAATTTTCTGGTCAGGTGACCAGCTCAAGCAGAGCTTGGACAGTGTGGGGCCTGGGTGGGCAATAACCAGGAATTCCATTTGACTGAATAGCGGGTTCTTGGATAGTGATCCGGGCTAGACTGAATTCCTTCTGGGGTAGGGACTCATCCGTTCTGGGCAACCCAGAGGCCCTGAGAGGCCCCAAGTGCTGGCTCGTCGGAGGGTGAGCATAGGTAGAGGTGGGTTCTGGACACTGGGACCAGAAGGTCCTGGCTCAGCATGGGGTGGGGGCAGGGCCAGGTCCTGTTCCTAGGGGCACCCATGGAGGGGAGAGGAGGGGATGTTTCTCTGCTGGGACCTAGGCCTTAGTGCGGGCCCTCAACCAGGAGCCAGGGATAGCTCAGAGATGCTTTGTTTGGCAGACCTTCTCATTTCCTGCCTCTTACCCCCGGGACTGCCCCACTGTCTTCCAGCACTGCCTGGGCACAAGGATCTTGCTTCCCTGGAAGGCTCAGTCCCTCAGTCCCTCACCCCATCCCCACAGATCTTACTCTGCCAGTGTCTTTGGCTGTGTTCTCAATTTTCCCTTCTCCTACACTTCATCCTTAATATAGGTTTTTGGGCCTGAGTCTCCTTATGTTTATCTGTCCATCTGTCTCCCTGGCCCTTCTTCCTGGGCTCTCCTCCCCTGCCCCCGCTGATTGTATGCAGTTCCCAATGATTGGTGTCTGTCACCTCTCCCCTCGACCCAGCCTGTGCCAGATTCCTGGAATGCTCTAGGCTTTGTGCTGAGTTTTACAAGTATCATTTCTTTGCATCCTCAAAACAACTGTACCAGGTAGATACTACCCTCATCCCCTCAAACATAGCAAGCAGATTGTAGCCTCAGGACCTTTGCACTACTCATCCCTTCTGCCTCGAACTCTCCGGTTCTTCGTATGACTCACTCCTTCACTCTTCAGGGCTGTTCAGGTGTCACCTTGTCATTAAGGCCTTACCTGACCTCTCTATTGGAAACAACTCCCCTATCCTCCCACCCGTTATCTCCTTTTTCTCTTTATTTTTTTTCATAACCCTTAGACCACCTGACATACTGTGTATTTTGCTTGTTTATTTGTTAAAGTCGGCCTCCACTAGAATGTAAGGTCCCGGGGCAAGGGTGGTTGTCTGGTATTTTCCCAAACACGGTGTCTTGTACTTGGTAGGCGCTCCCTTTTTCACTTTATAAATGAAGACCTTAAGGCTTGGAGAGGTTAAGGAACTCATGCAGGTCTCATATGCAGTCAGTAGCAGAGCCCAACTTGAACCCAGAAGTGTGTGGCTTTACATTTCTAGGGACAGTCCAACGGTGGGGTTGGTGGAGGAGGATGGTAATAGGGCTGAACAACTGGGCCTTTGGAGAGGGGTGAGTTTTCAACAGGACACAGGAGCCCAGGGGGCGCAGGGAGTTGGGAGGAGAGGCGCTCTCCTGCTTAGAGGATGGGAGCCTGCTGTCCAGGGTGCTGAGACCCTCCTGCATCCTCCCAGCAGGAGAGGAGCTGCCCCTGGTGGAGCCAGTTCACCGGCAGTTTTCTACTTGGGAAGTTTTGCCTTCCAGCAGAATCCATGCCCTTTGTGGTGGAAAGAACTAGCAGCTTCAGCCATGAAAATCAGGACAAGCAAGCACTCCTCCCTGGGCCTCAGTTTCTTCATCTGTAAAACAGCAGAAATGGAGTTGAACTGGATAACTTTCTCAGTCTCCGTTTTTCACTTCTAAAAAGCAAAGATTCTGTGGTATTTTGGCTCCAGATTCGGCTCACCTTCAAAAGCTGCACGCAGAGGACCCTAACCCTCCTCAACTCTTATCTCCATTTTATGGAGCACCTATTGGGTGCCAGGCATTTACCATGTAGAAGCTCATTTAATCCTACCGTAACACTGTGAAGGGGGTACTAGTACTGTCCCCATTTTATATAGAGGAAACAGGTGCAGAAGTTACCATTCATTTACCTGGTTGAGTGGCAGGGCCAGGATGAGGAATCCCGGAAGTCTAAACCCGGGCCCAAGGCTTCTAGTGTAGGGTTCCTTAGCTGTTCTCTGCCCTTAGTCTGTCAGCACAGGGGCCCATGAGAGGGAGGCTCGGATCTCCACTGCCAGCTCTGTAGGATGGCAGGATGGTCCAGTGGGGAATGAATAGAAGGCTCAAGGCTGAGGCTTTGGCCTCTAAGCAGGGTGGTGTTGCTGCAACCACCTCTTCTTCCCTTGGCCCCCTTTAGTGCTAGGAAGCCCTAGTCAAGGGAGCTGTGTATCCCTGCCCACAGGGATACACAGTGGATACACAGTGTGGACAGGTGAAAAGGCCTGGTGAAAAGCACCATTTGCAAGCAGGGTCAACCACTTATGAAATAATTCAGTTTGGGGAGCAACATAGGGCAGAAAGGAATAATTTGGGCCCTGAAGGGGAACCTGTAACCTCAGGACCCACCTGGAGCAAGGTGCCACAGCTCAGGCCGCATCTCTGTCTCCTTGGGGAGTGAGGGCTTCTTGGGGCCTGCTGAGTGCCTGCTGCCCCAGCCCTGGAGAGGCCACAGTGGAGATTGAGGCCCCACCAAGGTTTCAACAAAGGAGGAGGGGATTATACCTACCTGCTCGGTCAGAGGGGCCAATTGGAAAGAGCTTTGAGCTGAGAGTCAGGAGACTTGGCCTCAGTGTGATCCTGAGCAAATCATCTGCCCTCTCTTGTGCCTCTATTTCACTTAAAAAATGGGCACACATGACCACTCTTTAGCTCCCCTCCTCTTCTCAGGGTGGAGGTGAGGGGTAGCAGTTAATAGTAGATGGAACAGTTCTGTGTTTTGAAAAAAAGCAAAGGTGAATGGACAGACAGGAATCCAGGGGGTTGTTCCCTAATCCAGGATGTGGCTGGTGCCCACGGGGCCTGAAGGACTCTCTTGCCTGCTGCAGAATGAGCCCATGGTGGTGGCAGTTGAGGAGGGTAGCAAGGCAGGCTCCCTGGCCCTGCTATGAGAGGATGGCCGGGGCCATGCCGCCCTCCCTCCCTCCCTCCCTCTGCTCACCCTCTTGGCAGCTCTTCCTGAACTTGTTTTTCCAAGTCACTAATTAACTTCACGCTCAGTTTCCCAGGTGGGCCTACTCTCCTGGCTAACTTTTCCTCAGAGAGCCAGCTTCTGCTTCCCATGGTTCCTGGCAGAATTGGGATATGCTGTCCCTGCCCCTTACCTCAACCACTCTGTTTTTCAGGAGAGAGGGTGGTGCCAGGACTGGACTCCTGGCATGGCCACGGCCACGGACAGGCACTTTTGCCAGCCCACCTAGGGATGGCCATGGAGAGCCCACAGGCTGGAGCCATTTACTTAATGCCCATATCAGCCTGTATTGACTTGGCAGCCCCTTTCTCAGAGGAGGAAGAATGAGGCTAGAAAAGGAACTTAAATTTACCTTCACAGGGGAGAAGCAAGCAGGAAAAACTCCAGCAGTGTCGTAAAATTGGGAAAGTGTGTCTGTGTAATTGTTATTACACATGCATTTCATCTCCATTCACCCCCTGGACCTAGCCTTCTCCTTCCATGCTGTTTCTGATCAACCCATCCAAGTTAAAGTGCGAATGAGGTACAGTGAGGTGTGTGATGGGGGACCTGTCCTAAGCCTGAGGCACACTTTCCCACGGGTGAAATAGCAGTCATCAGGGAGCTAACTGGGAACAGGATCAGTGATTCAGAGATGGCTTTCCCAGGCCTGTGAATTGACCCTGCCTGGGAGGTGGTGAAAACACTGTGGTATGACGAAAAGGTACAGCCTTTGAAGTTAAACAGTTCTGAGTTCAAATCTGGTTTTCATCCCTTCCAGGCTGTGTGACCTTAAGCAAGTATGTAACGTCTCTGATGTTCAGTTCATCCTGCATAAAATGGGATGATGAGGCGTGCCTCACAGGGTCATTGGGAGGATTGAAGGCGATTGAAGCATATACAGAGTGCTTAACAGTACCAGGCACAGAAGAGACAGCTGATAACTGTTCATTCCCAGATTTTCCCCCTCAAACTTGCTCCTGCTCCAGTAGCCCTGGAGGTGCTGCTGCTTGCTTCATTTTCCCAGGTCCCCTTGTATTCTTCATTGGTGTTTTGCAGTACTAAGAACAAGGTATGCCCTCCCCATCCCAGTGCAGACTCCCAGGGAGGAAAACCTCTCTGAGTCCTCACTGGACAGGGGACGGGCACATGCCAGTGCCTGTCCACACAGCCAGGTGGAAGTCAGGGTAGGTCAGGCAGGCATGGGGATTACCAAATGGTACCATGAGGCCACAGACCTCCCTTACCCACCTATTTAGGCTCAGCCGTCTGGTCAAGGAGGAAGCCCAGTCCAGCCATCGTGCAGGACAGGCGGCAGCAGGAGGCATGAGACTGGACCCCATCAGTGGGCATCCTGACAGTGGTGGATGGCACGGCATGAATAACACATGAAGCCTCCATAATTGGTGTTATTACACATGCATTTCATCTCCATTCATAATGATTGGACACTTAAACCCAGCCGCCGTTCCTCTGCCGAGTGCTGCTGTCATCCTTCTAGCCGAGATCCCAGCAGCTGTCGAGATCAGCCCCTGCCACTCTGATGCTGATGCGTATGGTTCCTTTTTCTTTGGAGCTCAGAGTTCCAGGAAATGTCAGTTTGTGGGAAGGAGTGAGACTGGTTCTTCTGACCAGACCACCCTCTCAACTGCCATGGTGCATGTTGTCTGCCTTTAGGGGCTTCCTCACCATCTAGGCAGTCAGCGGGGACATCCTAAGGTGAGAGGCAGGAGAAGAGACTATGGATAATAGGCTCAGCCAGCAGAAAGTGGTCCAGGGTCATTCCTTGCAGCAACCTGCCTCGGAGCATTCCTTCATACAGTGGACTTCAAACTAGTGTGCATTAGGATTACTTAGAAGGTTTGTTAAAACATTGCTGGATCTTACCCTTGGCATTTCTCACTCAGTAGCTTTAGGTCAAGTTTGAAATTTGTGTTTCTAACCAAAGGACCAGAGACCTAATGCTTCTGGTCCAGGACCATACTTTGAGGACCATTGCCTTAAAGCCCAGTTACTGCAACTGTGGTGCATGGACAGAGCCTCACCTGAGTGCTTATTACAAATGCAGAATCACAGGACCTGCCCCAAGCCTCTGGATCAGGAATGCATTGTAACAAGATTCCCATTGCAGCTTGAGAAGCCTTAAAATGCAAATGGGTCAGAGGTGGGCAGAGCTATCAAAGGCAGGTCTAGCAGCTGTAGATACCTGACCAGTGTTTCCAGCCAAGAGCAGCTTCTATCTTTTGTGACAAAGATTGGGAAACATTGCCCGAGAGCCCCCAAGCATATGGATAAAGACCCTCTGAGGAGGGACTTCCAGCCCTGACTCCATACGTTAATCCCACCTCTCACTCTGGAATGCCCTTCCTGGTAACCTTCATGCAGAAGTCCACGTCCCCAGCTGGGCCCATCCATCCCTGTCTGACAGCTGCCCCCTGCTCTCCTCCCCTGCCCATAGGTAGTGGCCTTTGCCTCTCTCTTCTTCATCCTGGTCTCCATCACCACTTTCTGCCTGGAGACCCATGAGGCCTTTAATATCGACCGCAACGTGACAGAGATCCTCCGCGTAGGGAACATCACCAGCGTGCACTTCCGGCGGGAGGTAGAGACAGAGCCCATCCTGACCTACATCGAGGGCGTATGTGTGCTGTGGTTCACACTGGAGTTCCTGGTGCGCATCGTGTGCTGCCCCGACACGCTGGACTTCGTCAAGAACCTGCTCAACATCATCGACTTTGTGGCCATCCTGCCCTTCTACCTGGAGGTGGGGCTGAGCGGCCTGTCATCCAAGGCGGCCCGCGACGTGCTGGGCTTCCTGCGCGTGGTGCGCTTCGTGCGCATCCTGCGTATCTTCAAGCTCACACGCCACTTCGTGGGGCTACGCGTGCTGGGCCACACCCTGAGGGCCAGCACCAATGAGTTCCTGCTGCTTATCATCTTCCTGGCCCTGGGTGTGCTCATCTTTGCCACCATGATCTACTACGCTGAGCGCATTGGGGCCAGGCCCTCCGACCCTCGGGGTAATGACCACACCGACTTCAAGAACATCCCCATTGGCTTCTGGTGGGCTGTGGTCACCATGACGACACTGGGCTACGGAGACATGTACCCCAAGACGTGGTCAGGCATGCTGGTAGGGGCACTGTGTGCACTGGCTGGCGTGCTCACCATCGCCATGCCGGTGCCTGTCATCGTCAACAACTTCGGCATGTACTACTCCCTGGCCATGGCCAAGCAGAAGCTGCCCAAGAAACGGAAGAAGCACGTGCCACGGCCGGCGCAGCTGGAGTCACCCATGTACTGCAAGTCTGAGGAGACTTCCCCCCGGGACAGCACCTGCAGTGATACCAGCCCCCCTGCCCGGGAAGAGGGTATGATCGAGAGGAAACGGGCAGGTGAGATTAGGGGTTGGGAAGGAAAATCCCTTTTCCCCCAGTGGCCTAGGGAGTTTCCAAATGGACCTCAGACCTTGGGATTTGGCATGTGTTTTGTGTGGGGCTTCCCTAAGCATAAAGATGTGCCTTTATGAGGGCAAAGTGTTGAGGCCGAATTTCTCTGTCCTCTGGCTGGGTCTCCGATAGCTTCCCGAACATCAGATCTTTGGAGTGAGTATTCCACCCAGGGTAGGGTGTGATGGGCAGTACATGGGGCTGTATATTAGATGCCCTGGTTTTAAATCCAATCTTGGCCACTGTGCTGTGTGCCCTGAGGCCAGTCACTCACCCTCTCTAGGCACCTGTAAAATGGGAATAATATCATATCCTACCCTCAAGACTTTGAGAGACCCAAATGAATGACAGATATGAAAGTACTTTGGGAAGTCAGAACCACATTACAAATGTCAGGTACTGTCAATATTAGCCAGTGAGCAGGGCAGCTGTTCTTCCAAGGTACATCAACACATGAATCACTTCTTTGCAAACGTTCGAGTCTGGTATCTTGGCCTAATAAATGTGATAACGTAATAGCAGTGGGAGGCTGCCTTCTGTTCAGCACAAGCTAGATTGAGTCCTGGGCTCAGGGTTTGACATGGGATGGAAAGGAACTGAGGAAGGAGTGGCCCAGACAGTGTTGGGAAGGGGAGGAACATGGAAGAAACTGATATCTGTGCCCTGGAAGGGGAGAGCCTGGGCATCTGAATCCTGTCCCTCAAGGATGGGAAAGGCCATCCCAAGAAAGCTCATCTCCGCCCCTGAATCAGGAGTTGGGAAATGGAAAACTGCTTAATCCCCAGCAATGTGAACTTCGGTTGGAGAGAGGGAAAGGCATCCTGACTGTTATGTGTAGGCTGGGCTCCTGGGAAAGGTATGGAATTCCTGGTATGGGGAGGTGGACTGGAGCCAGGAGACTAAGGCTAAGCTCTGGGGCAAAGTGGGACTGACCCTGCAGGAGAGGCGCCTAGCTTGGGACACTCACCTATGGCCTTTGGCATGTGCCTATCATACATGCCCGGGTCCACTCATTCCCGGGGGTCATGTCAGGGGCCTGGGTCTTCCGAAGGCCTTGATAGAAGAGCATCCATCAGGCTTCCCATTTCTCCCCCACCAAAGTGGCACTGCTTCCTAATTTGTGAATATTAATTTCCCGGGGAATTTCAGCTGCACTCTGAGGCCCATTCAGGGTATAAAGAGAATCCCAGTATTAAAACGTAGAAGTCCTTAGGTCAGCTCCTCAAGGTACACTTAACTGTGGCCCTATCAGCCTTGCCCTTAGCCTGACCCTGAGAGCAGCCACAGTAAGGGCATGCCTGGCCAATGGCAGGGCCACTGTCTTCAGATAGAGTAGCACCCCCTTCTCCAGATCCAAGGGCCCAGCTTCACCTGTGCTACTGCCTGACAGAGGCAAGGGGTGGAGACTAAGCCCACAGCACTTGAGAGCTGCGTCGGAGCTTTTCTCATGGTATCCTCCCCAGACAAAGGTCAGCCCTAATTGCGGAGGGCTCTAGGTCTTTTGGGCACAGGACTCTGGCCTAGATGCCTAGTGAACAAGAATTACTGTCACCCAGGGAGAAAGCATGGACGCCACTTTATAGGTTTAACCCTTGCCGTGCCACCCCTCACCGCTAGCAAGCCAGGTATTCTCCACGGGAAAGCAGACTCATCCAAGAGTCAGCCTGAGCCAGACCCAAGGAGGAAGTAGAGTCTGCGGACTGCTTTGGGCTGATCTCCTGGGGCAGCCGTCAGCAGGCAGATTTGGGGAGTCACTGCTGTAGGGCATCTGCACTGTGGCTTCATCCCTGAGGAGAGACCCTAAGCTGAGGCTGGGAGGGAAGTCAGTCTTCACACCAAGTGTAGCATCCCTGCCTTTTGCCCTCTGCTCCCCGGCTCTGGCAATGCTGCCTCTCAGGTAGATGCTAGGCCCCTCCCAAGGTTGAGGAAGTAACACTCTGGGTCTGGGAGACCCCAGATGACCCATGAGCAAGGCTCAGGTCGCCCCTCATGCAGCCTCCTTTCTGTGTGCCCCCTTCAGACTCTAAGCAGAATGGCGATGCCAACGCAGTGCTGTCTGATGAGGAGGGAGCTGGCCTCACCCAACCCCTGGCCTCCTCCCCGACCCCCGAGGAGCGCCGGGCCCTGCGACGCTCCACCACTCGAGACAGAAACAAGAAGGCAGCTGCCTGCTTCCTGCTCAGCACTGGGGACTATGCCTGCGCCGATGGTAGTGTCCGGAAAGGTATGGCTTCCCAAGCTGGACAGGTGGGGAGCCCCCACAGAGCTGAGTCTCCCGAGTCCCCCACCAAGAGCCTGAGGTCCCCCCCTCCCCTGAGACCGTGGCCGCCATCTCCTCTGCCTTGGATGCACCCCCACTTTTAGAATGGGTACCTGATCTCCCAGTCCCTGGATTAGAAAGGTCTTCTCCATCTCAGAAGGGCACACGGCTCCCATCCAGCTGCCCATGGGAAAGAGCAGCGCTAGAGGGTAAAGGGTGCACAAGGCCAGGGTCCCTGCCCCGTGCTTCCATTGCATCTCTTTTTCTACCTCTGGTTCCCGCTGCTGCCTTCAGGCCCCATTCCACAGGGTCACTGCCAGCCTCTCCCTAGGCCTCCCTTAAACACAGCTAAGGCTTCCCAAGTAGGTGACCCCTCGAGGTGCCAACAACGTTCAAGAGTCAGGGAGCCCCACACAGGCCCTGCATCCTCCCATCCTGCGCCAGGGGTCCTGGAGCACAGGATGGGCAGACTTCCGTCTGCAAGCACCTAGAGGGTGACTGTCCTCTTGAGGCAGTGCCAGAGATGACCAAGGGGTGGGATAGGTGGGCAGGAAGAGTGGGTCCCATCTGAGGAATGTTCTGAGTATTTGGAGAGAGAGGGAGCAGCCCATCCTCTGCTTGTCGGAAAAGGCTGAAATTCCATCCCCAGGCCCCAAGCCTGCGGCAAGGCAAGGGCAGAGGTTGGGCTGTGGAGCTAGGGATTCCTGGCCTCGGAAAGCGGGTAGGAATGATCAAGGATGGTGGAGGGCCCGCGGTGGCTGAGAACCAGGGGTCTTAGGACCAGGCCCTCCTACCCAGTTTTCGATCACTTATTCGTCTCTCTTGCCCTGTCCCTGTTACCTAACCTCACTCAATGTTCTACCTCTTTCTAGAATAAACCCTGACTCCCTCCAAAACAGAGCTCTTCCCCAGGTTCTCTGCCACTTCTTAACCAGCTGGATTTCCCATCCCCCACTTCCCTCTGTCCCCAAACCCCAGACCCAAACTAGGTTGAGTGAGGAAGGGGCAGTGGCAGCTACAGGAATAGCCTGTGATGCCTCTGTCCCTCTGAAGATGTCCCAATGTCCCGTGGCCTGCCAGCCCATGCAGGCTCTGTGGGCACCTTCTAGTTTCTTTCCCAGACCTTTCAGTACCACTCTCCCCATGGAAGCCCCAGGCCACCCTGAGCCTAACCAGCCCCTGAAAGGTGTGTGTCCAGCTTTGTTGGGCATGTGTTCTGTGGACTGGCAGAAATGGGAATAGTGATCTGGTGCCTAGAAGGAAGTGGTCCAGCAACCCCAGCAAAAGGCAGCAGATGGAGGGTGCTCAGACCTCTACCCTCGCCTGTGTTCCTTTGTTCACCCCCGTGTCCTATCCTTGGGCCTGGATTTGGCCTTCTCTCCCGCCGACCATCCCAAACAGGCAGTGGCTTCCACTGTGTCCTTGTTCAGGCCCAAAGCCTTGCTCTGGCTGGACCGTGCTAAGCAGACAGTCTAGAACGAGTGGTCCCTGTGTAGGACTCGAGCACACAGAGCTGAGTGCCACGCATCCCTGCTTTCCTCCCTGGGCTGTGAGGGGCTCAGTGGAAATAGGTGTGGAAGAGGCCGTGAGGGTACCAGTCAGGAGGGACCACGAGGTACTGGGAGTGGACTGCACCTGGGGAAGGAGTTTCACCGGCACGTGCACGGGGCAGGAGAGCCAGCATCTCACCATCCAGTATCCCTGGGGTGCCTGTGGGGCCTGTCTGCTCTGTTTTCAAGATGCCTCCACACTGCTTCTTGGCAACAGGCATGTAGCTCAGCCAATTAGAGTGACCTTCGAGAGGGAACAGGTGGGTTGCTGGGAAACAGGCCCTGCTAAGCAAGCGTGGCAGTTAACATTGCCAAACTCCCAATGCACACTCGGCAACTTTCTCCACGCCGTACCGTGCCGCACTTCTCCACACTCAGGTTATGCTTAAGACCAGGAGTGAGTGGGTCTGGGCCTCCTCCACACAGGCCCATGTATCAGAGTGTCAGTTCCCTGGGAGGATGGTGGCAGGTGCTAATTAGGGCTTCTTAGAGTCAAGAAGGCTGATGCTGGAGGCTGTGGGGTCTTTGTCTAGCTGGGCTATCAAGGAGCTGGTGGGAAGCTTACCTGGGGGCAGGACAGGACAAAAGTCAGCTGGGTGTGGGGCCCTGGAGTCTGTCCTCAGGAGCCCAGGAGACCTGAGGCCAGGGAGAGTCAAGGAGGGCCAGGCCCCTCCACACCAGCCCAGGGCCACCCGCCCTGCAGTGTCTCCTGGAGCGTGGACCCTGTGGAGCTGCGCCCACTGACCCATGTGCCTTTTCTTCACCAAGGCTGTGGAAAGTCCCGGAGTCTAAACAACATAGTTGGAGCAGCTGGAACCAGCCTGGGGCTGTCTCCACTGGCATCGCGTTACAGCTTGCCCTACCCTCTGAAAAAGTTCCTGCTCACCCCCTTCCACCCCCTCACCGGCCCACCCCCTGGTCACTCTGCCCCTTAGCTGCACCTTCCCCTCTGGGCACACGCGCACAAACAGGCACCCTTCCATGCCCTCAGCGCTCACTCCCCAGGGCCCACGCGGGCAGCAGGAGGGAGCAGGGGGGAGCAGTCAGGACAGAGGAGAACTTAGGCCCCCGAGCCTGCCCTCCATAGCTCCAAGCTTCCCAAAAGGTTCAGCTCTGGAACCGGAGAGCAAAGGGGAAAGCAATCCCAGAGCTTCTCCCCATATTGGCCTCTTCCTGGGCTGTAGGTGCACACCCCGGACCTGTCTTTCGGCCTTGCCTTCCTCTCGGGGTCCCACCAGGGCCAGTCTCAGCCACCAGGCGTTTATGTGTGCACAGAGCGCCTGGGGCCAGTCAGCCTTGTTGGGGAGCCACGCCTATGTTAATATCTTTAATCACTGTGAATGTATTTCCATTCCTCATAGCCTTTAACCAGTAGCCGAACAGCCTGTCTGTCTGTCTGTCTGTCCACCCCACACCCAGACCAGCAAGGAACAAGGCTGTTATGTCGGGCATCTCTGCTGGTGTAAAGGTGGTTTGACTCCTTGGAAGAGCAGTGCCTATGGGCAGTGCTGCCCTGGGAGAAGAGGCCTGATGTTTTCTATCCCTGGCTTGGGGCGCAGGTAGGGGTCCCTAGCGTTGTAGCTTCAGGCTTGGTGCAGGCCGTGGGCGGGCTGCCTAGGCGAGGGAGGCCCTTCCCTCAGGAAGCCTCTGCCCAGATTCAGTGGTGACTCCCACTGGCGGCACCTGGTGTCCCTTCTGCGCCCCGAGCTGCAGCATCGCTCTCCACGCTGCTTCCTCTGCTTCTGCGACAGTTCTTCTTCCCTCTCCCTCTCCCTCAAACTCCCAGCCCTGCCTCTGAGTCACCTGCCATTCCCACCCAGCCTCTGCGCTCTGTATTCCTGCCAGAACCGGAGACTCATCTAATTTCTATAATTAAGTGTATTCATTTACCTAACGAGCCCAGGAGCACAACAGGTTTGTGAGTCACTGGGTGAGCAGGGGTACACCTTGCGCAGGGGCAGCTGAGGGGAAGTGTGGGGACAGAAGCCATCTTGCCCCCACCTGCTCCTGCCGCTCCCGGGAAGGGGGCCCTCCACAGCCTGAGGAACAAGGTTGCCTCAGCCAAGACGTTTCCTCTTTCACCTGATGGGAATTAGACCTGACAGCAGAGCCGTGCGCCTGGCAATTTTTAGAGTCAGATTATGCAATTTTGCGGAGAGAATGACTAAGTAAGGTCCAGATCTGCTCCTTCCATGGTCAGCAAAGATAGGATGGCAGGGCAGCGTCGGGGCTGGGCAGAGGCTGGGAAATCTGAGGCTCCCCAAAAGGCGGACTGGGCAGAGCAAATTATTGCATGGGGTTGGGGGTGTTGTGTAAAGCCTGTGCCCGGAGTGTCCCCATCTCGGCACCTCCCTCAGTCTTGGGCAGACACAGAAATGTCCTTCTGGAAAGGTCTGTTCAGAGTGGGCACTGGGATACCCCCACCCTGCAGTGGTTTGTGGGGCCTGCCTCCCACTTGCTCTCAGAATGAAGTGACCTGACCCATAAGAAGTGAGAAGAGGGGATGTGGGGGCCTCCATGCAACTGCCCTTCAGGAGGGAGCAGGCCCTTGAAGTGACAGGGATGGGGAAGCCTGTGGAACAGGATGGAGATGCGAGGGCCCCTCCCCCAACAGCGAGAGGACTCCCTGGCATGGAGGGCCTGGGCTCTGACAGGGACACAACGAGCCGGGTGTGCAGGTTCACAGGGATGCCACCACTGTTTTCTCCTCTGACTTGCCTTTCTGGTTCAGGGAACCGAGGCCGCTATTTCTGTGGCAGCCCTCAAGTTGTCAGGAGCCCAAGTTTCCACGGCACCCACCGCCTCCTTCCCTCTCTTCCCTCCCACAGGGCTGGGTCTGGCTCATGGCACCCCTACGGTGGGCACAGATGTCCCTGGGCGACAAGATGCAGCATTGCCAGGCTGGAGCCCTAATGCCTCGGGGAGCTGGCTCCCACACATCCCTCCTGGCTCTCTGGCTTCATCTGGGAGAGATAGAACCCAGATAGCAGGAGGGCTGAGTAGACTGTCTGCCCTTACAACCTCTCAGCACCTCTGGGCCTGCCCAGGGCCCTGGGAAAGGGCAGGGTGAGCCCAGGCATTTGCAGAACCCCTGCATACCAGGCACTGCCACAGGAAGTGGCTGCCTGTACAGGCGTCAGGCTCACCCAGGCCTTGAGCCTCCCTCCTTGAGAGAAGGCTCTCTCCCACCCACCATCTGAGAGTAGAGTTTGTTTTCCTTGGGCTAGACTTGGACCTGCACCCACTACTTTGTTGTCAGATGCCTTTCCCCTGCAGCTGGAGCTCAGCCCCTTCCCACAGAACTGGGAGGCAGTCTGGGTAGGAGTTCACAACCTCGCCTTCCAGTCTGTAGCAGGGTTACTGGCAACCTAGAGACCAATTTTCAGGGCTTCTGAGAGGTAGAACCAGAAGGAAGGGCACTGCAACCTAGAAGCTGGCTGACAGGAGCCAGAGGGGAGGCCATGGACTGGCTGCAGGGCCCAGGCTGCCCTTTCACAGAGCTTCCTGGGAGAGGAGGGCCTGCTCTGCTCTGGCCAGCGTCACCCTCTGAAATCCCTGCCCCACCCCTGGTGGGTCAAATAGGTAAGAATCCAGGATGAGATTCCTAGGAAGACCCCTCCCCAACTCTCAGAGGTCCCTGAGGATGGAGAGTCCATGGAAGCCAGTGGAAAAGCAATCTAAGGCCATTATCTCAGTATGGGCTGCTCTGCTCCCTGGCTTCTGGGACACTTGACAGCCTTGCTGTGACTCCTTCTGTCTCATCCTAGACCCATCCTAGACCCCTCAGTAGCCCAGGCATTCTCACCGGTGCATCTTAGGGCCTAATTGCCTACTGGGAGCCCAGAGGCACTTCCCTGTCCCCTAATGAGTGGGGATCAGTGGCAGGTGTTGCTTAAGTTACGCAGACAGGAGTACAGGGCAAGACCACAGCTCTGTCTGCGTGTCCTCAGAAATGGGGCTCTGAAGAACCCTGAATTCCTCTGATTTCAAGGATAGTACTCAGAGGCCCAGAACACTTGTAGGCAAAGGGGCAGTGTTTAAGGAGGTGGCTGGGGCATACAGTCTTAAGAAGATGGAAACAGCATCACCCCAAGATGAGGACACCCCTTCCCTAGAAAGGTGATGGAGGCACCCCGAAGCCCAGGATGGAAGCTGTGAGGTCTGGATGCCACATCTGCACTCCACCTTGACAGGAGGCCTAGCCCTAGACCTCAGACCCGAGAGCTGCAGGGGTTGTCCCAGCGGGTCTGGAACTCCCACCTCCACTGTTGACCCAGATCTGCAGCTGGGACAGCAGTACTCCTACCTGCCCTACCTGTGCTCCCACTGGTAAGGTAGGGGAAGGAAAGGCCCAGGTGGTAGACATCCCAGGCTGAGGGTGGGATCCCAAAAGGGCTCTCTGAGGGGTTGGGTTTCTCAATAAGGTACTATTTCCTGACCTTCTCTCCTGAGACAGGCACATTCGTCCTCCGTGACCTTCCCCTTCAGCATTCACCTGAGGCTGCATGCCCTCCAACTGCTGGGACTCTGTTCCTGCCACATTGAGGAAGGGGGCTGGGCACGACATGGCATCATACTCAGGAGCCTTCTTCACCAGCTCCTTGGGACAATGGAATATCCCAGGGTGGTGACAGCAGATGGAGCTACTTGGGGGAGAGCTCAAGTTGGTCAGGCAACAGCTGGGGTGATGGCCTGTGAGCCACAGGCCACATCAGGAACTTTCCCCACTGCCTCCATGCAAGGCTGCAGAGCTATGGTCCCTTTCTCCACTGCACTGGAGCTTTGAAGACCTAAGAGGCTAGTGGTTCCTGGAGCTAGTGGTTACCTGAACAGGTATGGCGATGAGCTACAACATCACCTGAGTCACCAGAGTTGGGTTGGCAGAGGGGTGAAGGGTTCACCCCATTCCCTGACCCATCCATGCTCTTCCTGGCCTTTTAGCCCTGGGTTCCTCATGCCTTCCAGCTCTGCTCCTGGTCTACTCCTTAGCCCACACCCTGTGGGTCAGCAGCTGGCTTCCTTCTAACGTCTCATTCTTTGTTTCTCCCTTTCTTTTGCTGAACTCCCTGTCCCCCCAACCCCAGAAGGCAATGTTGAGCCGAAAGCGTGCGTCCCAGTGTCTCACACCTGTGCTCTTTAAACACAGAGACCTGCCAAGACGCCCTCTCGTCCAACTATGCCCAGGCTGAAGTCCTCACCCTCTCTTAAAGCGGCACCAACGTGAGAGAGACAGGCAGACAGACAGAAAGCCAGAGGCTTAGGGAAACTCTGGAACCCAGACAAGAATCTTTTCGCTGGGAAAGACTCAGATATCCTTGTTTGCACAGGACTGGTGGAAAATCTCCCATGCGACCCTCGGGGCCCAGAGCCATCTGGGTCTGATGTTCTGTTCCATTGTACATCGAAGAGATATATATGCACATATAGTATCTATATTCATACATATTATACTCTTGTGTGTAGTGCACGTGCTATTGGTGGTTTGTCTTCTTTGTTAGGCTGTGTCTCCCTAAGCCCTTGCCCCACCCAGAGTTTCCCGTCCCCTTCACTGATTTCTGTTGTTTCTGCTGACTGTGTGGGTGGAATGTCCCAAGAAAAGTGCATCTGGGAATTGCCAGTCCAGCTGGGTAGTCCCAGGCTCCTGTCTTGGGGATGTTTCCCCTGTCAGCAAGTAACCTGGTGAAGTCTATTGAAGGCCAGACTGCCCCCTAGGGTCACTGCTTCACTAGCCGCACCCCACCCCAGATTGGGGTTCTACCTCCCACCCCACATCCTCGTTGTGGGGGGACTTCCAGGGGCTCCTCTGCAGCCTCCTCCACTACTTCCTCCACCCCATCTATGTCCTTGACTTAGGGGGGCATTTTGTCTTTTTTAGATTTGATTTTGTTCTCTCTCCTTTGTCTGTTTGTTGTCAAAGATGCTGCTGGGCAGACAGGCAGGGAAAGGATCTGTCTGCCCATCTGGCCCAGGGGGTCCGAGAAGGGAAGCCTTGGGCAAGAGGAGACCAGTTGCAATACTGTACTTCCTGGTCAGTGGCCAGAGGATGCGTGCAATAGCAGAGGCCAGGTGACCCCTTCAGCCTTGGCCTCTGCCCCTCCCTTGGCCCTCCCTCCCTGCTCCTCCCTGGTGTTGGTCAGTCCTTTTCTAAAGCTGTCCCCTCGTGTGTGTCTGGGGCATGCCCAGGCTGGGCCCTGTGCCCTGTCTGCATGCCTCCAACTGTCATGCTGTGCTCGAGCCCCAATAAAGACATCTGGAGCATCCTGCTGCTCCTGCTGTGTGAGCACCTGCCTCTGCCTCTCCTTTCTGGCTCTGTGTCTATTGGGACCTCCTGGGGCTCTCACCCCTGACACCTGAGGAGTGCACACACTCAGCATAACCCCACTCCAGCAGGAATCATCAGTGTGGCCTGACCCCTGCATTTTACAGGGAGAGACTAGTGCTCAGAGAGGGCAAGTCATCTGCCCAAAGCCACACAAAGAGGACTAACCCAGGACCCCGAGACCCAAACAGTGTTCTAATATCCACTGCTGTCCCCAAGCCCCTGCCATAACATGGAAGAAAAGACTGTTCTTTGTTTAAGGAATTCCACTGCATTCCGTTTGTGCAGGGGGCCTCCCCTCCTCCCTGCAATTGTACCAGTTCTAAATGGGCCAAGACCCTGGGGACGCCAAAGTTATTGGCTGGATGGCTGATGAACTGAGGCCAACTAGAGACTGGTGGCACAACTGGGGACCACTTAGGGATGGAGAGTGAACACATCCTGGGCCTGGATAGGACGGGGAGATGGTGAGTGATGGTCAGACGTGGCCCTTGGCTCTCACTGTTGTTATCCCTCTCACGTTCACATAGGGGCACACGCAGGGCCAGCTTCATGGGTGTGCAACCTGTGCAGCCACTCAGAAGGGCCCCATGCTGGGTTTAATGCTTGGCTGTCACCATCATGAAATTAATAATGGTTGAACAGGGGCCCTGCGTTTCCATCTTGCACCAGGCTCTGGCGGGTCTGGTTGCCTGCTTGCCTCTCCTTATTCTTGTCTTACTCCTCACTCTTACTCTGGGCATCTGTGTAGGACCATAGGGGCCTCAATTCAAAGTCTTGCTTTGCTGCTTGCTAGCTGGGTGACTTGGGGGTGACTCACCGAAATGGTTTCCCTGTTTGTTAGGGAATAATGATGGCCCCTGTTTCAGAGACAGAGTGAAGAGCCTGGCCTGGTGTCATGTGTCTACCTGTGATATGACATATAGTAGCGGCACAGTGTCAGCTCCCTCCCTGCCCTGTTCCTGTCACTCTCAGACTTTTCTCCACAGACTTCTGAGATCTCCGTGTCCAGCTGCACCAAGAAAGGACAAGAACACACCCGGGAGCTGTCTTGGGCAGTGTAGAACAGCAGGGTGAGGACGGAATGGCCGAGGAGAGGGAAGAAGCCAGGGGAAGCCTGTTCCTGAAGTGTAAGGAAAGATCGGGCTTGGAGCCTGGGCCAGCCGAGGCAAGGGGGTGGCAGGCAGCCAGTGTCAATTAAAGATAAAATTTCTCCTCCGGTAGTGGAGGGCAAACAGTGGCTGTGGCCCCCCTAGACAGGAGAAAGCCATTTGCAGCCAGGCTGGCCTTGGAAAAGCTTGGCCAGGCGATAATGGGACGGGATGCGCTGCTGACTCCATAATGATATTACGCATCAGGGCCCACGGCCAAAGTGGCTGTTTTTTCTGTAGATCGATGTGGAACCATTTCATGGTCAGGGGCTGAGAACCCAGCCAGCAGCAGGGGTACTAGATGCCAGAGTGGTCCTGAGGGGACTGAAGGGGTGGCAACTGGGGTCCCCAGTGACCGTTTCAGGCTGCTGGAAGAGGAGGGGGCAGTGTGCAGGAGGGTGGAGGGGTGGACGAGAGAAGCAGCAGACTGCCCCTCCTCCCCACCTCACAGAAACAGCAGGCCGTGCTGTCAAGGAAGAAAGGGCTCTGGCTTCCTCCTGTTCCCCAAAGCTGGAGTCGAGCCCAAGGTAGGGAGCTGGTTAAAAGAACAGGACATTGTTTAAAAGAATAAGACAGACTTTTGAAGTCAGGCAGACTTGGGTTTGAGTCCTGACTCCATCACTTCCTTGTTGTGTGACCCTGGGCAAGTTACTCAGCCTCTGTGAACGTCTATTTCCTCATCTTTTAAATGTAGTATCTGCCTGAGGCCGTGTCTCTCTCATTGAGCCATGAGGAGAAATGAGTCGGCGCCTGTAAAGCCTCGCGCACAGTGCCTAGCACATAACCATTGCTAGAGGGAGAGGGGAGTATTTTGGGGCAACTCACTCCAGTAACAGATGACCAGTTTGGTTTGATGACCTCACTTTTCAGTGAATCAGCCTCATTTCACTGAAGTCCTTAGTCCTTATCTCCTTGTGAAGGAATAAGAGGGGATGATTATACCTAACAGCGAACATTTATTGAGTGCTGGGCAGTACATTTCATGCTTATAAAGATGCATTCCAAGATTGATGTTATCCTTACCTTTGTTTTACGAGGAGAAAACCAACACAACAATGTCAGGTCATTTCTCCAAAGTCACACAGCCATTAAGTAGCAAAGCTGGGATTCAAACTCAGTCTGGCTCTGTGGGTCCAATGCTTAGCCACTCTCTGAACTGAGTGGGGCTTGTGAGTCATAACCTCCAGTGTAGGAGTTTGTGCTTTTAGTGTTATTTCCTTAACTGCAATTGATTCTCATAGCAAAGGTATTGTTTTCCCCTTTTACAGATAAGAAACCAAGGCTTGGAGAAGTGAATCATTAAACTCACTCTCCCTTTTACGTGTATGTACCCCACCCCACACACACATAAAGCGAGGAGGAATGTCCTCTTGGGATTCATTCATTAATTAGCAGCAGGCAACACCCAGCTCAGTGACTGCTTGGTTCCTTCCCTCTGCGACCCCACTGGAGTTTTATTCTCTGACGCACAGAAGTGGGTAAGTGGGGGTAGGACTGCTCTGGAACCCAAGTTACATGAGGAGTGGCTCAAGCTGGAGAAGTCTTGGAAACCTGATCCCAACTACCAGGTGTTTAAAGGGTACCTGTGGGGAAGTGGGTTTAGATTCTTCTCTGATTGCAGAGAGCAGATCCGGAAATAATAGGTGGAAATGTTAGGAGGGCAGATTGGGTTTAAATTTTAAAAAATCTTTTTTTAATGAAATTTTTGATTTGTAATTTTTGTGGGTACATAGTAGGTATATATAAGAACCTTATTTTCTGTTGTTTCCCTTGCTATTATAAATTTATTACTGCCAGTCATGGTGGCTCATGCCTGTAATCCTAACACTTTGGGAAGCTGAGGAGAGTGGATTGCTTGAGGCCAGAAGTTTGAGACCAGCCTGGATAACATAGTGAGACCCCATCTCTACACAAAAAAAAAGAAAAAGAAAAATTAGCCAGGTGTGATGGCATGTGCCTGTAGCCCCAGCTTCTCGGGAGGATTTCTTGAGCCCAGGAGGTTGAGGCTGCAGTGAGCTATGATCATACCACTGCACTCCAGCCTGGGCGACAGAACGAGACCCTGTCTCAAACAAACATTTATTTAATACAAGGTATTGGAAACCATCCCCATACCAAATCAACAGGGAATCCCCTGTCACCCTTCCTCAGTCCCACTTTCCTCCCCAGAGGTGACATGGTTAACATCTGGTGTGGGTCCTCCCAGGCTTTTTGGAAAAAAAAAAAACTTTCTAACAAAATTACCAAATCAAAATGGGTTTCCCTGCGGGGTAGTGAAGTTCCCTTCCCTGAAAATGTTTGGAGACACAGTGGATGATCATGTGCTGCACCAGGGTTCGTGGGAAGTATTTCTGCTCGGCGTGGGAGGTGGAATTAGAAGACTGTTTCCAATCCTAAGACTTTCTGACTCACGTGGCACACACAGCTAGTTAGTGGTGGAGGCAGGTCCAGAACACAGGTATTCAGATGGGGTTCAGATGAACTCCTTTCCTAGCAAGATTTTCCTTAAATTCTTCTCTGCCTCTTCCCAGCCCATCAGGGATATAGGGCAGGGCAGAGAGACATCTGTGTCTCCTCTAGTCTGGAGCGAGGGGAGTGTCCTGGGCCTGGGTTGTGATGCCATCCAGTGCCCACCCTCGTGGGGCTCCTGTGGCATTATTGCAGTGAGCACTTTCTTTCCGTTCCTGGCTCCAAGCCCTGTGTGTGCATACACTGGTACCCACACAAGAGGTAGCACGTGAGCTGGCTCAGTCACTTGGGGCTGTGGTAACCGCATTCAAAATGCAGCATCATGCTAAAGAGCCGCTGGGGACTCTGGGGACAAGGCTGTCTCCGACCCAGCTTTAGGGGGTGAGGAGAGGGAGCCAAACGGCTACAGCTGCAAGTCAAAGAGGTCAGAGGCCTTCTGATGTTGGCACTGGAAGCCTCTCCTTTCTTTCCCCACAGGTTATGGGGGCTTCTCCACTCCCCGCTCTTACTTGCCTGCTTCTCCAGGGATCCCTAGAAGAGCAGTGGTTAGCAAGCATATGCTATAGCCATCAAATACGAGTCTACAGAAATGTAGGCTTCCCCTTGGGGCTGAGTTAGGGCCTCTGCTTCTGAAATGAGCAACCTCTGGTTGCTGGTGGGGGCTAGGGCTTGCTCCCTTTCTCTCCTCACATACTCTTTCCTGGGTGACCTCATCCCCTCCCATTGCCTTAAACATCTTCCAGGTACTGGTGTCATCCACTTGTGTAGTTCCAGTTCAGAAATCCCGTCAGCTCCATTCATTCATTTGTTCATTCATTCAGCAAACATATGTGGCATCTCTGTCCCAGGTACTGCTCTACAACCTGGGTGTACAATAGGGACCCAAACAGACACTCCCTTCCCCATGCACTCCCTGCTCACAGACACACCTGCGTGGCAGTGCCTGGGTGTCTTCACAGCTCCCTGATGCCGAGCTGTGATCCCACCCTTCTGCCTCCCTGGTCCCCCTCAGCGTGCTGCCACCATTCACCTTGAGGCTGAGATAGATGTTGTCAAAACCACCCTCTCATTCCTTAATTCACTCACTCATTTTTCGTGCATTAAATCTTTATTAAACACCTGTGAACTCTGTCCTCAGGGAAACAATGGTGAACAAGACCAACAGGATCCCTGCCCTCATGGGACTTACATTCTAATCAGGGAGAGAGGCCAGAAGACCAATAGATAAAAAATATCTCCCACCCGTATTCCAACCTATTACCAAGTTCTACATTTCTAGCTCTGCAGGAGCCTCCTCCCAGGTCTCCCTGGGTCCCATCTGCCCTTCTGCCACCAGTCTCCACCCAGTCACCAGAGAGAGAGCTTCTTAAAATGGAAACTGGATCAGATCATGTCACCCCTGCTTAGAACCCTGTCAATGGCTGGGTTCCCACTTCGTGTACAATCCAGACTCCTTAGGAGGGCCTGTGATGCCCTGCTGCTCCTCATGGCCTTCCTGCCTCCGCAGACCTATTCATGCCCCTGCTCTCAGCCCCTGAGACCAGCAGCTCACTTTCCTGTCAGTTTCCCACACATCCCCAGCTCTCTCACCTTCAGTGTTTTTCCACTTGCTTTTCCCTCACGGGGACCACTTCACCCCAGTCCAGCCCCACCCCACCTCCTTCTCTTGGCTGAGAAGGCCTGGCTGTAAATTTCACTTTCTTGGTGAGGCGTTTTCCCCTCACACATCCACGCCCCTCTGCCTCTGTCAGTTTCCATCACTGCAGCCAGTGCATTTTCTTCATGGTACTTACAGTCCTTTGTAACTATGAATTGTGTATTGCCTGCTTCCCTGTAAGTTGCTAGGGCCTATAGGGGCTCGGTAAATATTTTATGAACAAATGAATGAATGGGCTGGAGATAGGCCTGGCATGAGCAGCTGCTGAACTCCATCCTCTCTTATTCCTCGCAAGCTGTCTCCAGCTGGCTTTTGCACCTCATTTCTAGGGCATTCCTGGGAGTCCTTGGGGAATAACATGAACGCTCTTCTTTTTACATTATGCATTTCCTGCCTGAGAAACTGTCAGAATAATGAGGAAGCCTTGGAGAGAGAGTTCCCATAGCCCTTCCTCTCTCTTCCTTTTAGAACCTACCATTTTCTACCTGGTACTTTTTGGTACTTGTCAAATTCCCCTTCCCACAGTGGCGAGTTGCTCAGAGGTGCTGGTTCATCCCAGCTCCCACTCGAGGGCCTAGCTTAGTGGTCCATGCAGAGTAGGTGCTCAGCGAAATGTTGAAGTGAATGAAGGATATGGTGAGAAAGGAAGCAATGAGTAAGAAGGAAGAGTGAGAAAGAAGGAAAGAGGAAGAGGAGGGAGGGGCAAAGGGGTTGATGAAGAGTGAAGAAGCAGAGGGAGGGAAGTGAGGTCAGGGAGTGGGAAACGGGGAAAGAGAACCCTGGCCCGGTGTCCACCTCAAGCCAGCACCCTACCCCACTCCTTCCAGTCTTCCTGGACTCGGAGCCTCCCAGGCCTGCCCCAGCCTTAGGTGGGACAGCAGGGTTCCTCCAGCCTGCCACTGACACCAAGGGCACCCTGAACTCAGCTCAGACCCCAGGCTGCCCGGAGCAGGAGAGACTGCTCCTGAAGAGACTTCTGCAGGGACGAGAGCCCAGGATTCCTTAACCTGAGGCCCAGCTCCATCCCTGAGATCCCTAGAGACTCCCCTCAGCTCCCCTCCCCTCAGCTCCTCATATTGAGCCCCTGATCCAAGGACGATTAACTCCAAATCCAGCATCAGTGATCAAATGTTCATAGCAAACAAAGGAAAACAAACACCACCTTTCCTCCTTGCCTCAGCCCTGGGGCCCCAGAGGCTTGGCTCAGAGACAGGTGCCCTGCCTCCTCCCCACGCCCGGCACAGGCCTGCCAGCTGCCCCTCGAGAAGACCAGGGGCCAGCCTCAGAGGCCCGGAGGATCTGTTCCCAGAGTAGCTGTTGCCACAGTGACCCTCCCTGGGGTGGTGGCTCCTAAGCTGCCATGGGAGGCAGAGCTGTGCCACTACCACGACGACCACCACCACCACCAGGGCTGCCACCACAGCAAAGCTGCTCCTGGGGCCTCCCTCCTAGTTAGGCTGCCGAGAGACCAGTCTGTGCTATCCTCTCACCATGCCAGGCAGCCACAGTACCAGGGAACAGGAGTCACAATCAGCCCCCTTCCAACACCCCGGCAGCATCCCGCTGTCTGCCCCAGGACCCGCTCTTCCCCTGAGGGGATGACACTGCCCCCCTGGAAAATTGATTAGGGACCTCATTTCTGTCAGCACCCCACTAGAGATGGCAACCAGCTCCCAGGGCGCCTGGGGGCGGGATGTTGAGGGCAGCAGGGAGGTAAGAAGGCTCCAGTGATACCAGGCTCCCTCTGGGCCTCGGTGCTAGGTGGTGACAAGCTGGGTTTCCCTGGACAGGACTGGAAAGTTGCTCTCTAATACTCTCTATCTTTCTGCTTGGGTTCTTTCCCACCCCTGCCAGAGGCTCTTGCTAACTACTGTCCCCTTACATACTGGCACCTAAACATAAACACACATTTCCAGAGTCGTCCTGCTCTCTTCATTTTCTGACCTATGCACAAGAAAGTATTTTGTGTCAGTCATCAGCACTCTAGTATGAATTTAGGGTCCATGTATATTTTATTTCCCAGGAGATAGGACTGTTGACCTTCTCTCAACTTGTGGAGTGACAGCCTTGTTCTCTGTGATAGGAAGTCCTAGCACCAGAGAGCTCCAAGCAGGATAGATAATTTTTTCGATTAGGAGAGGAAGAAATCCAAAACTTCCTGTGTGGGTCAAATTAGGGGCCAGAGCTCTACAAGGAATTCTGGCCTGACTCCAATTAACAAAGAAGGACGTGGAGCGCAAAAGAGAAATCCAAAGTGATATGCAATGGAGGCTGCCTCTGTCTGGAAGATCTTCCTGCTCCTTGTGCTCCCCTCTTACATTCTACTATTGTGTCCTCAGCCTGGCAAACTCTTACTCATCCCTCAAGGCCCACTCAACTGTCACCTCTGAGAATCCTTCCTGGGCTCTCCCAGGTAGAATTCCTCTGTCCTTTATGCTCTCACAGAACCTTGAATATTCCTCCATTATAGCACTTACTGCAGTGATAACTTGTTGCTTGTTTACTCATTTATGGATGCTTTCCTTATTAATGTTTTTACCTCCAGCCCCTGCTCAGTGGTCAGGAGCTCAAAGGTGAACAAAGGAATGAGTGAATGAGTAAGGAGTGAATGAATTAGCTGCCCTCTGCTGACTTCTGCCCTTCACCCCTGTCATTCTAGTCCATGGTTGGGTTGTAAGATTTGTCCAGAATAATTATCCGGGATGCTGGACCTCTCACTCTGCCATCCCACCACCATGTGCCAGCCAAGTCTCCTCTCACCCACGCCACCCTCACCATCAGTACTCCCTTCCAAAGTTCCCCATTTCCCCTCAACTCTCCAGGCTTCAGCCATCTGGGCCTTTCTTTCCTGATGTTAGTAGCTTCAATTTACATCACAGTTAACTTGGAACAGCGGGGGGGGCTATATCCTGGGTCCTTTCTCCCTCCGTCTGCTTCCTTCTCAGTCTTCATTAGTGGTGTTCTGTGAGCCTCCCACCCACCCCAACTCTCCGAGTGCTAGTTAGGTGCTCAGGTTTGTGCTCTTGGATGAAACTCCTGCTACATAAGTGGACATAGAAAAAGAGGCTGGCAAGGGTTGTTTCCAGAGGGGTCTGAGCCAATCCCACGCTGTTGCTGGGCTTGAGGTTCCACATCTGTGAATGGGAATTAAGCTTCCCCTGCCTTCATCCAAGGTGGGATGATAATTAAATGAGAGTGGATGGATGGGTCCTTTGGAACTCCTGAAGCACCACTGGAGGCAAGGGATTATCATTCTTCTGGCTTTCTCTCTGTCGAGGACTTGGGTGTTCCTCCAGAGTCAGAGGGCAGGTGCCTCTGGAAGGTATAATAGCTAACGTGGATTGAGTGTTTACGACCAGCCCAAGCCCCCTACATGGCTTAATGGATCAGAGCAGCCCCAGGAGGTAAGGGCTCTTTTTATCACTCACATTTTACAGGTGAGGAAACTGGAGAGTAATTTGATGGAGATCTCACAGATAGATTTCACAGGCGATTTTGACCATGCTTCTACACTGGCTCTGTGGCCAGCCCCTTGGCACCAGCACCACCACTGCCATCGATTTCTGGTCCACGGCCAGATTGCTAATTCTGGCTCCACTGGCTTTGCCACTTGTGAGCTGCGTGACCTTGGGCAAATGACTTAACCTTTCTAAGCATGGTCTGTGAAATGGAGAGAAGGAAACATCTCCAGATTTTGCCCAGAGGAGTAAATGGAGGTGGGATATGTGAAGTGGCTCTAGACCCAGGCAGTAAACAGTGCTCAGTGTGTGTCCTTCCCTATTGACACTGACAGACCCTGCCTGGCAGGCCTGAGCACAACAGAAGCACTAGAAGTCCTTTTCCAGAAATTCCTTGCTAGGGCCTCTCACTGTGGACTGAGAGGATGGAGGCAGGTCCAACTCGAGGCAGGGCCTTGGGACACCAGTGCTCATGAGACAACTCACTGTCATGACCATTTCCGCCTTAGCGACCCAGAAGTGGTGACACCTGTGTGCTTGCTTCCCGAAGCAGTGAGAAGCCAGACGGAGACCCACACAGCTGCTGGCTCTAAAGGCTGCTCCCTGCACGTGGGCACCTCAGCCCCACCTTCCATTCCTCTCTCTAACCTGCTTCCCGGACCTGCTGGGGCCAGGAGCTGCCCCAAGTCCTTTCCACACACACCTGTGAGCTCCTGGGAATGAGATTAAAGGAGGCAGGGAGGTGAGAGGAAGCACAGGGGAAGACTGAAAGCAGATCTCAGAAGCTGAGAAGAGGAAGATGAAGAGGAGGAAGAGGGAGAAGGGAGAGTGGCAGAGAGAGGAGCAGTAGCCCGCGGAGCAGGGAGAGAAAAAGCAGGTAGGGAAGGGGGAGGGGCAGAGGAGGGGAAGGAGGAGGGCCTGCACCCGGCTGTGGGCAGAGGCTGCGGGGCCTAAAATGAACCGAACAGGCTGGAAATAGAACAGCTGGGCAAACCCCAAACGCTTTGTTTGGGTGTCTGCTGAGCAAGCACGTGAATGAGAAGAAAGGGGCAACAATGCAAGGCAGAAGTGGCTCATTTCACTCTGGAGGCAGGTCAGAACAAGAGGCATGTGTTCCAGTCCAGCACAGATTAGTCGGGGTTCTTTTTCCGGGATGTTTTCTTTACGTAATCATTATTTTTCACAGGCTGGCTTGGTGGCGGGATTAGCCTGACGCCACCCCATCCTTGGCAGGTGGAAGGTTTGGGTTACTTTGAGACCAAGACCACTCTGGGTTCTTATTCTAACTGTGGATGCCACCGGCTTCGGGAGAAGAGATCTTAATCCACTTTCTAAATGGAGGTTTAGGAATCTAAGCTGTGTAATGGAATACTATTTCCCTTATTAGAACAAACCCTAACTCGGGTGCGGTGGCACACGTCTGTAGTCCCAGCTACTCAGCAGGCTGAGATGGGAGGATGGCTTGAGCCCAGGAGTTTGAGGTTGCAGTGCACTATGATGCACCTCTAAATTAGTCACGGCACTGCAGCCTGGGCAACATAGCGAGACTCTGTCTAAAAATAATAATAATAAATAACAAAACCCAGTTCCAGGATGGATCAGGACTAGCCTGAGGGGCCCTGCCTGTCTCAGCTCAAAGAACTGCACCATGCCTCACACACACCAGCACACTTCGCCCTGGGAGGTGCCCAGGCCACCTGAGGTTCTGCCATGGGCTGGTTCCTTCCCTGATCACCAGCAGCGCCACCTCTGTGTTTTTCCCCTCCTCTCCCCACAACCCCCAACACACAATATGAAGAACCTTCAGTCCAGAAATTAGACATGGGACCAGCAGAGGCTATGAAGGTAACTGGAGCCAAGTGGCCCCCAGAGCTGCCATTTAGCCCAATCCAAGGTGTCTGCACTGTGGGGCATTTGCTTCATCACTGACTTCTCTAGAATTCAGGTCAGCTCTACTTGGGCCTGAATGTGGACAGGAATTAGGGGGCCCGAACTCCAGCCTCGCTTCCACCATGGGCCGTGCAGTCTTTGGCAACTTGCTTAACTTGGCTGAGCTTCAGTTCCCCGTTTGCAAAATTGGGGATAATACTGCCCACCTCAGCGGGTTCTCATAAAGCTCCAATGAGATCCTGTGTGCCTCCTACTTAGCTCAATAACTTGACATTCTATAAGGTTTAATTTCCTTCCTTCCTCTCTCCCTTCTTTTCTGAATGAGCTCTAAGAACCTTCCCCAATTCACTAGAGAACCTTTGAGGAAAGCTAAATTGAGGAGAAAAGGAACACAGCCCAGCCCACAGCCTCCCCATGAGGGGCTGGGGCTGGAGGGGTAGGTCTGGCGGAGGAGGGAAGGGGAGACATGAGTGATCAGAAGGTCTCAACCTAAGTGCTGGCGGCTTCTGTGACAGAGAGGCAACTGAACCTGTATATGGTATTTGGATCACAGCTGGAAATCCGGCTGGATTTTGGCTTTAATAAAATATTTGACATTTTGTGGAGCTCAGTTTTAAACATGGGGCCGAGAGCTGGCAGACCTAGGTCCATTCCTCAAGTTCTAACTCAGTTCACCCTGCTGCTCTGGGCTTCAGTATTCTCTGCTCTCCCTGTCGTCAGATGGCATTCACATGAAGACCCAGCTGGTGATCAATTCGTGGCAAAAAGTGTCAGAAGCTAGAAGACTTATCTCCGGTCAGTGTTTTCAACATGGTAGTTATCCTGCACGTGGTGATTGTACAACCCTAAGTGGAAATAGGACCCTAAAGTCCACTCTCTTCCAAGACTAGCCACTTAGAAACATACCAGCAACCATAAGGAAGCTGATTTAAGACCCCTTGGCCCCGCTCCCATAACACACGCCCAACAGAGTTGGCTTGACTATGGAACCATCCCAAAATCTCTCCTCCACACTGCCTCTTCTCTTCCTCTTCTCTTCTCTTGGCCTGAAGAAGCTTGCTCAGTGCACGTATCTTGTCTTCAGGTAGAACTAGAAGTTGAACAAGTCAGTTTCCTCTTTCTGACATTGAGAGGGTGGGTATCAAGGAGGATGTTTCAGAGAACGAAGAGGTTCTTGGCTCTTTGTACTATCTGTGCCTGTTCCAGCTCTAGCTGCCCTTGTTTGACCTGCTTCTTGCAGGAGGTAGTGGCCAGCATCGTAGGGAATGCCCATGAAGTACTCTGGGCTTCTCCGATGTAAAGGGTGAGAAAAATCAAAGCCAGCTCTTATCTCCATCCAGATGGTGGGGATAAAAACAGTCCAAGCCCGTTTCTTGCCTCACTTGTCCAGTGGCTAAGCTAATGCCAAACTGGGATTTCTCTGACCTCATGTTAACCCGACCTCAAGGCTGCCAGAGTATCAGCTACTAAATCACCAATCTATAAAAGTCATCTTGCAGCCTTTTCCAGATCCCAGAAGGAGTCTTTACTCCATCCTGACCTCAGAAGCCACCTTGCATCCTCTGCCAATGCTTTCTTCTTCCTGTATTTAGGAATCACATCTATCACTTGGGGTCCAGAAAACATTTTTAGCTACCAACCATGAGTCAGACTTCATCCCCATTTACAACCGTGTGACTAGAGGGTAGGGAGTTGGAGAAGATTCCTCCAGCCACAGAACAGCTCCTTGAACAAGCTTTTGCTAAAAGACAAGTCTCCTCATGCCCTTCCTTTTCCGAAAAGTCTTCTCTGACTCCCTGCTGGATAAAGGTTAGAAGCTTGAGCGTGGCTTCCCCAGAACCTTCACCGTCTGGTCCCAGCCTCTCTTTTGGGCCTCAGTCAGTCCCTGCCCTCCCTCCCACACACTCGCACTCCAATCCCATGCACATAGAAGTGTTTGAATGTATGTACTTTCCTGCTTTGGGTTACACGCTTCCCTTTGCTTGGAGTGTCCCCTGGCTTTCCTCCACCTGTGAATCTGCTCATCCTTTGTGAAGTCTTTTCTTTCTTTTTCTTTTCTTTTTTTTTTTTTGGTACACATTTATTGGGTACAAGTGCAATTTTGCCACATGCCTAGTTGCACAGTAGTTATATCAGGGCTTTTAGAGTATCGGTCACTCAAATAACATACATTGTACCCATTAAGTAATTTCTCATTGTCCACCCCTCTCCCACCCTCTCTCCCTCTGAGTCTCCATTGTCCGTCATTCCACTCTCTACATCCATGTGTACACATTTTTAAGCTCCTACTTATGAGTGAGAACATACTTGTCTTTCTGTGTCTAACGTATTTCACCTCTTGTTCCGGCTGTGTTGCTGTAAACGACATAATTTCATTCTTTTTATGGCTGAATAGTATTCCACGTGTATGTGTATCACATTTTCTTTATCTACTAATCATCTATTGGTGGGCAGGGCATTTAGGTTGATTCCATGTCTTTGCTATTGTGAATAATACTGCAGTAAACATACGAGTGCAGGTACTTTTTTTTTTTTTTTAGGCAAGATCTAGCTCTGTCACCGAGACTGGAGTGCAATGATACCATCACAGCTCACTGCAGCCTTGACCTCTCAGGCCCAAGTGATCCTCCTCTGAGTAGCTGGGACCACATGCCATCATGCCTGGCTAAGTTTTAATTTTTTGTAGAGATGGGGTCTTGCCATGTTACCCAGGCTGGTCTGGAACTTCTGGGCTTGGGCAGTCCTCCCGCCTCAGCCTCCCAAAGTGTAGGGATTATAGGTGGGAGCCACCAGGCCTGGCTTTCTTCTAGATATATTGATTTCTTCTGTGAAGTCTTTTCTTTTTTCTTTTTTTTTTTTTTTTTTTGAGATAGTCTTGCTCTGTCACCCAGGCTGGAGTGCAGTGGTGCAATCTCAGCTCACTGCAACCTCTGCCTTCTGGGTTCAAGTGATTCTTCTGCCTCAGCCTCTCAAGTAGCTGGGACTACAGGTGCGTGCCACCACGCCCGGCTAATTTTTGTATTTTTAGTAAAGACGAGTTTCACCATATTGGTCAGGCTGGTCTCAAACTCTGACCTTGTGATCCACCCACCTCAGCCTCCCAAAGTGCTGGGATTACAGGCATGAGCCACCGCACCTGGCCTTGTGAAGTCTTTTCTAATCCACCCTGTCCCACTGGCAGAATGTTTCGCCCCTTAGCCAGTGATATGCCTTTACAAGAGCATATGTTGCACTAGATGTTTACTCGGCTGCTTTCCACAGGCCCTTTCAAAGGCCATAGATTAGACCCACCTTTCCTGTAGCCCTGGCCAATTAGATCACAGAGACCTATGTAGATATGGTAGGAAAAATGATCCAGAATGTAGCTGTGACCTGGAGGATGCCTGCATGTTCCTTCAATATCATACTAAGGCTTTGTCTGTCATGAAGATTATTAATTCTCTAGAAGTGTGCTATCAACAGATGGCTATTGAACACTTGAAATGTGGCTAGTGCCTCATGTCAAAATGACAATATTTTGAATGTGTTAAATAAATTATTAAAATGAATTTCTCCTGTTTGTTTTTACTTTTTAATGTGGCTACTAGAAAAATTTAAATTATACCCCTGGTTCACATTATATATCCACTGGAAAGTGCTGCAGTAGCAGACAATAATTGTTTGACTTTGTCATTTGCTATTATTAATTAAGGGCTCAAAGTGTGAAGTTACATGTTATAGGGTTTTGTTTTTGTTTTTGTTTTTGTTTTTTTTTGGCCTGTTAGAGATTCAAGTGATTTGTATCCAGTAGGAAAAATAACCCCAGTTTTATTTTTCTGTAGGACATTAACTAGATTTGTATTTTTTAAAAAATTATTTTGGCGTGCCTTTTAAATCCCAGTTCCTCAAATGCTCTTTGAATCAACTTTATTATCGTATTGTTTCCCTTGTCAGTTAATGAGTTCAATAAAATCTTTGATACATATTCATACTTTAACTGTATGAGACTTGTGTTTCTAACTTTTTGGAAATTATACTTTGACATATCTCTGTCTCCTGTTCGGCTTGATGGCAGAGACTCAATTATTAACATACCTAGTATTAAGTAGGGACTCAGTAAATGTTGAATGAATAAGAAGCACTTGTTTAGAATTGAGGTCGAAAGTTTAAACTGCCAGCCAAACTTTGTGGTGGGATCCCTATCAGCCACATGTCTGGAGAGTGGCAGATGCAGGAAAGATGAGACGTTTTCAGGATCCTGAACTATTTGGGTGGTTTCCCAGTTTGGGGGGCCTGTGATCCCAAGGGAATGCTGGCCAAAGCAAGTCCCTTCTGTCAGCTCAAGGGTGAGGTCCTCTCAGGCTCCCCGCCCTTCCCACCCACCTGGGGTGCTGCAGGAAGTATGGAGCCCAGATAGGACTCTTGTCCCTTCCTGCCCCATGGCCAACTACATCACTATGAAGATTCTGTAAGACAACCCTAACTGCTTCTCACCATCTGGACACAGAGGCACTTTTGTTGTTAGAGGTCAGTAGAAGAGCAGGCCCCTTTTTTTCTGGGGGCTCTGGAAAAAATTCTTTCGGTCCTGCATCCTGGCAGACAATTGCAAGAATATGTCTCTTCCCCTTTACCCTCCTGCCCATCTCCACAATAAGGGATGGCAGGCTGGTAACTGAGGGTGAAAGTTG
This sequence comes from Homo sapiens, assembly GCF_000001405.40. Lineage (NCBI taxonomy): Eukaryota > Metazoa > Chordata > Mammalia > Primates > Hominidae > Homo > Homo sapiens. The sequence goes on from NC_000001.11 coordinate 110,249,376, forward strand.
CTTGCAAATTCCTTGAGGAGAGAAGCTGTTGATTTGTATGCCTGGCACCTGGTTAGCACGTTGCCTGGCATACAGCAGACACTCAGTGAATGCTAATCCACCTCCCCTCCCTCGGCCCGACTTCAGCACCAGAGCCAGCTTCCTTCCAATGAGTCTGATATATAGACTCCTTGGCCTGGACAGAACACTGATTAATCAATCCCCCCTCTGGGAGTCTTGAGCAGGATCAGCTGATAATTAGGCATCAAGCTCAGAGTTGGTGACCTTTTAGAAGTGTCACTGCTCTTGTCTGCTCTCCTTAAAAGAAAAGAGAAATTGGTAGAGGCTTTGCTTCTGGAGAATAAAAGCATTGCTTTAAAAAATTGTTGCCAAATAGACATAACATAAATTTATTATTTTAACCATTTTTTTCAGTGACATTAAGTACATTCACATATTGTGCAACCTATATAGCCATCCATCTCCAGAACTCTTTCTGTCTTCCCAAACTGAGACTCTGCACCCATTAAACAATGACTCCTCATTCTCTTCTCTCCCAGTCCCTAGCAACCAGCATTCTACTGTCTTTGTGAATTTGACTAAGTACCCCATATAAGTGGAATCATACGTTTTCAAGTCCCACCTTGAAGCTGTTATCAGCGAACACTTTCCTTAATTAAAAATTAACACCTTAGCAAGAATTAGTCTCTGACAACAGGAATGGGTCATCACTCCTTTTCTCATGCCAAATGAAACACTGTCTTCCATATGGTTCCCAGACACAGCTCCCCTTTCCCGGGCTCCCCCACCTCCCTCCTCCCACATGACCAGGCCTCGCACACTCATCTGGCTAATGCCTACTTAGCTCAACGCTCTTCTCCAGCCAGAAGTCCAGACAGACCCCTGGAAGGGGTCTCTCCTCCCTCCTCCATGTCCTCCAGGCTGCCATCTGGTAGGCCACCCTGTATCTTGCCCTACTGCCTTCTACACTCACTCCCTCTGGCCACAAGCTCCCTGAGGGCACAGTTCCCACCAGTCTCTTTGTATGGCTTGCACCTACCAAACCAGGCCTTTGAGTTGCTTAGAATAATTCATATGTCACATTTGGCACCACTGCACAAGCCTGGGCCATTTTGTGATTAGAAACTCCCAGGAAAAAAGATGGAGTTATCCTCTTGGAGAAATATGCCTGCATGGTTGGTGTAAGGAAGGGCCAGGGGCACTGTCAGTGTGGATAGAGATTCCTGCCCTGAGGAAAAGCAAATTGCCAAGGGGATGAATTAGTTTTGAGACCTTCAGCACAGTTATTCCTTCCTTTATTCACTCAGTCATCCTACAAACATGCAGTGGCACTTGCTCTGAGTGAGGCACCCAGCAAGGCCCCCAAGGGAAAAGAGGAAAGGAAGACCCCCTACACAGCCAGTCTGCTAGGAGAGGCCCTGGGCTTCTCTAGGAGGAGGAGGAGAGGAGCGGCTGGGGTAGGGGAGGCTAGGCCAAGCCCATCAGGTGGAGAAGCAGGTGGCTGTTCCTGAAGCCTCAAGCCCATGGACTGCCTTAAAGCCCTGGCCTCACCTCCTGGAGGCTTATCTATACTCCAGCTTTTGAGGTCAGTTCTGGGGGACGGGACTAGGGCCATGTAAGCAGGCAGAGAGGGGAGACAGGTCCTAGGCAAACAGGAACAGTCAGGTATCCCTTGTGGCAGTTGCTTCTACCCAGAGGGTGGCAGGGGAGTGCCTGCAGGGTAGAGTGGTCTACTGGCAGGAGTCCCTATAGGACCTCCATGTGAGGGGCCCCAACATCACTGCATGCTAGTCCGGCTTGGCTTAAAGAGTCCACTTAGAGGACTTCAAGCTCCACAGGCCACGAACGTTGTTATGGTTTGGCTGTGTCCCTACTCAAATCTCATCTTGAATTGTAGCACCCATAATTCCCATGTGTTGTGGGAAGACCTGGTGGGAAGTAATTGAATCATGGGGGCAGGTCTTTCCCATGCTGTTCTCACAATAGTGAATACATCTCATGAGAAATGATGGTTTTATAAAGGGGAGTTCCCCTGCACACTCTCTCTTGCCTGCCGCCATGTAAGACATGTCTTTGCTCCTCCTTCACCTTTTGCCATGATTGTGAGGCACCCCCAGCCATGTGGAACTGTGAGTCCATTAAACCTCTTTCTTTTGTAAATAACTCAGTCTCAGATGTGTCTTCATTAGCAGCTTGGGAACAGACTAATACAAACATGAAGTCTATAGTAGAAAGTGACAGAATTTGAATCTGCTCAGAGGGTAAGCATTTGGGATTATTTACCCAAGAGAGAAGGAGGAACTTAAGTGACTTGGTTATCATGATTATTTTTAAGGTGTTAAGCTGACAACATTAACTCGAATGGTCCTCACAGCAACCCTATGAGAGGAGCAGGGCAGAAACAGCGATCCCATTATGCAGGCAAAGACAACAAGGCACAAAAGGTTAAGGCCCTTGTTGGCCACTCACTTCATCAGTAGAGGAGTTGGGGTTTGACCCCGGTGTTTCTGTCCTTGGTCCAGGGTCCTTGCTCAACCAGCCTGCCTCTCCTTACTTCATGGGTCTAATGGGGGCCCCACATTAGGGGGACTTTGAGAGCAAGCCCATGATGGTGAGCGCTCCAGCTGCTCCAGGCAGCCCTTCTGATGAGGGGCTAAAGGAGGGAGCAAGGGGTGGGGCAGGCTCTGAGTCACTCCAGGCCTGCACAGCCCACCAATCTCTCACCTCCACTCCTAATCAAGGTGCCCAGAACCCAGTAAGCCTGGAGCTTGAGTTCATTTATCTTATCAGGCATTGGCACGGGCAGCTTGGGGAGCTCAGAGGCCTCCTAGCTAGGGAAGGATGTCCAGGTTCTGTGACTGTCAGTGTGCCCCTAAGAAAATAAATCCGTTAAAATGATTTCTTTTTCTTTCCAACCAAGAAATGAGGTTCATAACCCATCCTTGGCTACCAGAGAACAGTCCTCTCTGAATTCCTTCCCTACCTTGGTTACAGCTGTTAAATTGGTCATTTGGGTTTCAAAGGATGAAAGTCTGCCCTGCAAAACCTGTGGTTGGGCCTGGTTAACTCACTGGCTCAGGCCTGAGAGAAGGGTGGAGAGAGGCTTAGCTTCCCACTGGCTGTCTTGAGCACAGATGGAACTTGCCTGGATAGAGCACTCAGAAATGCTCTCCCTTGATCACCGGAGAGAGGTTGGATGGCTCAGCTGAAACCCTGCCCCTCTGCTCCAGAAACTTCCTGATGCCCTGCCTCCCGAGAATGGCTCTGGTACAATATCACATTCATTGAGCATCTACTCTGTGCCAAATATTTTACATATCTCATTCAATTCTAACACAATCCTTCAAAAGAGATATTATCTCCACTCTAAAAATGAGAAATCTGAGCATCAGGGAAGTTAGGTTAACTTGTCTGGTCAGGAAGCTAGTGAGTTGCAGAACCATGGCTTGGATCTATTGTAATCTCACCACAGTCCCTTCAGGTATGTGTTGTTATCAACTTTTCATAGGATAGGAGAAGAAATTGGGACTCAGATAGGCTAATTATAGGCCAATTATGCTTGCCCAAGGCAAGCAACTCCCCAGCGTATGTTTGTGATCTTATCTCTCTGCTCTCCCAGGCAGGCTGATTCCCTCACCCCATATTTAGTGGGGCCTCCATGCTTTTGCTAGGTCTCCTCCACTCAACACTCTTCCCCAGCCCCATCTTCTCAGCCAACTCTCTGAAGCTGGTATATCTTCCCAGTCCAATGCACAATGGCTCCCTCCACAAAGCCTTCCCTAGCACTTGGGGCCATGCTGACCCCATGCTGATCATCCCTTCCTCCCCTTTCCAATCTCCAACCACATTTACTGACCATGAGGGCACTTCATTGTTGTCTGTTTATGCATCTTCTTGTTTTGCACATGTGTGCCTTGTTTCTGCCCACTCTGGTCTTCCCTAAAGAATAACAACCAATCATGAGAGATGTCTCATTGCTTACAGCCCTGAGATGTCAACTCTAGATTCTACAAGTGTCTTCACAGTGGAGGCCACATTCATGCATCTGCCACAGCATCTAGCATAGTGTCAACCACAAACAGAGTGTTGAATAAATTCCACACATCTGTATGTTATTGTTCAAAGCATTTGAATGTCCCCTGTCTTGATGCATCCTCCTGAGAACAGTGTGAGGTGGTGTCCAGGCTCTGAGGGGCTAGTGCTGTAGCTAAGGTCAGTGGGAGACCCGGACCAGGACCCAGATTTTCTGATCCTGAGTCTAGGGCTCTTTCCTCTGCTCAGGCCACAGATAATCAACTGTTTCTTGGAACATGTTCCAATCAGCTTATTTTCTCCACTGTTCCTTCTTCCACAGAGCCATGAGAAGGGAGCCTTCCTTGTTGACGGTGTTATCAGACTGGCTCTGAGGGCAGCAGAAGTCAGAGGGCAGGGGTGGTGAAAGCATCTCAAGTGAAGCTCTGAATGAGTCTAGCCACCTGGCTAGGCTGAAGTCCTGGTCAAGAGAGGCCTTTCCCATTTCTCCTCAGGGGTTCTTGGGTCTATAGGGCCCCCGCCCTACTTCACGGCCATGCAGAGAGCCACCAATAGAGGCAGGTGATCAGTTGCAGACCAAGCTCCAGGTACCCTCAGGATCCTTCCTCTAGCAGGAAGGGGAAGGAAAACCCTCAGAGGCCTGCTACTGCTTCTTCATGAGAAGGAAGAAATAGGCAGAAGTCGGGGGGGGGGCGGCGTTTCTGTTGTTGTTTTGCCTGCAGGGTTCCAGGAGGGAACCCCAAGCAGCTCTGCTGTGGATGTCCCCCATCAGACATATCTGGAGATGCTTTGTCAGAAAGGAGGATTCGGTTGCATGAAACCATTCCCATTCTCAGCTAGACAGCCTGCGGGATTTGGGTGCATCCAGGAGACCAGCCCCTTCTCTCTGCTCTAAGCCAACCAGCCAGCCACAGGATCTGACCCCTGAGGCTTGGGAGGATGGTCAGGGTCACTGTGGCATCTTCATGTGATTCAGTGCATCATTTGCACCTCATGTTCCTTCATTGCACCCACTGCATATCCAAGAACATCCCCAGAGAGTCATGGTCATTTTCCATTTCTCCATCTTGTGGCTTATCTGCCATGTGGAGGAGGCCAGGTTGGAGTTAAAGACTGGGGCTGAGTGTGTGACACCTGCTTTTTGAGAGCAGCCCTGGCATAGGCTGCTTGCTCTAAACTCTGTACAGCTTCCTGCCCTGGGAAATGCAGAATTAATTGAATGACATGTGCAGTGATTACGGGAACAAGGAGATGAGTTGGGGGGAGGACTGTCTGTAGATCCTGCCAAGGAGACTAGGAATATATTCAAACCATCACCTTATACTGAGCTCCCTCAGCAGGTGTCAGTGTAGCAGTCACCTGGTCTATCCCAAATACAGCACCTTACAGCCTGAGCACATACTTTGCAGAGCCAGCCAGAGCCTCTGGGAGGCCCACAAGAAGGCTGCAGCAGTGCTGTAGAACAGCCCACAGCAGTTGTAGCAATGCCATTCCAGTCCATTCCATTCCATTCAATTCCGTATTAGCTCACCACCTACTATGTTCTGGAAAGGGTGCCAACATTATAAGTAAAATAATCTTCAAGTTGATGAAACTCACTGCATAGCATAGGAGACATCCAAGTATATACAGATAGCATTTCTGGACTTGCAGAGATGATTCTCATTTAAGACATTTGGTAAACTCTGGTGAGAGCAGGGAACATACACTCTCTTTTATTCACCCCTGTAATCCCAGTGCCTGGCACAGAGCCTGGAGCAGAGTAGGTGCTTAATAGATGGTTGGCAAATGAGCAAATGCCTAGATCGTCGGAGTTGGACAAACAAGTTCCCTAGAGCTCTGCAGGGAGTTAAGATTCAATGTGCTCTCTGTTGGCCGTCCCCCTGGAACCCCCTGGTTTCCTCTCAGGAGGTCCTCTTCACTTCACCGTCTTCTCTCCAGCTCACCCCTTCACACTTAGGCTCTGCAGTTTTGCATTCAACACCCTACTCCATGTCCCCAGGCACAAGTTGCCAAAGATAACTAATATTAGCAGGTTAGAGTCAGCACAGATATACTTTAAGATGCTTAGCGGGGCTGGAGAGTCCTAGACAGAGCCGGGTGTATTTTTAGCTCTTTGGGTATCTGGAAAGGTATTGAGATGCAGTCATTGCTACAGACACCCAGGCAAATCAGTATTCTGCTACTGGCCTCCCCATACCAGGCAGTTTCCATTCAGTGTCTCAAAAGCAAGGGTTGCCATGGAGACTGAGTGCCAGGACAACCGAACTTCCTCTCAGGAAACAACAGCACAGGTGGAGCTCTGGGCCAATGGGGATCAAGAAGCTTCTCAGATGGCCACAGCTTTCTCTCCTGAAGGCAAACGATGGCAGAGGTCCCTGGCACCCTCAGAAGGGGTCAGCCAGAAGATGGAGGACACTGTCTCTGGAACTTCATTCAGGGAGGGGTTGATTCTATTTCTCACTCACACTTGCTGTGGACTGCTTTAGTTCTCTTCCTGGCCCTTCCTTCCACAAAGGGATTTGGCCACCCAAGAAGCAGTCTAGAAGCTGCTCAGGGAGGAAGGTGGCAGGGCCATTTTGCAGTAGAGGCTAGTTCTGGCAAACACCTAGAACACAAGCTCTGCAGGAGGCTGGGGGAGGCCATGTCAGTCCTGCAGCCATTAGAATTACAGTAGCCCACTCTTCTGGGTGGCACTGTACAGGACCATCTTATCCTATTCTTGCTATCATCTGGGGAAGCAGCCAAGACAGGTGGCATGATCTCCACTTTCCTCCTGCATTCGACAAACATTTCCTGTGTACCTGACATGTTAGACAAGCGAGATGAAAACCCAAGGCTCCAAGAGGCTATGAAACCCACCTACAGTTACAAAGCTATTAAGGGTGGAACCAGAAGAGCACCCAGATCTCTCCAGTCCCTAGATTCAGAGGGATATGAGCCCAAAGAATCTGTTAGAGAATATTTACTGTGACCCTCACACTTCAGAGAAAATAAACTGAGGCCCCGAAAGAACACATAACTTGGTCACTCAGAACTTGTAGTGGAGCAAGGCCAAGATTCTTTTGCCCAGTCTTCTCATCACCCGTAGCTCTTCCCAGATATTCCAGCTTTTACTGGACATCACGCTGTGTCAGGCAGTGGATCAGCTAACAATTACATTTAGTTGTGATTAATGAAGACCTGACCACAATGACTTAAACAGGGGCTTACGTCTCACTCATAAAAGTCCAGAGGCGACGGAGGCCTTGCTCGCTCCAGGCCCGGTCACAGTGGTTGTAGTGGAAGAAAGACAAGTCTGCAGTGGACGGGAAGCGCCGTCACGCCCCGGTATTACAAGGACAAGCTGAAGGAGGACCTGGGCGTGTGTCTGTTGCAGTCCAACTGTGTGGTCCAGGAAGGAAAATCCCCTCTGCAGTGTTTGAAGGAAGGATACTGCAAAGCTTTGAAATACTCATTTTTTGAGTATAAAAGATCAGTGTTGGATACCAGGTCAAGAATCAGAGGAAGAAAGGGATATTGATACATTATGTTGAAGCCAAGATGAAAACAACAAAGGATTTTCTCTGGTTATTAACACAAAGAAGCCAAAACAGGAAACATACTTTTTACTACATCTGTTTGGTTGGACCAGTTTTCCCCTCCATGGAACACTGAAGAAAATGAATGAGTTCTGTTTTTGAATATGTATAAAGTAAATGATTCTCTTGATCCAAGTTATTTTTAGAAGAAAAACCTAATTAAACAGTTATGGGTTGGGAGCATAATAAATGTGTTTTCAGAATTGTTCTAAAGCACAGAGAATGGAAAGATTGTTATTTGCAAACTTGACTCTTCAATTGAATTACACAATTTGTACAGGCCACTGATGTGACTGACACAGTTGATAACATGGAGCCTGTCCAGAAGACGTCAGTTGGGAAAGTTTAGGGTAAAACTTTTTCTTTAGTTCAGTCTTTCCTGTCTAGTTCTAAAATAAATTGTGTTTGATTCCCTCCCCTGCCGCAAAAAAAAAAAAAGTCCAGGGACCGGGTGCGGTGGCTCACGCCTGTAATCCCAGCACTTTGGGAGGCCAAGGCGGGTGGATCACGAGGTCAGGAGATCGAGACCATCCTGGCTAACATGGTGAAACCCTGTCTCTACTAAAAATACAAAAAAAAAAAATTAGCCAGGCAAGGTGGCGGGCGCCTGTAGTCCCAGCTACTCGGGAGGCTGAGGCAGGAGAATGGCGTGAACCCAGAAGGTGGAGCTTGCAGTAAGCCGAGATCGCGCTACTGCACTCCAGCCTTGGCAACAGAGCGAGACTCCGTCTCAAAAAAAAAAAAAAAAAAAAAAGTCCAGAGGCAGGTGTTCCAGGGCTGGTATGGCAGCTCTAACCAAGTCATCAGGGATGCAGCTTTCTTCTAGCTTTCTGCATCACTGACTTTTGCACACAGCTTTAATCCTAAAATGTCCAAGACTACAGCTGGTGTGTTAGCCATCACATCCATATTTCAGGCAGGAAAAGTGAGAACAGAAAGGAACAAAAGGACATGACATGCATGCCTGACCTGTCTGCCCCGTTAGGAGTCTTTCTGCAATCCCATCCAAGTTCTACTTATAATCCTTTCGCACTTGCCAGTAAGGGAGGTTAAGAAATGTTGTCTTTTACCTGGGCACATTGCTATGCTAAATGGATTTGAGCTTGTGGTAGGAATGAAGAATGATATTGGGAGCAACCAGAAATTTCTGCCATAGACACTTTCCTAGGCACTAAATGGAGATACTATTCATATATCTAGAATCTGTATCTAGATTTGTATTTCTCCTAAGATTTATGAAGGGTTTTTGTTTCCTGCTTCTTTTTTTTGAGACGGAGTCTTGCTCTTTTGCCAGGCTGGAGTACAGTGGCGTGATCTCGGCTCACTGCAACCTCCGCCTCCTGGGTTCAAGCGATTCTCCTGCCTCCGCCTCCTGAGTAGCTGGGACTACAGGCACACGCCACCATGCCCAGCTAATCTTTGTACTTTTAGTAGAGACGAGGTTTCACCACATTGGCCAGGATGGTCTCGATCTCTTGACCTCATGATCCGCCCGCCTCAGCCTCCCAAAGTGCTGGGATTACAGGGGTAAGCCACAGTGCCTGGCCATTTCCTGCTTCTTAAAATTGTTCTATACTTTCTAAATTTTCTTCAGCGTGTATGTGTTGATTTCACAATGAGAGAAAAACACCCATCCATCCTCCTTCAAATCATTCACACAGATGACTATTAACCCTGCCCAGAGTCACCTAGGCTATGCTGCTTTTACGAGGAAGGCACAAAAATTCTTAAAACAGGATTTGAGCAAAATATCAATTCTGTTCAGCTTGAATGAAATCTACCATATCACCCTATGAGGAGGCATGGAGCAGAAGTGGTGAATCCTCCAAGGCACTGATGAGAATCACAGCTTCATGCACAGCCAGCTCCCCAGCCCTCAGCCTCCCCTCCTCCTGCTCCCATCTCCTCTTGTCTGGGAGTACCTCCCACACAAGGTCTTCTCCACGCTGAAATCCAATGCCCTCAGGGGCTTCTGGGCTGCATGCCCATCTGGACTCAGAGCTGAATAGCAGGGGTGGATGCTGTGGCTCTGTGGGTAAGGCTCAGCCTTTGCACAGCCTGTCACAGATGGCTCTGTTTATTTGTGAATCGGAGGTATCCTCCTCAAGCACCCAGAAGGTAGGTCAAGGACCTGGAGGAGTCTCCTTTTCCCCACAGTAAGCCAAAGGCTGGGCCCAGGCATCCTGACCCCTACTGTCCCCAAGGAAATTGTTCAGGAATGAATCGTAGGCCAGCTCAGCATGTGACTAGGGCACACGGGGAACCCACCGGAACACTTTCTCTCAGTGTGCTGCTTGTCTAAGGCATGATGAACAGGTGTTTGAGAGGGGACGGTGGACAAGCAAGGATCAGTCTATTCCATATGGAATTGAAGCATGGGTGCTTAATTCATGAGAAGAGCCCAGACATTGCTACTTATTCCAGAATCTTTCCTCCCCTTCATCTTACTAAATGGACATCAATTTTACTTGGGGCTGTAATGTGTTCAGTTGATACCTGATCTCTCAGACTCTCTTGCAGATGTTCACAGTGCTGGACCTTGAAATGTAGGTTCAGGGCTCTGGGAAGGGTATGTGTGCCTGCAAAGAAAGGCCCAAGAGGCTGCATTTGGCCTCACCCTTCCCCTTCTTCCTGCCTGGAGGAGGAGATGCCTGGGAATGAAGCAGCTGTCTCACACTCCTGAAAAGGAAAGCTCTATGCTAGGATGGTGGGGCAGGAGCTAGAAGGATCTGAGGTTCTTCTTGACTTTCTTGACAACATCTCTGGACTATCTACTTCCTGATTTCTTGTTACATGACACAAATAAAAGCCTCATTTGGGTAAGCCAGCATGGTTGGGTTTCTAGTACAGGGAGCCAAATACAATTTTAAGTGATGCCTAAAGATTGTCAAAGAGGGTGCCTTTTTGTGTGATTGCAGACTCGCCAACCAATGTGCATTTCCTGTCCAGGTTCTGTCCTCAGGCTCACTTCCTCTTAGGTAAGACCTGGCCAGGCTGCATTGTCCCAGCAGAACGCCCAGCAGGCCTGGGCATGCATCTCAGATGAGGCTGAGCTCTTTGACTGTTCATCTGTATTTATCACTATGGGGGAAAGTGAAGAATAAAATACCATGGATTGTTTTTACTCCTCTCAAGAGACAATGTGGAATACAAGAAAATACATCTTGGCTGAGAAGTCCCTGAGAATTAAAAATTTGATCCTCCTGAACTAGGAACAGGGGGGCTTTTCCCTCTCTTTATCAAACCATTTAGGGCATAAGGGTGCTTCCCACTGAAAGCCCCATGGATTGCAGATCTTGAAAATCCTTTGGGATCTGTAAGATGTTAGGACTTTGTAAAGAGGAATTGATGATCTTAGACTAGATAGTGTGAGAAAAAAAGAGGAAATGATGAATATATCATCTATCAGGTTTCAGGTTTTTCTCAATCAACCAACATCTTTTCAAATGCCTACCATGTGTCTATATAACTTTCACAAAATGAACAAATGTCTTTAAAAGATTCCTGCAAAGAAATTCGGGTTGGAGATAATATCAATAGTAAAAGCATAAAAAACAAAAAGAATATTTCTGGGGTGACCCTTTTCTTTCTTTATAAGTTCTTTGTTAGCCACTTTATAAGGCAAAAGCAATGAGAATCCAATCAGATCTGAAAAGAAGTTGACAGAAAAATGCAACATTTAAAAAACAATTGTCTCTTTGGGAGGTCGAGGTGGGTGGATCACGAGGTCAGGAGATCGAGACAATCCTGGCTAACACGGTGAAACCCCATCTCTACTAAAAATACAAAAAATTAGCCGGGCACGGAGACGTGCGCTTGTAGTCCCAGCTACTCGGGAGGCTGAGGGAGGAGAATGGTGTGAACCGGGGAGGCGGAGCTTGCAGTGAGCCGAGATCGCGCCACTGCACTCCAGCCTGGGTGACGCAGCGAGACTCCGTCTCAAAAAAATAAATAAATAAAAAGCAAAAACAATTCTCTGAAACATGGTTGCCATTTATTATTGTTAATGAAGGATATTGTCCTAAGAGTTTTTGTCTTGAGATATTAGCTAATGATAGCAGAAAATTTCCCAATTAGTAAGATATTTAAAAATTAAGCATCTAGACCATGAAGAAAAACTTTCTCAATTTTTTCATTGATGCTTGAAGTCATTACAATGCTTAATCCGGTATTTAACATTTCATTAAATCTAATGATAAACATATGCGTGAATCCTTTAGTGTTCTTAGTAATTGCAAAACACAAAAAGCCATATGCCCTTAGGGAAACACTTGCTTTTTCTACCATGAAAAATGGCTGAAATAAGACATGAAAAACAATATGGCAATAAAAAATGCAATCTTTTGTCAGCAGGCATTATTGACAGATGCATAAAAAACATTGCTGAAAAAATTTTAAATGAATATTAGGACAAAGTATGCCTGATAGGAAATCTGCTATATATTTGATTTAAAGTATAGAGATTTCTAACATCTCAGTTAATGGGATTTGCTACATTTTGTTGAAATACGAGAATTATATGATAAAGCACTATTTTTGAGCCACTAAAGGGAGGATGAGTGGGAAAAGAGTAAATGACTTCCCTAATAAAAACGCTTTATAGAAAAAGTATTGACTGGAATAAAAAGAGGGATCTGGTGTGGTTACAAAGATAGAACCACACTTAATATTCCTTTACTGGGCAGCAAAGAAGTTAAAGCCATATGTGCACAAAATGCTGTGTTGTCATTGATGATGTTAATTTTATAAAAAGAAGGTCTGTAAAATATAACAGAATTCTTATAACACTTTGAAATGGGATATGGAGTGACCAGGGAGGTCTTTTGATTCCCATAAAGGTTTACCAATTTTCTCATGGCAAGTACTTAAGGTTTATCAAAATTAAAAAGTTACTTGTTTTTCTTATACAAAACAACAAGCATTCCATTTTAAAGGTGATGCTTTATTATCTTTTAAAAATTGATGACATGCTAAGGAAAAAACATTTGAAAACAGATGTTTAGATGTTTCCATCATTACACAATTTTGCCCAAAGCACTGTTTTGTAATACCTTTAAATCTCTCATACCTGTACACTTAAAAAAGGATTGGAAACAAAATTTTCTACCTTATTTTAAAATCTTGTGAATGAGGCCATATGTTTTGATTCCATTTTATTAGAACTATAAAGATATAATTATATAATAAATGCTTATAAAATACAAAGTTATAAAAATATTTGTTTGCTTAAAAGAACAGACTCTGGGTGCTATAGCAATTATGTGATGCTTATTGTATACTGCCTTAGACTTCTGGCTTCTTATCTTGAACACCTGACCTCAAGCCATCCTTGAGCGCTGGGATTACAGGCATGAGCCGCTGCACCCAGCCAACCTCTGGCTTCTTATGGAGTACTTTGTCTTTTGATGCAACTGGGAGCTCAGTGACTGCATCTTCTTCTTTCTGTGCCTTTCCTCTTCCCTAACTTCCCCAACCCTACCCTGCCCCAGTGCCTACCTCTTTGATCTGCAGCCGCTGCATTTGTGAAAGTGAATTTGAAGTTCAGGCCAATAGGGAGTTTCCAGTTCTTGTATCATACATTTTAAGGTCCATTTACTTGACCTACTCTGGCTCCCAGAAGCCCATAGGATAAGCTCTAATTTCTTAGCAATACAGCTGTCCTTCTGCCTCACTGTCTCTATCAACCTTGTCAAACCCACCTTTCTCCAATACTTCTCCAGAAGCCCTTCCTCTCCCCTACTAAGTGGAGGTCTAGATTTGTGACAAGGTACTTCTTAGGTCCCATTTCTTCGGCCCTCACCCCCTCCTTTTGGTCTTTTCCTCCTCTGAGGGCTTTCCTATAGTGCTTACCTGCACAGTCAGGACTGATAATAAGCATTTGTCGTGATGAGGACGTCCTGTCTTTCCCGCCTGTCAAGCCTTGAGCATCTGTGGTGAGACTCCGCGTAACCCCATCACCTAGGATAGCCCTGTGAACAACAGAGGATGCTGTGCACAGGCCCTGTCAGGAAATGCTCATTGGTGACAGCATGACCTCTGGTGTCTGTTTCATGACCTGTTTGCATCTGTCACTTGCACATTTTTCTGTGGTGGAGGGAGTTGCCATGTGCTGTGGTTCTAGAATGGCTGCCTGCCTGGTGGCAAAGGGAACATGTGGGTCAGCAGTGGTGGGGCTTTTCAACCTGTTTTGGGGACAGCCAGCTATCCTGAGCCCAGGAAACTGAGGGCTGGATGCTGGCTCATCCCTTGGGTAAGAGATACGGTAATAACAGCTGTTCTGGGCCAAAATACATTTAGTGACATCTTGGGAGATTTTGGTGCATGAGGCATGCTTTAAAAATACATGAGAATTTAAGGGTTTTTTTTTTTCCCACATCTGCTGAGGAAACATGTCCACACATCTAGGCTAATATTAGGGCTGTTTATTTCCTAGGGTTGACATTTCCTTGGCTGTCTAAGATTGCTGCTGGAGATAGAATGACCGATATTCACTTTGGCATCCTTCAGCCAGAAAGGATGATCAAGGTTAAATAGGAGCACGTTTGGGCAACACAGACAGACAGACACCCAGAAATATGTACGCCACTCCAAACAGGGTCATCATCTGACCCACAGTGTTGCTGGGGCTCAAAGTGGCCCTTACATAAAGGACTCCAGTTTAGAGGGTACATTTCATATGGGAGACTGATTGAGAGGTTCAAAAATCCAGTTTTATACATAGAATAAGAAACAGTTCTTCCCGTGGGAAAGACTACTTTGGGGAACAAATTGAGGCCTGGAAGGCAACCAGCCTTCCTCTCTAAAAAAAAAACAATCTCTAGCAAGCTTTCAGTGAGGGGGGGGAGCTGAATGGGGGTCTCCATTTGGGGAGAGTCCTTCTCAAGCATCTCTACCTCTGGGCTTTTTCTCTCCTCTGGGTACAAAGCTCCCCCATTCTCCCTGGTCAAATGGATGGGGTGGGGGAATCTCTTTCCCATGTTATTCTTGGTACAACTGAAGAATTCCAAAAGGGACTTTGCATACAAAAAAAGAGAAAAGGTGTTTTTTTAACTGAACAGGTGTCTTCTGGCCCCGGGCAGTAAAGCCAAACACTGACATTGGGACTGCAATGAAAGAAACCGAGGCATTTATTGTAGGGCACCAAGCAAGGAGAATTGGGCCACTAATGCTTAAACCCTGAAGTCCTCAGTGGCTTACAGGTAAGAGTTTTTGAAGGCAAGGAGACGGAGGTTACAGGCAAAGTCATAAATCAATACATAGAGTCTGTGCATTGGTTTGACCTAAAAAGGCAAGACATCTCAAAGTGGAGGAGAGAGGAACAGGTCATAGGTGGATTCAAAGATTTTTTTGATTTGTGATTGGTTAAGGAGGCTTTGTCTAAAAATTTGGAAGCAAGCAGAAAAGAATTATTAGCTCTGGCTCATGGGCATGACCTCCTCCAAGCCCTTCAGGAAGAATTTTAGAAGAAAGAACAGAGGTCAGAGTTCAGTCCTTAGTCCCCCCTTATCTGAGGTCGATATGCCAGCAGATCCATTTAGTAGGGGTCCGGGTTTCTGAAAAACAACTCAGGAACATATGTTGAGATGTTATCTTTAGTTTCTAAAGGGAACCAAACATGACTTTAACTTCCTTGGCTATTGTTTTAAGCCACTGTTACCTTCCTGCTTACCAAGTTGCTTATTTACTTCTCAAGGCTAGCTAGGAGCCTGCAATTTTCCTGGAAGGAACTCAAGATTTTTCTTTATTTAGACCCCTAAGAGGGATCCCTACTCGTCTCTGGAGAAGGAGGGGGAGAAAGAAGGGAGAGAGCTGGCTGGGCGCAGTGGCTCATGCCTGTAATTCCAGCACTTTGGGAGGCCAAGACAGGCGGATGGCTTAAGGTCGGGAGTTCGAAACCAGCCTGGTCAACACGGTGAAACCCCATCTCTACTAAAAATACAAAAATTGTCCAGGCATGGTGGCACACACCTGTAATCTCAACTACTCGGAGGCTGGGGCGGGAGAATCACTTGAACCCGGGAGGCGGAGGTTGCAGTGAGCCGAGATTGTGCCACTGCACTCCAGCCTGGGCAACAGAACCAAGACTCTGTCTCAGAAAAAAAAAAAAAAAAAGGTGGGGGAGAGTGAAAGAAAATAAAGTACAAAACCACTTGCAATCAAAACAGAATTTATTGATGCTATACTAGTAACTTCTTTTACCCTGTCCCTTCCCCCACACTCTGAGCATCTTCAGAGAAAGATCTCGTTTATAGTGTTCAGGTTCTTCCTAGGCTAGAAGCCTCGGAAAAATAAGTTTACAAGTGGCTGATGAGTGAACAGTAGAACTCTCAGGCTCCCTGAGTTTCCAGCAGCAGAAATAAAACATAAATAAAATAAAATAAAATAAAATAAAATAAAATAAAATAAAATAAAATAAAATAAAATAAAATAAAATATTCCCCACCCAGAGGATGGCCCCTAGCAGTCAGGTTTTAGGCTGCTAGAAGAGGGCTCCCAAAGGAGCTTTTAGAGAGGGCTGCCCAAGAAGTCATCCAGGCCCCTGTTCCCAGGCAACACTGAGGAACTCTGCACTCCTCTGGGCTGCTTGAGTTTCTTGCATTACAACAGTACTTATGTCAAAAAGTTAACCATCTCTGGTTTGGAGAGAAAGGCCCAATAGTCATCATCTTCCATTTTAGCACCAGGGAGCCTGTTCTGGGGCCCCGAAGAGGAACTCAGAGCCAGGGAAGAGGCCCTTGGAGGTGGGTAGGACAGGGTAGGTCCTGCCCAGCACTAGACCCTCTCCTCCTGAAAACACGGAGAAACTGGGCTGGTGGTGCTCCAGCCCCAGAGAGGCCCTTGGTTCCTTTGTTGACCCTCCCAAGTGACTTGTTGCACCTACCTTCCTACCTTGTTTGTCATTTGTTCATTCATTCATTCTTTCAGCACAGATAGACCCAGCCTACCATGTGATAACACTAAACCTCAGAGCACCGCAGGAATACAAAAGAAATACATGTAGCCTTGTTCCCTTTTCACATAGAGAGCTAGGGACAGGGTGGGGACTGCCTCTTGAAGTTCCATGAAGGCAGAAGAGGCACTGTGGAGCATTTAATAGATGCAGGCATTCTTCTGCTTAAGTACAATTCACCCAATTCCCCCGACAGCTCTGGAAATAGGGGGAGAAATAATGGGCAGGGAAGCAAGTTAAGTGGCTGATCAGGGACACAAGTACTGGCTTTGTGGTAACCAGATCCCAACACTGTTGCATGGGGAGAGAGTCTCAGTTGACTGAAAGGATCAGATATTGAAACATTCATAGCCGCAACACCGAAACTGCACCCTGGAGGGCTGAGTGAGGAGGGGAGGGGCTGGAGTGCAGAACAAACCTGGTCCCACAAATAAATCCAGCCCCAGGACATCACTTTCCTAATGAGAAGCAGCAAGAATTTCTGCAAGGTTTTTGGAAGACCCTTTGGAAACAGTCATTCATTGTTGGTAACCCTCACTGAGTCCTTAGGAACAGCCAGGCTTGCTCTAAGCACTTTACATGGGATAACTCCTTTAGTCTCCCTAGCAACCCTAGGAAGTAGGTACTATTACTATTCTCATTTTGCTAATGAGGAAAGGTAAAACGACTTGCCCAAGGGCACAGAACCTTTAAGTGGCAGGGCTGGGATTTGAACCCAGCCTAGCTCCAGCCTCTGCTCCTAGCTATAAGTCTGCCACAGCTGTTGTTGCCATTCTTGATCCAGATTGGCCCCCTTGCTCTTTGTATGGGCCCCATTTCTTCCCCTTAAGTCTTGGCATCTGTACCCCAAGGGACCCGAATACCAGGAGAGACCTAAAGTCTGTGTTCCCCGGACCCGAGGACCCCGTGCCTTGATGTGCCATTGTCATGGGGATGTTTGCCCCTTCTGATGTCTCCTTCTTAGCTCCTGGTTAGTTCTCTTGAAGCATCCCACTTTCTCACTTTGGCTTGCAGGGCAGGCTGAGCAAACACCATCTGCCAAGAGGCCTGCAGCAAAACAAACTGCAGCAGCCCCAGAGGTCTTGTAGCTTCCATTTAGCAAGCAGCCCGCACGCCTCTGTGGGCAGAACCCTTGGGGAGAGGGCTGCTATTCATCACTTGTTTGGCTGTGGGAGGCTCAGCAGTCTGTGTAGGGTGGGCTTTGCTGGGGAGAAAGGTGCTGGTTTTCTGAGAGCTGAGGAGGCCACTGGGAAGGTTTGGGGCCCAGGAGGGCTGCTGCTGGACTCCAGGTTGCTCAGGATCAACGTCTTTTCTCCATTCTGATGCAGAAGAACCATGTGCTTGCTTGTTTGCTATTTATACTGCAGTTGCTGTCTAGGGGTTTTCTTTGAAGGGAATGAATAGACTCTGAGGCTCTAAGTACATTTCTGGCTCAGTGCTGTGCTGCACACACCTCAGTTCAGCTGATACGAGGCCCGTCCTTATTCCCCGCTGCCTCCATGTCCTTCTGGAATCCGTACATTCCAGATAGCACCACTCCCCAATGCCTCCACCGCCCACATGAACACACTCCTAAGTACATTTACAATCCGGCTCCTGCTTCCTTCCCTGGCCAGCAAAACTTCATTTCAGCCTCTCTTAGGATTAGGTTATGCCCTTAGCCATCATCTTATTCTGTTCCTTTTAGCAAGATGCGAACCTCTACATTCTGTCATTCTTAATCCTCCTTGCCCCACTTCCTATGTATCTCACCACCAGGAAGGGACTGAAATCGCCTTTGCAGAATTATAAGTAATGAGAGAAATCTAACATGACAGACTCCATCTTGCTTCTAACCTCACAGGCTAAATTGGTTTTTTGCTTATTCTAGTCTGGAGGCCAATATAACTATGAGAGGAATTTGGTTTACAGTTAAACTTTGAGGCCAGAAAAACTGCCCCTTCCTTGTTCAGAGATTGAAGTCGCATTCGTAATACATGGTTAGAATCATGGTAAGGGCTCTAACTTTGCTGAAGAATAGGCATAGTTAAGCAATAACCTGCCATGACTTAGCATGCTTTTCTAGAAGTTTTTTACTACCCCCGAGTCATGTAAGCAGGGGTCACAAGATTTATAACTTCCCCAGCTATTCCTATATAACATCACTATTGTGAAACCTAAAGAACTTCCCCATATGTATCTGAGATATTTTTGAGATTTTTTTTCAGATTTGGCATTTTGGCAGACCAAGAGATAGATGCCACCTGGTCTTGAGACCCCCTCCCAGTACCTGACTCAGCTGCACAAAGGCAGCTTTAGACACCCCTGTGATCTTATCCCCTGTCAATCAATTGTTTCAATTCTCCAGCCCCCTGGCTGCCAGAGTGCCTTTAAGAAACTCTAGCCTTGGCCGGGTACCGTGGCTCACGCCTGTAATCCCAGCACTTTGGGAGGCCGAGGCGGGCAGATCACGAGGTCAGGAGATCGAGACCATCCTGGCTAACACGGTGAAACCCCATCTCTAATAAAATACAAAAAATTAGCCAGGCGTGGTGGCGGGCGCCTGTAGTGCCAGCTACTCCGGAGGCTGAGGCGGGAGAATGGCGTGAACCCGGGAGGCAGAGTTTGCAGTGAGTCGAGATCGCGCCACTGCACTCCAGCCTGGGAGACAGAGCAAGAGACTGTCTCAAAAGAAAAAAAAAAAAAAAAAGAAAAGAAAAGAAAAAAAAAGAAACCCTAGCCTTGGAATTCTCGGGAAGACAGGCTTGAGAAGTTTCTCCCGTTCTGCTCATGTGGCTGGCCCTGAGATTTTATTTTTTTTTTTTTTTGAGACGGAGTCTCGCTGTGTCACCCAGGCTGGAGTGCAGTGGCGCGATCTCGGCTCACTGCAAGCTCCGCCTCCCGAGTTCACTCCATTCTCCTGCCTCAGCCTCTCTGAGTAGCTGGGACTACAGGCGCCCGCCACCACGCCCGGCTAATTTTTTGTATTTTTAGTAGAGACGGGGTTTCACCGTGGTCTCGATCTCCTGACCTCGTGATCCGCCCGCCTCGGCCTCCCAAAGTACTGGGATTACAAGCGTGAGCCACCGCGCCCGGCCTACCCTGAGATTATTAAGCTCTTTCTTTGCTGCAACAACCTGCTGTTCTCATTGTTTTCTTCAGGGCAGCAGGCAAGAAGAACCCATCAGTCTGTGACAGGGCCATCTTTTCAGAAAGCAAATCTCCCTGGGCCTTCCTGTAGCCTGGTATTTTGTTTTTTTCATTCAGGTTTATTAAAGTGCAATTTACACCAAGTAAAATACAACTCAAGATTTTTGACAGACACGTCAGTTGAGTAACCACCACCACAATCAAGATACAGAACAATTCCATCACCCCAAAACATTCTCTCATATACCTTTAAAGCCAACAACTTCCCCCATCGCCAGCTTCTCACAACCACCAATCTAATCTGTGGTGGTTTTATTTTTCTCCCCTCTGGTTTCGCCTTTCCCAGAATGTTACATAAATGAAATCTGGAGTCTGGCTTCTTTCACTCAGAGAGACTCAGCCATGTTGTTGCAAGCAGCAGTAGTCCATTGCTAGGTAGTATTCTGAAGTATGGATGTACCACAGTTTATCAGTTCACCAGTTGAAGGACATTAGAGTTTCAAGTTTGGGGCAATTATGAATAAAGCTGCTATAAACATTCATGTAGAATTTTTATGTGAACATATGTTTTCATTTCTCCTGGTAAATACCTAGGAACGGGATTTATGAGTTGTAAGGTAAGTATATATTTAACTTTTTTTTTTTGGTTACCAGATCTCAGGCAAGAGGATATATTTAACTTTTAAGAAACTGCCAAACTGTTTTCCAAAGTGGCTGTATTATTTTGCATTTCTCCCAGCAGTGTGTGACAGATCCAGTTATTTTGCATTTTTACAATGTCAGGTATTGCCAGTTTCCCCATTCCAACCTCCCTCCGTTCTAAAGATGTGTTACATGGCACTTTTGTGATCTATTTTTGTGCTGCTTTTTCTCAAGTGGCAGTCCTAGAAGGCAGGAAATGGGATTTGTTTATTTCTATATTGCCTACACAGAATATATCAGGGTAGGAGCTCAATATATCTTTAACACATGTATGAATGAACACATGAAGCTTTCTAGGTTGCTTGGCAGTTTCTAGAGGACAGAGCTACTGATGCTCCATCCTTCTCACCTGGAAAAACACTGACGTCCAACTGGCTTCCCTTGGTCATGAGCAGTTCCTGATCTACCTCTGTCCTCACCCCTTGTTGAAGTCATGCCGCCCTCAGACTCTCCTCTCTGGGTCCTTTCTGTTTGGATGTTGCCTGCTGCATTGGCCTCATTCCTCTGGAAATAAGCTGAGTGCAGAGAGGACCTTCCCCTCCAGTACCAAGTTATGGTCAGCAGATCCCTCAGGGAACAAGCTACTGGAAAGATTTAAGGACTGCGTGATTAAGAGAGGGAACAGCCATGAAAAACAGTTGCATCTGCCTGAAGATCAAACCAAAGCTAAGGAGTTGGATGAGGCTATACTAATAATCTCAGGGTGGACTTAGAGGCAGCCTGATGACCCTGTCCACATAGGCACTGCGAGTCTTACAAGTTGTCCCCATATGTGTCTACTGAACTTCTTTAGGGAGATAAGCTGCTGACTGGAGGGTGTGAGCACAAACCAGGAGGCTGAGCGAATGACCTTCAAGAAAGGAACAAACAGGTGCAAGGGAGCTGGTTGTGAGGAAGATAAATAGAAGCAGTATGTGCAAGGGAAACAAGGCTACAAAGGTGGGAAGGGATTGCCTCCAAAGTGGGCCTGGCTCTTCTCACCCAACCACACTGCATCAGAGGTGAGCAGCCTATCAGGGCCTGAGGTCTGAACACAGGATGCCTGGCCTACCCTCAGTTGCATTGCATTTTTCAGCCCCTGCAGACTGGCTCTGCGGTGGCCTCAATTCAGAGGTACACATTCCAGGACATTGGAGGAGTCTATTGATGTGGAAGATCAGCTCTTCAGTAGATTTAGACCCTGGGGGGCTGAATGGAACCCTCTTGAAAGATCTTTTCAGGAAGGCTTGGAAGCCAATGGAAGGATCCTGAGGATGACAGTTCTGGAGAGGGTAGAAATAGAAAACAAACAAACAAGGAATGACTCTCCAGAGTCAAAGGCATGCAATTCTCCTTGTGTGAACTGGCAAGGGCTAGATGCCACTCAGACCCTGGAGAAACTGAGCAAAGAGAAAAGAGAGGTTAAACCTTCAGAGGTGGGAAGGTTGTGAGAGTTCAGGGCATATTCCTGGAGGTGAGTATAGCTGAGCACTGATGGTGTGGTTGGGTGAAAGCTGGATAACAGAAGGTCAAGAAGAAAAGAGCACTAAAGATCATCTACTCCAAATTCCCTCTTTATACAGGGGAGAGATCTGAAGCTTAGGGTGGGGAAGGGATAGCCCACAGTTACATTGCTAGTTAGTAGTAGAGCTAAAACTGGAACCCAAGTCTCTGGACTCTTGAGAGTAGTTTTGAATCCTGGCAGCTCATTAGAAAAATCTAGTCTAGAAAATTTCTCTTAAAGAGCAAAAAGCTAAGTATGGGAAGCAAGACTCATGTGAACCCAGATCTGTTTGGACTGGTTTATTCCTATCCCAAATACCTGCACTTGTGTAGCCTCTGATTACAGGGGCTTAAGCTTGTGAGTTCAGTGCCAGCAGACAACTTTCTCATTCTTTAGAAGGCCATTCCAACAAAAAGTGGGCTAGCTGCCTCTGGAAACATTTAGGTCCAGTTTTGCTAGGAAGCAAACAATCATGTGGGGGCTGTTTCTATTGCAGGGTGGGGAAGAAGGGGGTTGAGGTGTGAGGTTGGGGAGGAGACTGTCCCCATCGCATGCTTTGGGAATCTTCCCTCTTGCTGCCAACTGTACAGTGACTCTGAAAAGCATCTGAAAGAGGAGGAGGAGGAGGCTCCGTTCACACATGAAAGGCTAAGACTCACTTAGGTTATAACACACACTCACCCATAATTACCCCATATTCCTCTAAATTGTCCACACCATGATGGACAGATCCCCCCTTCCCGCCACAATTTTCCCTAAAGTTGTGGACCTCTGATGACCTCGAAACTGATCTAACATAGTAATTTTGTTCTGGGGTACCTGGCCCACTCCATCTTCTTCTGTGATCTGTCTTGGATTGTAAGCCCTACTGAAGGGACCAGCTGGACTGCCTTATGTGTTCTATGTGACCATCCAGCTACAGCTGGTTGGACCAGAATCAGATCCTGTCTCAATGTTGAACAATCTATTGGCTGGTCAGCAGCCAATCAGATTCACCCTCTTGAGAATTTCAAGTATGTGTTGCACAGCCAGAATGCAATCAGAGCTCAAAGGTTACTGAGGGTTGGGAACTTTACCTACAATCAATGCTGTAAACAGGCTGAAGTCATTAAGAGGCAGAGATGCTTCTTGAACAAGCTGCAGAGAGAAAAATGGCCCAAATGTATGAACAGATGAGACCATAGAGACACCATAGAGGCCCCAGAGAAAGAGAATCAAAGAGAGGGACTATAAGTCATTTCAAAGAGGGCTTGGATGGCTATGAAACCAGAGCTCTTAAGGTTATAATAAGATTGAAATTTTCCATAGGATGCTGTAGTCACACAATAGTGCTGTTTTCTTGAGGAGACAGAAGACTTAGCCACTCATAATCATGACATCTCATTCATAATAATCCATGATTGGAGGTGTGGGAAAGTGAATAGGTATCTTACAGTTAGGGTGAGAGAGGAAAAGAGAAAAAGAGGGGTTGGGGAGAGAGAGACAGAGAGAGGATACCTTGAGCCCTAACAGTTCAGATTTCCCAGATGCAATTTTCAAAATGATACTGGCTGCACTTTATTTCCATGAGCTGTCTTAGAACCTTACAATGACTACCTTGTTCATTTTGGTTTGCTTTTCTGTCCTTTGCATGCAGTAAATTCATCCTAAAATTCATTTATCTAAATGTAATCTGATTTCCTTGTATTATAAAAATGCTCACTCCCAAGTCTCCAAGGGATAGTCCTGGAGTTGGTTGTGGTGTCTATGTAAATCTCCGCAGTTCCCCTGACAATTGGCCTTGGCAGAATGAAAGACCATTAAGAAGCTGAGCAAGGAGAGGAAGGAGGAAAGCTTCACCTCTGTAACTGCATATAATGTTTCCTGGAGAAAAATGGACCCAGGAGCTGAAAGAGGGCATCTAGTTAGAGCTACAGAGTGCCTTTCATTGACCTGGTGTGGTCCCTAGAGAGAAAGTGCTGTGTGTTTCCTCAACTGGTTCCTTTACTCATTTATTGTACATAGATATGGGCCTGACCCTAGGCTTGGTGCTAAGGAAGCAGATAAATACAACACTAAACCTTCACTAAATCATGAGTTTCTGCTCATGGTTTAGTGGAGACACTTTGGCATTCTATTGGTACTGCAACAAAACAGTCTGCCTTCTGTGAGAGTTATTTATCTCTGTGTCAGTCTCTTCTTTGAGACGAAGAGTCTGGAAAGAACAGGGACCCTGGGTTATCATCTCTCCTTCCCTCCGCTGACACTAATGCCGAGCCTGGCACTCAAAAACTGACCAGAGAATTGGCTACCAGGTTTGGGCTGTGGATTTGAACTGTGTTGCTCCTCCCTGCCCACTGATGGCCACCCTGGCCCTCTCCAGCAAATCGTGGAACTATGTGCTCCTGGTCACAGTGGGAGGCTAAGGAGCATTGAGGAATGTGGGTGAAACCACTCAAATTCATTCTGGGGGAAGAGCTCAAAGCACATGCCCACTGGATATGGGTGAGTGGTGTCTGTAGGGAGGTGCCCTGGAACTTATAGATAAAGCCACTCACCTAGGAGTAGAGCAGGTAGCAAAACTAGTTGTCTCTAAGTTCTCTGGATGCCCTGAGTTTTCTGAGGGAGTCATCCAAATTTCAGAGTCTGCACTGGTGGTAGAGAGGTCTCAAAACACTCCCAGAACCAACCCAGGAACATAAGGAGCTTCCTTAGGACTAAAACGTTATTAAGAACTTAATGTGGAAGTCATAGACAGAGCAATCAGGCAACAGAAAGAAATAAAAGGCATCCAAATTGGAAAAGAGGAAGTCAAATTATTTCTGTTCACTGATGATATGATCTTATATCTAGAAAGCCCTAAAGACTCCTCCGAAAAACTCTTAGATTTGATAAATAAATTCAGTAAAATTTCAGGATACAAAATCAACATACAAAAATCAGTAGCATTTCTATATGCCAATAAAACTCAAGCTGAGAAGCAAATCCAGAACACAATCCCATTTACAATAGCCACCAAAACAAAATTACCTAGGAATATATTTAACCAAGGAGGTAATACTATTCAGCCATGAAAAAGAATGAAATCCCAATGAGGAAAACTACAAAACACTGATGAAAGAAACTGTAGATGATATAAACAAATAGAAAAATAACTCATGCTCATAGATTGAAAGAATTAATATTGTTAAAATGACCATACTGCCCAAAGCAATCTACAGATTCAGTGCAATCCTTATCAAAATGCCATTGTCATTTTTCACAGAATTAGAAAAAACAAGCCTAAAATTCATATGAGACCTAAAAAGAGCCCAAATAGCCAAAGCAATCCTAAGCAAAAATAGCAAAGCTGGAGCCATTACATTATCTGACCTCAAATTATACTACTGGGCTATAGCAAACAAAACAGCATGGCATGATCATAAAAATAGACACAAAGATCAATAGAACAGAATTTAAAAACCCAGAAATAAAGCCACATACCTACAGCCAACTGATCTTTGAAAATGTCAACAAAAATATACACGAGGGAAAGGATACCCTTTTCAATAAATGGTGCTGGGGAAATTGGATTGCTATATGCAGAAGAATAAAACTGGACCCCTGTCCCTCACCATATACAAAAATCAATTCAAGATGGATAAATACTTAAATGTAAGGCCTGAAACTACAAAAATACTAGAAGAAAACCTAGGGCAAACTCTTCTGGACATTGGTCTAGGCGAAGAATTCATGACTAAGACCTCAAAAGCACAAGCAATAAAAACAAAAATAGACAACTAGAACTTAACTGAAATGTTTCTGCGCAGCAAAAGAAATAATCAACAGAGTGAACAGACAACATGCAGAATGGAAGAAAATATTTGCAAACTATGCATCTAGTAGGATACTGATGTCCAGAATTTACAAGGAACTCAAACAACAACAAAAGCAAAAAACAAATAACCCCATTAAAAAGTGGGCAAAGGAAATGAATAGACATTTTCAAAAGAAGACATACAAATGGCCAAGAAGCATAGGAAAAAAATGGTCAACATCACTAATCATCAGGTTTTAATGCAAATCAAAACCACAATGAAGTATCATCTTATACTAATCAGAATAGTTATTATTAAAAAGTCAAAAAAATAGATGTTGGTGAGGATGCAGAGAACAAGGAATGCTTATACACTATTGGTGGGAATGCAAATTAGTACAACCTCTATGGAAAACAGTATGGCTATTTCTCAAAGAACTAAAAATAGAACTACCATTTGATCCAGCACTTCTACTACTGGTTATCTACCCAAAGGAGAAGAAATCATTATATAAAAAAGATACTTGCATTTGTATGTTTATCACAATAGCAAAAATAGGGAATCAACCTGAGTGTCCATCAATGGAGGACTGGATAAAGAAAATGTGATATGTATATACCACGGAATACTATTCAGCCACTTAAAAAAGAATGAAATCAGCTGGATGTCCCTGTAATCCCAGCACTTTGGGAGGCCGAGGCGGGTGGATCATGAGGTCAGGAGATCGAGACCATTCTGGCTAACACAGTGAAACCCCGTCTCTACTAAAAATACAAAAAATTAGCCAGGCATGGTGGCACACGCCTCTAGTCCCAACTACTCAGGAGGCTGACACAGGAGAATCACTTGGACCCGGGAGGTGGAGGTTGCAGTGAGCTGAGATCACGCCACTGCACTCCAGCCTGGGTGAAAAGAGACTCCGCCTCAAAAAAAAAAAAAAAAAAGAAGAATGAAATCATGTATTTTTCAACAAAATGGATGGTACTAGAGACCATTATCTTAAGTGAAAAAAACTCAGAAACAAATTCAAATACCATATGTTCTCTTATAAGTGAGAGCTAAATAATGTGTACAGCTGGACACAGAGTGTGGAATGATAGACACTGAAGACTCTGAAGGGTGGGAGTGTGGGAGTGGAGTGAGGGATGAGAAATTGCTTAATGGGTACAATGTACATTATTCAGGTGAAGGTTACACTAAAAGCCCAGACTTCACCACTATATAATATATCCATGTAAAAAAAGCTGCACTTATATCCTTTCAATTTATACAAAAAAAAAAAAAAAAAAAAAAAGGACCTTAGTGTTCTGTGACCTTTATACGTGAAGAATGGGTTAATAGAAATAGCTGGGTTTTCATGGTGTTCAGGCAAACAGGACACCAGGACCAGAGAGAGAAAGAGAATTTCAGTGTCTGCAGCTTTTTCAGAAGGAGAGGGAGCCCTGCCTAGTCCTCATGGGTACCTGGACTTCTTGGCAGGACTTTTTCTGGAGTGAAGACATAGGTACCTAGCTCCCATGGCATAATATATTGACCATCAAAAGCATAAACCAACCTCCTGTGCCCCACATTCTGCCTCAGGACCATCCAGTCCAGCCTGTTTGGGTTCTATTTCTCATGACAATTCTGATTTACCATCAATCTCTTAGGAGGCTCATTGGCATGTGTTAGTCCTATAGGGCATCTAAATGCAAGAGCATCATCTTCAGGCAGAGAGAGCAGGACATTTTGTATTCAACACATCTTAGAACAGCCCCAGGAGCTTAGTATCTCATGCAGGAATAGTGTTATCATGTCACCAAGCCAAAAACAAACTAAAGACTGACAAACATGGACCTCCAAGGGGAAGACTGCAAAAGTGAGTTGATAACAGACAGTTGCCCCCAGAAGTTCTCAACAGTGCTGAGAGCCGGGTCATATGTATATACCAATACCACCCACACATTTTTCATTATCAGAGACTCAGATTTTACCAAATTGCAAAGGACATATAAACTGTCTTCTGAAGCCTCTGCTTTCAGCATTACCTTCCACCCCACATCCCGCTGAAATCTAAATTTAGCCATCTGTTTTCACCATTCCAATAATCACAGGGACTTAGGCTTACTTGATAGGGGTGATAATGTAAGTGAAGTCAAGAAAGAACACACATCATTAAAAATGTTCAGGGCCAGCCAAATGCCTTTGAAATCACTTGCTTTTTAGCTGGAAATGTGAAATAGCATAGTGGCAGCAGGTCTTGATGCCCTCATCAGGAAGATAATAGAAATGTAATGCTATTCCCTGTGTCACTTTTAATGCCACGGGCAACTCTGGGCTCTAACAAATTAGCATTGGGAAGTCCTTTTCTTTAAGAAAGAAGAAAATAAGTTTTATTGGTGAAATGGACAGCCCACCACATTTCTTATTCCATCACCTTACCTGTCCCTGAGATAGCTCATCTGCTACCAACCTTGGAGCTCTTCCTCTCTAGATGAAACTTAGGGCCTTCGTCTTCCTTCAATACCAAGATCTATAAAGTCTGACATTCAAGTCAGTGGCACTGCCATGGGAGCTGAGAGTGACAGTGCTTCTATCTCCAAAACCTGGTACACGCTGTTCTAAACCAGATTCCAGGAAGGTCGGAGTGGGAAGTAACATCATAAAAGGCCCCAGACCCAGTACCCCCAGGAGAGGGGACAGAAGCAGAGCCCTCCTCCAATTAAATGTAGGCTAACTCTAAAAGGTTTTATATAGCTGTGCAAAAGTTGTATGATCTCACTAGGTGCAGATTTATAAGACCCTTTCTTTTTGTGTGGGGTGTTATTAGAAGAATTCTTGGGCTGGGCATGGTGGCTCATAGGCCAGGCACACTGGCTAATGCCTGTAATCCCAGCACCTTGGGAAACTGAGGCAAGATTGCTTGAGCCCCGGAGTTTGAGAGCAGCCTGCGCAACTGGCGAAACCCCATCTCTACAAAAATACAAAAAATAGCCGGGTGTAGTGGCATATGCCTATAGTCCCAGTTATTTGGCAGGCTGAGGCAGAAGGATCACCTGAGCCCAGGAGGTCGAGGCTGCTGTGAGCTATGATCGCATCACTACCCTCCAGCCTGGATGACCGAATGAGATCCTGTTTCAAGAAAGAAAAGGAAGGAAGGAAGGAAGGGAGGGAGGGAGGGACGGAAGGAGGAAAAAAAAAAGAGAATTCTCCAGGGAGAGTCACCAAAGAACATACTAAATGTCCCTTGGGCAGATCACCTTTCTGGACCTCAGTTTCTTTATCCATAGATTGAGATGATATGAGTCAATGGTTTTGAACCAGGGGTGACTTTGCTTCCTGGGGACATTTGGTAGCATCTGGAGATGGAGGTGTTTTGGGTTGTAACAATGAGAGGGAGTATGCAGTGCTACTATCATCCATGGATGCTGCTGATCAGCCCCCAATGCACAGGCTCTGTGTGCCCCAACAACAAGCAAGTATTTGGTTTAAAATATCAATTGTGCCAAGGTTGAGAAACCCTGGAGTAGATGATTTCAAAGTTCTCTCCCACTTATAAGAATATCTTCCCTTTGGTGTGAGTATTAAAAACCCACGTGAACATGTATAATTGGGATCCCTGAGTTTTAATGGCAAGGCCCAAAATTTATTTCAGGTACCAGGAAGGTGCCCTGCTTCTGTGCCTACGTCCTGAACTCACCTTCCTAGCCAAGCAGACCCAGGGCCATCTGCTGCAATCGTATCTGTCATCCCGGGGTCAGCAGAACACCCATCATCATGGAAGGCATTCCCAGCTAGAGAAGCTTGATGGGAAGTGGGGACAGAGGTATCACTTGTCACTGGGCTTTTCTCACTGCCAGGTTCCTCTCATTATCTGGTGAACTCTGTTCCTGTCTGTCAGCATGCCACTCAGGGGCCCAACTGCAACCTTTCTTCCGTCTCATGTCTATTTCTTTCCTCTTCTGGGACTTAGGTCTGCCGGCTCTGAAGACTCACCTTCCCCAGGGGTGGGGAAGCTCTTCATCACTCCACCCACCAGGCTTGGATTCATAGTCCTAAAGAGATTCAAGTTGTGGGCTTTTCTTCCAGGATATAAATGCAAGGAAAGGCTTGATGTGCATATCAGTGGAACATCTGTGCCACTTCTCTTTCCTGCACCCATGGCAGACATCACTAATCATCACAAAACCTTTCCCCATTGAGCTGGAGCATGGCTAAACATGGCTCTCTACAAAGCCACTTCCAGTTGATAGAGTCGGCATTCTGATTTTAACCAACTCGCCATCCTGTTCTCTGAACCATCCAAGTGAAGATAATAAGGGTTGGGAGAGATAATGAATGAAATGAGATTCTCAACTAGATTGTAAGTTCCTTGCGGGCAAGGGCAAGTTCTGTCTCATTCACTTGTCTGTCTCCAGTATACACAGGAGAGACCCAATAAACATTTGTGGAATGAATGAAGAGCCTCCCATGTGGTCTCCCTGAGATGCACACTCCCCACCTGACTCCCTAAAATTGGAATGGACTCCAATTCATAGCTTTCCATCTGGACTAATGCTGGATAGAGTGATCCTGGGAAAGGAGAGATTTGAAAGAGCAAAGATGATATAGTGAGCTCTGCTCTCAGATGTAAAAGGGGAATGCAGGACTGATGTTTTCCATTATTCCTGAAAGAGTGATAATGGCTATGAGAGAGAGCTTTGAAAGAATCTGGTACCTGTGTCACTTCTCCATGTTAATTTTTTTTTTATTATCCCCTTCCTGGTTCCCTGTGGGCTTTAGGAATTTTTTTTTTTTTTTTTTTTTTTTGAGATGGAGTCTCACTCTGTTGCCCGGGCTGGAGTGCAGTAGCACGATCTCAGCTCGCTGCAACCTCCACCTCCCGGATTCAAGCGATTCTCCTGCCTCAGCCTCCCCGAGTAGGCACCCGCCACTACGCTCAGTTAATTTTTTGTATTTTTAGTAGAGACGGGGTTTCATCATGTTGGCCAGGCTGGTCTCAATCTCTTGTGATCCACATGCCTTGGCCTCCCAAAGTGCTGGGATTACAGGTGTGAGCCACCGCACCCGGCTGGAATGTTTAGGCTATCATTTATTGAGTGCTGTGTTCCATCAGCTTTGTAAACATTGACCCACTAGATGATCACAATAGGTTGGTTCTCTTTTTAACCATTTCGCAGAAATCGAGGCACAGAGAGGTTAATTACATGCCTATGATGGCCAGCTAGAGGGCGACTAAGTTCAGGTTCATACCTAGGCCAGTGTGCCTCCAAAGCTGGTCTTTGTAAAGCCCTTCAAACAGAGAGATTCTGCGTGCTTGTGCTTGGTGGCCACAGGGTGGGAGGAGATTGTGCTCTGTCTCCCTGCCAAGGTTGAAGACTCTGGGGGAGGGAGTGGCAATGGGAGAAGCTAAGGGAAGGTGTCTTCCCTGAGACCTTAGGGAAGGCGGAAACAAGTCCCGTGAAATTGGCCTGGATAGGAAACAGGTCCTCAGTCTACAACTCTGCGAAACCCCTGAGGACAGAGGCCCAGCTCAGAGGCCCAGGTGAGTCTAGCCTGGTCCGCTGCCCACAATCCCCTAATCTCCTGCTACACCATCGCCTAGTTATCTACCCCAACATTTGGGTGGCCAGATTTAGCAAATTACAGGATGGCCAGGTAACTTTGCAATTCAAATAACAACAAATTTTTTTTCAGTATAAGTATGGCATATTTGGGACAAATACTAAAAAATTATTTGTTGTTTATCTGAAATTCATATTTAATTGGGTGTCTTGTATTTTATGTAGCAATTCTATCTACCATCCTTGGCCACCTCCCACACCATCCCCTGGTCTGCTGCCTTGCTATTCCCAGTGGAAATTCCTGGCCCCACGTAGACCAAATTGCTGTGTCACATTCCCTACCCAGAGCTGCCCAGTGATCTTTACCCAGCTTAGTTTCTCCAGGAGCCCTCCTCGAAGCAAACAGTTGCATCCCTGAGGACAGGACCGTGAGCATCCTGCCCCAAGTCACTCAGATCCTCCTGGGGGTATTAGGTTCAGGCTCCCTGTGGTGGTGGTGGTGGTGGTGCGGGGGCTTCTGGATAGCAAGGTAAAGAAGCTAATGAGACAAGAAACCTTGCCTCATAATTTGGAAAACTTCATCACTTCCCTGGCTCTGGGCCAAAGCAATCATTTTAAGGTGCTTGGAGCGGGGAAGGGGGACTGAGAGGAGGGTGGTTTGCTGTGGGTTTCTCCTCCCAGACTTGCCAGCTGCAGACAGGATATGGTTAATGAGCTGTGGAAGCAGAATTCACCCAGGAAATGATGTGGGGCCACCCTACACCTGTTTCCAAAGGCTGTGGAGCTCCAGGCTTGGAATGAGTGAAATCTGAAATCTTACTACCTATTTGGGGGCTCCCACTCCTCTCTTCAGACATAAATACAGAGATGGGAAAGGACTTGACAGGAACCCATGGACTGAGGAAGATAGCAATGGGGGCGGGAAGGGGGAAGGGGAATTAGAGGAGCTGTGCTTTCTTTATCTGACTCCCCACATATGTAAAAACACACACACACACACACACACACACACACACACATACTGCACTTACAGCTCAGGAGCTGGGGAGCTGAGCTCTCATGCCTATTCTGTGGCTCATGGTGAGCCAGTTGCTTCCCTTGTCTAGGCCTCAGTTTGCTCATCTATAAATTTTAGGAGAAGGGCTAGAATCTCTCCGGCCCAGCCTGCAGAGGTCCAGGAATTTGGTATCCCCACCTAAGTATGATCTCTCTGAGAGCAGGGACTTGGCTTCAATCTCATGGATGACTGATCACTCAGAACCCAGCCAGCCTCAGGGAGAGTCCAGCAATGCTGGCTTCTGCTGCTGCTGCTGTCCCTAGACCTGAAGACTGGCCACAAAACCAGAGGCATTTCCCAATGTGTGAGCCGGGGCCTTCCCAGGCTGCGCTGGCAGAGGCTGCAGGGGAACCAGGAGCCTAAATTCCCAAGCAGGCAAATTACCCACTGAGCACCCTGCACCCTAGTGCCTAGGGACCAGTCCAGGAGACAGGGCAGAGGAGGACACATCTGCCAGGTGGCTCCCAGGGTCCCACCCCCGAGTCATTCTCATACTCAGTGCCACTGTTAATGCCTTCCGCTTTAGCTTAATTAAGCCATCTGCCCACATTAAATGGTAAATTATCTCAATCACTCCCTGGATCCCAGAGGGGAGAAAGAGATGAAAGGAAAATGTCATCCCTTGAGTGGAGCTGGAGGACTCTGCCCCACCTGTGATGACTTCTCCCTCAGTGAGAGACAGCCTCCAGTGTTTACAAATCCTTCTGTGTCCTTGAAAATCTAACTCCACCTGTCATCTCTCTGCTTCTTTCTCTTCCTATAGGGAGGAGCGAGGCTCTTACATGTCTGACCATGGGTAGGAAAAAAGATGAGAGCTTTTCTGTTTTTCCTCTACCTTAGGGGTGCTTGAGTGTCTGTAATGTTGCTCTCTTCCAATAAGCCTGTTATTTTTGCACCCCTGTCAGCTCTCAGTTCTGCTGAGGAAGCACTGTGCTCCCACTGAAGTGACCTGTGAACACCACTCTGCTCTGCAGGCATGTGGCCAGAGGCTGGAGGATGGAGGGATCTCATTACAGGCATCTGTGGGTAAGTGGGGAGGTGTCTCCCAGGGTAGAAGCACCTTCTTCGAAGGGTTGCTGTGGACCAGGGGATGGCCCTTGCTTGGCTTTGCAGTTCCAGACATTGGATTTATAAGCATGCTCGTAGTTGTTCAGGTTCAAGAACCATTGACTTACAGTCACTAAATCCCTAAGAGACTGATGAACCTGAGTCCAGTAAAAAACTGGGAGACATGACTTAAGAGAGATTGACTCACAGTCACTAAACTTCTAAGAGACTGAGTGTCTTGGTTCATTTTGTGTTGCTATAGCAGAATACCCAAGGCTGAGTAATTTATAAAGAAAAGAGGTATATTTAGCTCATGGTTCTGCAGGCTGGGAGGTTCAAGAAGCATGGTGCTGGCATCTGCTTGGCTTCTGTGTGGGCTTTCTTGCTGCATTAAGACATGGTGGAAGATCAAAGGGGAAGTGGACATGTGCAAAGAGGTAAATTTCAAGGAGTGTCCTGGTTCTATTAAAGCCCACTCTCAAGGGAGCATTCCTGTGAGAACTAGTTCAGTCTCACAGAGAGCAAGCGCTGACTACCACCAACCATTTATGAGAGATCTGTCCCCACCTGTCACCGGGCCCCACTTCCCAACACCGCCACATTGGGGATCAGTTTCAACATGCATTTTGGTGGGGTCAAACTCAAACCATAGCACTAAGGAGCCCACGGTAAATGTAAAATGGTGAGTATTCCTACCAAGTATTCCCTTTTTGGTACCAAGCTTACCCAGAAAACTAATAATCAGAAGATTGCTTACTGAGTTCAGAACAAAGAGACATTAGGTCAGGGGATAGGAAATTGTGATTAACGATGTCTGGTCCAGAGCCACTTGTCTCTCTCAGTGGAAGTGGAGACACACTGACTGGTTGTATTATTTGACTGCCCCTTTTCTGGACGCCTAGCAGACCCAGATCTTCAGTTGCCCTAGGCTTCCTTCAGTCAGACTGGGGACTACTGACTGGGCCCCAGCTCTCTTTAGCTACGTTTAGTCCTGACGACTTTTTTTGGACTTGGGTACTTCCCAGTCTCTTCATTATGCATTTACAAAGCATCATTTAGAGTGGGTCTTTTCTATGAATTGTTAATGCTTAGCTGTTGTACTTTCTTGAAAATGACTGAAGTCCCAGGTTCTGTTAATCTCTTTCTGTAGCTCCCTAGCTACACAGTTATTTTATGAATCATAAGTCATGCCCCCGGATCTCAGACAGACTTCATATGCTATTTCAGGGCACATTGGGCTTCTGCTGAGGCATCACTAAATGGAACCACTTGCTAACTGTGTTACTTTGGGCACAACACTAAGCCTCCATGAGCCTTGGTTTCCTTGGGATAAAATGGGGATATTAATGATGATTTCACAGGGATACAAAGATCAAGGGAAATAGTCAAGTGTTATATCTTGATCATGTATCAAAATGGGCTGTGACCTCCTTACAGTGACTGTCATCAGTCAGAAGCCTCAAGGGATGCTTTCCCAGACAGAAATAGTCTTGTGAATATGCTTAATTTGTTTATTCACAAAACATTTATCAAGCACCTACTGTGTGACAAGCATGGTACTTGCAGTGAGAGAATAAATTTTCTTAAATGCTGAAATAATTACTTTACCGTGAGAGGTGAGGGTAGTACATTGACAACTAATATTGGGAACTTATTGTGTGCCAGAGAGGAAACTGATTGCAGGTATCATTTTATTGAAGTCACACAATAGTCAAATGAGGTAGACACTTTTACTACTCCCATTTTGCAGATTAGCACACTGAGCTAATCAAATTCTTTAAGGTCAGACAGCTTGTATATGGTATAATTAGAACCCCGATCTGAGTGGCTGCAAAGATCATGCTCTCAACTAAACTCCAGAGAGGGATAGATTACAAGTGCAAAATCAAGATTGGTACAGATTAGACCCTCTTGCACTGTGTGTGTGATTTTCTTGCATGGTTATTAAATGTAATGTGTTGTATTCAAACATGACTGTGAGTTTAAGGCTACAATGTTTGGGTGAGTAAAAGGAGTATCTCCTTCAATAGGGTGAATAGTGATGAAAGAGCCCATAATGGAGACAAAGAGGATTCTCAGACTAGAATTCAGGAAGCAGAGGGAATGCCCCACGTAGGTGTGGCCTCCTGGAAAGTTAAGTGCAAAGGCAGCATCCACCACTTTGAGGTAAGCAGCAATCAGGAAGTGGGAAAGGGGCAGTGGGCCAGGGAGACCTGCCATCTCTCTTAATAAGATCCCAGACCTCCAAAACCAGCATATAAGGGGACCTGGGCCTCACTGCGTCCAACCCAGGGATTCATACTCCCCTCAGGGATGTTCTGACAATGACTGCTGCCTCTCTCATTGGGCTTCACGTCTAAAGGTCCAGCCCTTCTGTCTAAGGGACAAAAGATTGTCTTTAAAGCCTATTGCTGAGTGGGCAGGGTGTCTTGAAGTCATGTTCTATGGTCATATTCTATTGCCTGCATTTATTTTTTCTCTGTTATTCCTAAGCCTTTAGTCAAGTCTCATGTAACTGGCCCAGCCTGATTTCACCAGACAAAAGGAAAGGTCTTGTGTTCAGGCTCTAATTGGAGCATTAAAAAGATTGCAGGCTCCCTTCAGCTTTGTGGAGAGAATGTATTCCAGGTTAGAGTGTCCTCTGCATCCTCATCAGGAGATATGCTGGAATGGCCTTGTCACCACAAGACTGCCACGAAGCTTGTGAAGTTCACGGAATCACTTTAAGGCCCCAACCCACCCTCGGGCCCCAGCAGCTGATGCCCTTGCTCTCAGATTCCCATCATGGTTCCAGGTGGTGACTATTACCCAGTACCATACGTTCCAGACTGTGCCCATCTCAGGAGCCAGCTTGACAAACTCATCCCTAGAGTTTGTCAAGAATGCAGAGCCTTGAGCCTACTCCAGACCTCCTGAATCAGAATCTGCATGTTAACAGAGGCCAGATGATTCAGAAGCACATGGAAGTTTGAGATGCACAGATCCAGGGCAGGAGCTCTTAATCTGGGCCCATGAGCTCAATGGGGGAAAAATAGTATTACGTCTTTATTTTTTTATTTTTATTTTTATTTTTGAGACGGAGTCTCGCTCTGCAAATTTATTCTCTCACTGCAAGTACCATGCTTGTCACACAGTAGGTGCTTGATAAATGTTTTGTGAATAAACAAATTAAGCATATTCACAAGACTATTTCTGTCTGGGAAAGCATCCCTTGAGGCTTCTGACTGATGATAGTCACTGTAAGGAGGTCACAGCCCATTTTGATACATGAACAAGATATAACACTTGACTATTTCCCTTGATCTTTGTATCCCTGTGAAATCATCATTAATATCCCCATTTTATCCCAAGGAAACCAAGGAGTGCAGCGGTGTGATCTCGGCTCACAGCAACCTCCGCCTCCTGGGTTCAAGTGATTCTCCTGTCTCAGCCTCCCAAGTAGCTGGGACTACAGACACACGCCACCATGCCCAGCTAATTTTTTTATTTTTAGTAGAGACGGCGTTTCACCATGCTGGCCAGGATGATCTTGATCTCCTGACTTCATGATCTGCCCGCCTTGGCTTCCCAAAGTGCTGGGATTACAGGCGTGAGCCACCGCGCCCGCCCACATCTTTATTTTTATCAATCACTAACCAAACATTAGGATTTCCTTCCATTTTGGATGTAGCTTGCAAATCACAGACGTATTCACGATACTTTTGACTTTGTCACCGATAGAAATCATGGATATTTTTGTAACACATTACAGTTGTTTTAGACATCTCAAAATAGCATATATATTCACCACTACTTCAAAATAACAATAGCTATTAGATATGAAGTTATATTATGCTATATAATAGCAACCAAACTTATTATATCACAAAATTTGAAAAATATTTTTGATAAGGATTTCAAAGGACATGACTTCCCTTATTATCCCATGTGTTTTACTTTCTGCATTAGAAACTTTATTCTGAGAAGGGCTCACCAAGTTGCTGAGGGATCCATTACACTAAAAAGGCAAAGAACCTCTGCTCTAAGAATCACAGCAGGGCCGGAATAGTGTTTGGAGAATTTCAGACATGTGGGGTGAGCATTACTTAATCTGGAAAGCCCCAGAAGTCACATGTCCCCGCAGATAGGCAGCCTTCAGAGCAGACCTGACTGGCAGCTAGAGGTCTGCTTCAATGGCTTCTTCATTCTCCCTTCATTAAAAAGTAGGTTTGATAAGGCCCATGCTAAGGAATAAAACCAAGATTCCAAGTAGGGAAGATTGCTCTTGTCAGCCCAGCAAGAAAATCAGCGACCCAACTGAAAGAATATCAAAGATTATTCCTTTTATCAGCCCCTGTAGCCCCTGTCAATTTCCCCGCAGTAATCCACAGAAAAACACTTAAAAGGAAAATCACCTGTGTGCCTGTCTTTAGGGGCAGAAAGGAAGGAGCCAGTAGGGACACCAGCTGCCTTTGCAGCCGGAGGGGTGAGGAGAGTCCTGGGGAATGAGAGTGGGTGGTGATAGCTTTAAAAAGAAGATCCTGGCTGGGAGCGGTGGCTCATGCCTGTAATCCCAGCATTCTGGGAGGCTGAGGCGGGTGGATCACCTGAGGTCAGGAGATCGAGACTAGCCTGGCCAACATGGTGAAACCCCATCTCTACTAAAAGTAAAAAAATTAGCCAAATGTGGTGGCACACCTGTAATCCCAGCTCCTGGGAGGCTGAGGCAGGAGAATCACTTGAACCCAGGAGGTGGAGGTTGCAGTGAGCCGAGATAGCGCCACTGCACTG
Source organism: Homo sapiens (assembly GCF_000001405.40). NCBI lineage: Eukaryota > Metazoa > Chordata > Mammalia > Primates > Hominidae > Homo > Homo sapiens. The sequence continues at coordinate 110,287,446 of NC_000001.11, forward strand.
CACTCCAGCCTGGGTGACAGAGCAAGACTCCATCTCAAAAAAAAAACAAAAACAAAAAAGAAAAGAAATCCCTTTACACTAGGCATAAGGAAAATATAAATAAATAAAAATAAAAAGAAGATCCCATGGTAGGGGAGCAGCATCCCTAGACCTGAGGGAATGGTGGGGGTGTCTGGGTGAGATGTGACCCTGAGGCCAACAGCAGGCCTGAGCTGGTTGGTCCCCAGAATTCTCTTGAGGAGAGGGAAGCGGCCACCCCTGAAAAAAGCTCCTCTGGCAAGAGTGTAATGGAAGGGATAGCAAGATCAGGGGTCAGTGCTTCTCCCTGGCTCCTCAGCTGGAGGCAGGGTGGGTACAATGAGCCATTCCAGGAGCTGGGATGGACCAATAGCCCTGTGCTCTTTGGGGGCCTTGAAAACATGGTCCTATAGGGCTCCTGGCAAGATGCTTTGGGCCAACAATGGGGCTCTCTAGGGTAAGACTAACCTCGCGCTGTCCTTTATGAATAATGATAATAACTTCACAAACTGTTTAATATTTTAGACTTTTCAAAGTTGCCTTAAGGCAACCTGATATGGTAGTGGAAAGGGACCAAAACTGAAATCTACTTCTGCCCATGAAAAAGAAAATAAAGAAAGCCATAGCCAAATTTCTTTGGCCCTCTTGAGCTTCAGTTCTTTCCATCTGAAAGGTGGGGATAATAATAGCTGAGGAACCTGCTCAGTGATTTGTGTGCAGATCAAATGGCGCATGGGCACGAAAGATGAGGGCTTTGCCATGGAAGTGGAAGGTCCTGTTTCATCTGAGCACTGTCACCTCCTGTATGAGTTTCCTAGTGCTGCTGTAATAAAGTGCCACAGTCAGTGGCTTAAACCACAGGAATGTATTGGCTCGCTGTTCTGGAGGCTGCAAGTCCAAGACCAAGGCATTAGCAGGGTTGGTTCCTTCTGAGGGCTGTGCTTCTTCCTTTGCTTCTAGTGGTGGGCTGGCAACTGTAGGAGTTTCTCAGCAAGTAGAGGCATCACCCTGATCTCTGCCTTCATCTTCACATAGTGTTCTTCTTGGTAGGGTGTCTGTGTCCAATTTCTCCTTTTTATAAGGACACCAATCATACTGGAGTAGGGGCCTACCCAAATATAATAAGACCTTATCTCAACTAATTACATCGCAACAACCCCATTTCCAAACAAGGCCATAGAATGAGGGAGGGGTGGGACTTCAAAATTTGAGTTTGGGGCCAACACAATTCAGCCCATTACACTCTGTTAGCCCATTGATGCTCCTTGGCCGTGGGGAGCCCAGAACACACAGGTCAGGTACAGAGGATGGAGCAGGGTGGAGAAGTTCCAACTCTTCTAGGCAGATTCTGCTCTCAGATGAATTGAGGTCTTCCACCACTTCTTTTATTAAGCACTTAAACTTTATTAAACATCTACATTATGCCAGATATAGAGAATATAAAATGAATAAATTATTGTCCTTAACTTCAAGGGAAAAGAGAGACAGACATGTAAACAAATCATTGCAAGGCAGCATGATTCACACAATAAGAGATTTATGTGGCAAAAAAGACAGAGTCCAGGACAGGATTGTCAAGGAAGGCTCCTAGGAGGTGGTAACATTGGAACTAAATATTGAAGACAACTAGGGATTTTCCAGGCAGGCAAAAGGCAGAGACATTTCAACTAGACTGAAAGCACCACAGCACAGAAGTGTAAGAGCCTGGCTTGAGTAATAGTTTGGCTGGGCTAGAGATGGGAGCAATGGGAGACAGAAGTCAGAGGTAGGTTAGGGCCAGGTTAAGGGGGTTATCCACCACCCTAAAGAATGTAAACTTTAGAATGGAAATCCTATAGGACCGCCATGGAAAACTTTCTATGCTGTAAGTTCTGAAAAGTCAATGATCTCATTGGTTGTGGGAGATGAGGCCAGAGTACTAACATAGCAGACACTCAATATATATGCAACAAACACATGAATGAATGAAAGAGTGAATGAATGAATGGTTTTAAGCAGAAGAGTGGTATGAGAGTCATAAGAGTAGGGTGCATATGGAAGCAGATAAACACAGTCAGGATAATTTGCTGTATACCAGGCAAGTGCTGTGAGGGCCTGAATAGCCTCCAAGAAGAGCAGAAACACATGGCCTTCAATGGGATGGGAAAGGGGGGAAAAGGTGAAACTAATGGTACATCTGTAGGGGTCTTAAGATGGGATTTTTTTTTTTTTTTTTGAGACAGGGTCTCACTCTGTTGCCCAGGCTGGGGTGCAGTGACACGATCTTGGCTCACTGCAACCTCTGCCTCCTGGCTCAAGCAATCCTCACACCTCAGCCTCCTGACTAGCTGGGACCACAGGTGCGCCAAGAATACAAAAATTAGCCACCATGCCCAGCTAATTTTTGTATTCTTTGTAGAGATGGGGTTTCACCATGTCACTCAGGCTGGTCTCAAACTCCTGGGCTCAAGGGATCCTCCTGCCTTGGCCTCCCAAATTGCTGGGATTATAGGTATGAGCCACTGTGCCTGGCCTTAAGGTTTGAATTTGGAGGAGTTCCTGCCCCAGACCTCAGCCATCTCTGGGGTGCTACTTCCCGAGGGAAAAGAAAGAAGAGGCTGTAGGAGGCACTCTTGCTGAGAAGCACTGAAACCAGCAAAGAGCAGGAGGAGCCAAGAACAGAGCTCAGCTGCCCCAAGGCCAAAAGGAAGATAGATGCCCAACTGTGGGCCTGAGCTAAGCTTGGGGAATTTGGAACGCAATAGAAGGAAAAATGGGGCTACAGCGGGTTGAATAGTGTCTCCCCAAAATTCATGTCTACCCAGAACCTTGAAATGTGACCTCATTTGGAAACAGGGTCTTTGCAGATGTGAAATGAGATCATACTGAATTAGGGTGGGTCCTAAATCCAATGATAGGTGTCATTATAAGAGACAGGAAAGGACACAGACACACAGGGAGGAAGGCCATGTGAAGAAGGAAGCAGAGATTGGAGCTGTGCTGCCACAAGCCAAGGAAGGCCAGGAGCCACCAGCAGCGGGAACAGGTAAGGAAGAGTTCTCCCCCAGTGCCGTCACAGAGAGCATGGCCCCACCAACACCTTCATTTTGGACTTTTGGCTTCTGGAACTATGAGAGAATACATTTCCCATTGTTTTAAGCCCTTGAACTTGTGGTACTTTGTTATGGCAGCCCCAGAAAACTAACACAGAGTCAGAATACAAGGGGCTGGTGAAGGTTAGGTCAAATGGTCAACCATTGAGTAGGGACCCAGGCAGGAAAGGAAGGGACATCAGGAGGAACTGGTAGACTCAGAGAGGTCTAGGGCTGAAGGTCTTGAGGAAGAATGACAGGTTTGGGGAAAAGCTGAATGAACAGATTTATATCCTGAGGGTGGTATATTTAAAATTAAGATTTTAGAGGTGTCTGTTGGACAAGAAGTTGTAAAAAAAAAAAAAAAAAGATTTCAGAGATGGAACAGTTCCAGGTGACTATAGGTGTAATCAGATTAATCTCTTTTTTAGTGGAGAAAAGCTGCCTGACAACAGATTTACCCAGCCTGGCAAGACAATTTATCCTCCTTGGAATCTGCGCTTTAAATCCAAGGACTAAAGAAGAGCCTATGTTCTTCTGAGAAATTACTATTAGCTCCCTTCATGTCGAGGCATTTCAGACACTGCCTGGGAGTTTTGTGTTTTAGGAAGGTCATAGGGGTGGGGGACAAGGTCTCAAATCTCAGCCTGTGGGTGAGTCTTCCCAGGCCTGGCCCAGGCTTTCAGAGAAAGGCACCCCCCAGAGGCTTTCAGAAAGGTGTGCTTGTCTGGAGACCCCTGGGACATTAGATGGCAGAGAAAATAAAACCCACCAAAATGGCAAGGCAAAGCTGGGCCATTTGAGGAAATTCAGAAGGAAAAACTCCAAACAGAATCTGAAGGTAATAAAGTGACAACTCTACTGCAAGCCAGAGAAATTCTCAGAGTTGCCCTGGGGCCAGGAATTACTCAATTAAATAGCAAAAGCCCAGAGGGAAATGGAGAAACAGTACCTCTTCCTCCTTTACCTGAAGCTCTGCTCCCCCTATTCCCTTCACCCCATATGCCCTCTGCTAGCAGCTTCTCCCCGCAGGCCCTACCCTTAGACCAGTCTGCCATCACATCCCAGCTGTCAGTACATTCCTCCTTTCCCACTAGGACACGAACACTGATGGATCTTCTCTCCTCCTGCTCCTCTCTGGCCCTGGTCCAGGCTGTTTTCTATCACTTTCTCTCGGGAGCTTTCTAGCTGAGCTTTCCTATCACTTTCCCCTGGGGCGGGGGAGGGTCTCATTTCCACCTTCTCAAGATATTGTCTCCTATTATATATTTATTTTTTCTTTTTTAGCTATCTCCTGCGGAGAGGGTGGTCTCCTACTATTTAAACAGAAAAGAGTGTTTGTTTTGAGGGAGAGTGGACAGGCAATAAGGAAGTTACATTTCTTTCCTTACACAGTGCCTGAGCCAAGAGGACTCTGGCCCTAGTATCCACGTGACCAGAGCATCCTCAAGCCTGCCTCGTCAGCCCCTGCACTGTCCCCCAAAGGTCCTTGCATTTGCCAGCCCAAGACTGTCAGGGGCATAACCCTCTGACCATATCCTCACACTCTCTACCTTTAGCTCATTCTCCTCTCCCTGTGGCATCCTGGGCACCACTTCTTCCTCTCTCTCTCCCTAGCCCTTTCTCCAAATCCCCCAAGTGGGAGGGATAGGTTGGGAGCAGAAGGCTGTTTAGCTTTTACAAGCCCGGTGCAAGGATCTGCTAAGAACTATTCCAACGACCATGTTTTCCAGAACAGATTTTGTATTTAATCAATGAAGGTGTTTCTCTCCCAGCAGACAGCTAATCTCCAAGAGCCTCACATTCATCTTCTCTCGGTATTTACTCAGATGGGAAAAGTGGCTCCTCTTACCCTTACTGCCTGAAGATCATTCTTCCTTTCCCCAGCTTCTCCCCATTCACATCGGGGAATTGTACTATTCGACCAGCTCTCTCCTGTGCGAAAAGTCAGAGGCGAGTGAGAGGATGGTGACCTGGGGAGGCAAAGTGACAGAATATGTCAAAGAGCAGTGACAGTCTCTAGGTTGTAAGCTGCCTGGGATGGCATGGGGGATGGTGATTATACTGAGTCACCACTGATGAAATATTTATTGAGCTGTAAAGGAAACACTCCAGGGTAAAGCAGAGAAGCAGTAACTGATTTAAGATGCAGAAGTTCAAGTACTCACACCATTGCCTCACTGTGCAGGGACAGCAAGTTCTTTACCTTCTCTGGGTGTCAGCTTATAGGCCTGGGCTGTCAGGGCTGGAAGGGAGCAGACAGAACCTTTATTGGAACCTCACCTATTAAAGATGGGGCATTGGTGGGTTGCTGATGACAGAACCTGAAAAAACCTACTCCTCTACAGCAGGTCGAATTCATGACCTGAAACTGAATACTTCCAGCATATTTGTTCAGGGTGTAGATGGGAATAAAGTATCTTTGCAGTGCTATGTTCCCTCCATCTTCCCAGACATCTGACACCCTGAAAGCCATCCACAGCTGTGGAGCCTGAGCGACACCTTGATTTGTGTTGTCACCTGACCAAGCCTAAAGACCTCCAGCTCAGTCCCCCACCTTCATCCCACCCCCCACATGATAAAATTCAGACCTCTCTCCTGAAAGGCAGAGGTTAAACATTCGGGACTGTTTCTGGCCGAGGACTTCTTCCAATTTAAATCCCCACTGTGGGCTGTCTCCCCTCATTTCATTTTTCTAAAGAGGCAGAGGCTCTTTTAAAAAATAATAAAATGCAATTTATGTGATTTACTTTTCTGATCTCTTTGAGAAACAGAGAAATATAAAAGTGTGTTCTTAACTCCAGAACCACTCTTTTTGCATAAATACCTCATTGGGTGGCTTTCTAATTGTGATTTTCCTGAGTCTCCCTTCATTGGATCTGCCGGAAGACTTGTCAGGGAACCTTTAGTGAGGGTACTTCTTCCTATTTTTCTTCTGTTTTTGGAGGCATGCACATTATGCATAACCAAAACAATGGCTCAATTGTGTTTAACTTTGTATTTTGATTGTTGAAAACAAAAACAAAAAGTATCGATGTGTATGTGGCTGTTTGTAGTGAATTCATTGCAGAATGAGGTTGTCCGCGTCCTTAACAAGCTAAGGGGCAGGAGGCACCCTCTCTTATTCTTATTCTCTTCTCCAAGAGCAGTAGATAATTTAAGCACAAGCCTATTTGTGAAAGAATATTTTGCTTAAGTGCCATTCACCTGAGTCTTGGAATTCCTTCCCAAACGTCAGGTGTTCTTTCAGCTTCCAAACTAGCATATGTATCCATTAGTCTGACAGATCACCTGAACACCACTAAGAGGTGTGGTGTTTTTGCTTTCATTTCTCCTGCTGGGAGAAGTGGCAGTTCATGTGTCATTCAGTATCTCACATACTCACACGAGGCAGGGGGGAGGGGGAAACGGGGAACTGTAGCAATATTTAAAGATGCTTTGGAAACCAACCGTGAACACATCAACACCACGACATCTACGATTACTTGCTGTTGGCCCTCGGACACATTTAAGAGAAAGAGACAGTCACTCTTTTTTTCTTAAATGATATACACATAGACAGTTATTTTTATTCTATTATAATTGTCTTTTACCTTTATCTAGTGCTATGTGGAAAGGGTTTGCATCATAGATTTTTCCCAGCTTTATAATATACCACAAGCTCCTACTTCCCTGCTCCTCTCTAATCAGTATTCTTTCAAGAGTTCTTTGGTGAAGCCAGCTATCTGAAACTAAAATGAACCAAACCCATATCACTGGTGGTTGGAGAAAACCATGGCCAAAACGATTGTGGCAGGTCTCAATCTTGGGAGTTTTTAAGAAGGAATGTGCCAGAGGCCTTTCCCAAGAATGGAGTTTTGTTTTGTTTTGCAGAGGCATTCAATGTGTCTGGTGCTCGCTGGCCACAGCAGTTACTACCACAGAGACTTCTGGGAGGGGCCGTTGTGTTGAAGGAGGCTCCTGCCTGAGGGACAGCATCAGGTAGTGGGCTCTGTAGAGTGAGAACCAGGTGGACGCCTTCTGTGCCCAGCTCCGAGTCCTGCACCACGCCAGGACTGCCCCGGCCAAGGGCTACTGACGCAGGTTCCACTCATTCCACTGTGTGGGGGGCCTTGCACCTCTCCTAGAAGGGCTCCTGGAGAAGGAATTGGAGTTACGTACAAGTGACTCCAATTTATGGGAAGCTTTTCTTTTTTTTTCTTTTCTTTTTTTTTTTTTTTATACAGAGTCTCGCTCTGTCTCCCAGGCTGGAGTGCAGTGGTGTGATCTCGGCTCACTGCAAGCTCCGCTCCCCGAGTTCACGCCATTCTCCTGCCTCAGCCTCCTGAGTAGCTGGGACTACAGGCGCCCGCCACCACGCCCAGCTAATTTTTTGTATTTTTAGTAGAGACAGGGTTTCACCTTGTTAGCCAGGATGGTCTCGATTTCCTGACCTCGTGATCCGCCCGCCTCGGCCTCCGAAAGTGCTGGGATTAAAGGCGTGAGCCACCGCGCCCGACCAATGGGAAGCTTTTCTAGATGAGATTGGATTAAATTCCATGTGATTTCTCTTTCCCTTTAATTCAGGTTGGGACTCGTTTCTTTCTGGTGGATCACAGCTGCCCAGATGTTGCAACTGATTTTTATGTTTCTGTAGAGAAGTACTTTTCTTTAATCTTCAGGATTTTTTTTGCCACCAAAAGAAAACATGGAACTCTGTGTTTCCTCTTGATTATGACTTCCCAGTGTTGACAGTTAAGTCCTTAGTGTTGCAGGTCCCAGCCCACCAATACTATATCAAACACTGTTATGCACATAATGCAGCACTGTGATCTAATTTAAATAATACTTTTTTATTAATTATGCTACTATATGTAATATACATCAACACTTTCGCCATATAACCTAGGTGATAACCCTCTTTTAGTTACCTGCCAAACTCTGGACTTGGTTTATATTGCAGTTAACACAGTTACAAAGTTGTAATGGTGTCTTTTTTTCCTTTGTAACGGAATGTGTAAATCAAAGTATATACATTGTGTGGTGTTCCCGTTTCTGGAGTTTCATGAGGATTTACACATGGCATTCAGTGTTCTGTATAGATCTGCATACCTTTGTAAATTCATCTGTTAACCCCTCTTCCTTTGAGAGAGCACCGGCGATGGTCGTTAACTCCTTGTATTTTCTCTCTCTCCTACTGGTTATTCTATTTTTTTTTTTCTCTCTCTCTGTCGCCCAGGCTGGAGTGCAGTGGCGCAATCTCAGCTCACTGAAAGCTCTGCCTCCCGGGTTAACGCCATTCTCCTGCCTCAGCCTCCCACTAATGGTTATTCTGAATTAAGCACAGACATGTCAGCTCAGTTGCTTTATCATGAATAATGTGTGTGACCTTGCAGTTCTTCCACAGTTCAGCAAACAACTGCTAGCTTCACTGACCAAAAATTAAGTAAGGAAAACGCAGTTTTTAAAATGATCCATCTTTTAACAGCCGAAACCGATGTGTCTATGGTGCTGCATCTTGCTGTTGTACTTCTGAAATCAGACCTGTGTGAATGATCATTTCTGACTTAACTGTGAGATGCTCACGAGTACCCTTCCTGTTGTTTTGTTAGTGATGAAATCAAGACTATTTATTTGGAATATATACAACAGTGTTTTTCCATTGTATTTCATTTGCAAAAGTTGAGAACTGCTTTCTCTACCTTTTGCAAAATAATTGATATTCCATATTGGATTATCAAAGACTTCAATATGGTGAACCTGTTAAACCTAGAAATTGTATTCATCCTTTCATGACTGTGGCCTGAGTTCCCCAGCCCCTCTCCTCCTTTTTTTTGGATGAGATTTAGCACACTCTCAGTTATTTAAACATGCAACATTTCTTAAGTATGTATGTTGAGGCCATCTGAGCTCATAGCTGATTCAGTAACCAGTTTCATGCTGTGTCATTCACACTCACTACTTTATACTGCCATGGTGAAAATGTGGAGGAAAAATGTATCCATGTGTGTCTGGGAAGCATATACACTTGTATATTTTTTAATACTCTGATTCTGTAACATTTCCCAGTTTTGTTTTGTTTTACAGAAAAAAAAAGTGATAAAGCAATCAGAAGACCAAGAGGTTTACTGTTGATGCTTAGGGTCGTCTGACCTTGGCTGGCCAATAGACCTACACGGCCAAATTAATTTATGAGAGTAATAATTTTTCAAAAGCCAATTTTTTTTCTGTATTTTCTTTGTGAAACTGCCAATATCATGAATAGAAAGGGAGAACCATAAAGGAGAAAGAACGTGATGTTCAGTTATGATCGTGTGAACCTAAAGAAAAAACGTGGAGGCAGGTGCCATCAGCCGAACTCTAGGGACTTGATGGTGTTGCTTGGAAGGCATCCATACCTGCATTTTGCATTCTTTGTATGTAATCATATTGCCAAAGACAAACTATTTCATCATTTCTTGTAAATAACACTCTTCCACAGACCCACCATAAAGTTTCTGTGATGCATTGTCTTCCAGTTGCAATAAAAATTACTGAGTTGCATCAATTGGAAAAAAACAAAAAAAAAAGATAGGGCATTGGACTTGGAGAGGCTGAGCTGCTCCAAACTGTAATTCCAGATGGACGGAGGCAGGGACAGCATCAAGAGCCAGCCTCCAGTCCCTGGCCACTGTCCTGTCTATCTGCTAATTAGTTTGGGAAAGACCTGAACCTGTTTGATCAGCAAAGAAGCCATTGGCCTTCCTTCCAAGTAGCTCCAAAAGGAGCGGCCTCAGATGAACATTAGGAGGCTTGGTCAGGTCCCAGCAGGAAACAGAAGGATCCTCAACTGGGATTATGAAGGTAATTGCATGAGGGAACCATTTGCAGAAGTACGGCAAGGTTAAGGGAATCAACAAGGAATGCTGAGACAGGTAGGGACCAGCAACAACAGGAAGCTCTTCCTACTCTCAACCTGAGGAGATGCATGGAAGAATGGAGTCCTCAGGACCCAGAAAGTGTTGGAGCCATGCAAGGGGGCTGCCCAGAAGGAGTTGTAGTCGTAGAATTAAAGCAAGGCAGGGAAGGAGGGAGCAGAAGAAACATCCTGACCTGTCTCCTGCCTTTGATCTCCTGCCAAAGCTTCCTGTTAATCTAACCCAAACTGGAAGACAGAAGACAGGAGAGCCCTGTGATACTATGCACAGAGATTTGTCTCCTGGAGCATGGAGCAGGCAGAAAATGGATCTTGGACTGGGAGCAAAGCAAAACTGCAAAACCAGCAGATGGGGTGTTGTAGAAGGTGCACCCCAGTAGAAATAACAAGTCCTTGGAAACCAGTAGTCAGTATGAATCCTGAGTTTCCTGCTTACTAACTGTGTGATCTTGGGCAAGTCACTTTACTCTCTGAGCCTGGGTTTTCTTCTTGGGGCTAAGTATACCCTGTTGATGGAGTAGTTGTGAGGATTAAATGAGACACCTTATGGGAAAGTGCCGACCATGTACAAGGTTCTTATAAGGATTGTTTTTCCTTCCCTTCTGAGCCCCCCTTCCAAGCTCTGCTGGACTGGAGGCACTGGAGTAGAGTGGAATGGAAGAAACACACAAACTTTGGATTCAGACCCTGGCTCCACAGCTACCAGCTGCATGACTTTCCACAAGTCACTTAACTGCATGACCAGGGGCAGGTTATGTATCCTCTCCAACTTTGTTTTCTTAATGGTAAAAAGGGACTACCCAACTCATAACATTGTTGTGAGGATTAGAAATGATGTAAGGCACCTACTAAGGTATTGGGCTTATGGTAGGTAAGCCCTGGAATTAGACTAATTTCAAATCCTATTTCCCTCCTTATGAACCATGCAATCTTGCACAAGTTTTTGGATCTCTCTGAGCCTCAGTTTCTTCATCTATAAGATGGGGATAATAAAAGCACCTCTTTTTTAGGGTTGTTGATAATGAAGTGAAGTCATGGGCACACAATGTGCCAGGCATAGAGTTGGCCCTCAAAAGTTTGTTGTTATTGATCATTACTATTATAAGTCTTATGATGTTTCTTGTGTATCTTTCCCCAATCAAGCATCCAACCCTTCTACTCAGACCCCCAGAGTCTTTGCTGGAGAAAAGCAAGTAGGGAATGGGACCAGGGGAGACAGCTAATTCAGAGGGGATGGGTTCATGGCATAAGAATGGCTCAGCCTGCTTGGCAAATGCCTTTGCACATGCATCCAGACATGAGGTGCAGTTGAAAACTCAGCCTGTAACTCTTTGGCCTTCCTCTATCAGGTTGCCCAAACAAGAGGATGGCCTGCCCTCCAGCTTTCTCACCCTCATCCTGGGCTGCCTGATGCCATGTTGAGACTGACTGGCTTTCAGTTAGATAAAAACAGAGGAAAAGGGGGAGTGTACAGTATGTCTAGACTTGACACTGTATGCCCCAATCATAATTTGCTGAACACTTACTATGTGCTAGGCATTGTGGAGACTTAACATAATTAGCTCACATCAATTTTGGCAATATTTGAAATTAGCCAAATTGAAATAGTAACATTAGTAATACTGGAAGTTAAAGCTCAGGGAGGTTGAGGAACTTGGCCAGCATCACATAGACAGTAATTGGCAGAGTCCACATTTGAAATCAGGTCTGATTGTTCCCAAAGCTCAAGCTTGGGCAGCCGTGCCACGTGGCCTCCCGGAAGGATGGCTCATATGTTGAACATCAACACAAGTGTTTAGGGAGAGTGTGGGAAGACAGGAGTGAGGAATGAGCCTGGAACAGATGTGAGAACAGCATTGTCTGCCATTGCCGGTCACTTCCCTAGGAGGCTTGGGGACTGAGAATTTCTGAGGCTCCTTTCCCTCTGATATTCTGTGAGCCAGACCCTAACTGCCAGGGTCCTGGAGAAGAGAGACAAAAATTCCTCTTCCCAAGGCCCCAGAAGCTGGCCTCTTTCCCTCCTCCCCATCCTAGTTCCTTAGGGCTCAGATCACCTTTTCCTACCCTGAGCTGCAGAAAGTCTCTTAGCTAATGGTTTAGTGTGCCCCAGAGGGTGCCTAGAAAAAGATGGTGGACTTTCAGATGGGGGCCAGGAAGGAGGGGGCTTTTCCTTACATCATAATGCCCAGGTGCTTTTGAGCCCTTAGTCTGTCAGCCTCTCAGGCGAAATCTGTGGTCTTAAGTGTAAATGGACTGGCCAAAGGGTTGTGGGGAGCAGCAGCTGGACTGCTACAGCCTCTGTTGGCCTCTTCAGAGCACACATACTCTTCTTGGGACTTCTGCAGCCAGGAAATGTGGGAGCTCAGAGCAGTGAAGGAGCTTAGCCATGGGGTGGGGGAACACACAGCCCTGGGTGCCCCTCAGAGCTGGACCCCCCAGGATGTTCATTGGTTTCTTCATGGATTCCACAGTTTTTGAGCATTTATTTTAGGTGAGCCCTGTGTAGGCAAAATCAGATAGAATCATGCCCTCGAGTTGCTTAGATATCATAGGGGAGATAAAACGTGCAACACAAAAATACCAAAGTGCTGGGCACAGTGGCTCACGCCTGTATACCCAGCACTTTGGGAGGCTGAGGCAGGGGGATCACCTGAGGTCAGGAGTTCAAGACCAGCCTGACCAACATGGTGAAACCCTGCCTCTACTAAAAATACAAAATTAGCCGGGTGTGGTGGTGCACGCCTGTAATCCCAGCTACTCAGGAGGCTGAGGCAGGAGAATCACTTGAATCCAGGAGGTGGAGGTTGCGGTGAGCAGAGATTGCGCCATTGCACTCCAGCCTGGGCAACAAGAGTGAAACTCTGTCTCAAAAAACAAAAAACAAAACAAGCAAAAACAAAACAAAACAAACAAAAAACAAACCAAAACAAAACCCAAAGCATGGAATGTTATCCAAACCTCTTCTTGGCATTTATAAGTATCTGAAGGGATCAGAAAGACAGCAGGTAGGGGAAGGGGATGCTTCCATAGCACTTACTGTATACCAGTCACTGTTCTAAATGCTTTGCATACATTAACTCTCATAATCCTCACAACCACCCCATCATTCTACAGATGAAGGAACAGGCATAGAGAGGCTAAGTGACTTTCCTCAGGGCCTAAAGCTGGTAAGTGGATTTGACCAAGGCTGTGTGGCTCAGAGTCTGTGCTCTTATCTAGGTTATTGTGCGGGGATCCTGCCTTGCCCTCAGGTCTTATCACCTGATTGTTAAAACACAATGATAAAAAAACAAGCACTAATATTTTCACCTGTATTATGCTCAGTTGTTAAAAATCAGTATATCTGCAACATGTTAATATGTGTCATTGTTAGATTATAAGCTACAAAGAATCTCATTCAGCTATACTCATTGAGTGTCTGCCAACAGCCAGGCACTGCTGTAGCTGCTTAGCATATTCTAGGTCAATTTACTTCTTGTAACAGCCTTGGGAAATAGGTGGCAATTTCCCCCTGGGTTCCAAAGGAAGAAAATGAGAGACAGACAGCAAAGATATTTGCTACACCAGTAACTCCTGGAACTAAGCTTTGGACATAGTTCTTTTAACACCAGCTTTAACTTTTACTGCTTTTAATTTTAAAGATGAATATTAATATGGTTAATCTTCATTATATAGAACCACATACAGTGTAGCCTATACCTAGTATCTTTTTCATTTGTTTTTGCATGTGAAGTAAGCTTTATTTAATTTTTTTTTTTTTTAGCACTAGCGTCTTAACTCCTAATATTAAAGAGCATGGAATGTGGGCTTTGAATTTGGCTCTGAGTTCAAGTTTTCTGGTTATCAGTATAAGGATACAAACTTGGGCAAATCTCCTCAAATCACAGTCTCCTCATCTATAAAATGGGGATTATAATAACCAACTCCATGAGGTTATTGTAAGGATTACATTAAATTTCATACAGAAAGAGCCAAGAATTGTGTATGATACCCTATATACCCTACAGACTCAGCAAACAGTAGCTATTCTTTATAGACAGCTACATAGCATGGGTCCAATAAATATGTCATGGAGTGATGGGTCTTATGCAGTCCTCTAATACACATCTTCATTTCATCCCATCAGTACCGTTGGGAGATAGATATTCTCATTTCAGAGACAGATATCCCACATCTAGTAGATGATGGAGCAGAATCTCAAATGCATATCTCCTGACTTGCCATTCCAGTGACCTCTCTGCCTTCCCTCATCTGTTCAATGGGGACAATGGCAATGCTAGTCTTACCATCCATTGTGAGCCTGGGAGATTTGCGTGATGGGACAGTTGCCCAGAAGGATCACAAAACATTAATGGTGACCTCTCTGATGGTGAAGACAGGTGAGTGCCTCCAAGACACATGTACCAAGGTACTGTTCTAGAAATATCAATCCTATGAGGTATTAAAAAAAAAAAAGTTCCTTAGCCAAATTTGTTGGCTATGGCCACTGGCTATGGCCAGTCCTATCTCAGAAAGCCCCTATTTGGCAAATAAGTCCTGACTTAGAAAATCCCTAGGTCTGCAGCTTAGTTAGAAATTCAGTATCTGGAATCTGGCTGTTGCACCCAGGTGTACGTGGTTTGAGTGAAGGTTTATTGGTTAAGATATTGATGATGGCCCACTACCTCCTTGGGTTAAGAGGAGATAGACACCTGAGAGAGAAGAGACTCCTGTTCCCCTCACCCTATGGGACCCCCATTTAGCATTAGCTGTGTGAGCCCTGTGATTCAGAGTGTATCTGTGTGAGGTTGGATTTATTAGTTGATCTTACCCTAGTCTTTGTCTAACCAGTTGCCTTCCATCTTACACTTGGTCTTAGCCAAAAGGCTGAGAAGCAATGCCTTCTAACCTTTATCTGAGATAAGTAGATGTTCTCCACCATCCTGAGCACTATCTTAGGGTTCTGTATCTGCTTGCCCTAAGCCATGTTGATCTTGAGTTCCCACACCTTTCTTCTTGGAATATCACAACGTTCATTAACATATTAGGGCTCTAAGAAATGTGCTTTAGTTAATCACGGGTCTCTTTGTCCTACAACACCTATTAATAGCCTACAGCCCATAGAACACACTTTGGGAAACACTGTCCTAACGAAAGAGAACCCACGTTCCATTGCCTAACAGAAGGGAATCCAAATTTCACACACACCTTAATGAGCCTCCACTTCTGAGTAATCAATAAGAAGGCATTAAAGCTTACCATGTGCAGGGGTCTGTGGGATGGAGAATGTGGGAGGCTACAAAGCTGTGCTGAGCCCCCAAGCCTGCTCTCGAGGAATCCACAACATGATTGAGAGAGATAAAACACCCACATAATCAAGGCTGAAGGAGGCCGAGTGTGGTTTAGTGCCAAGGATGGTGTAGGGAAGGCATCAACGTTGCTCTAGGAGAATTCACCCAGGGAGCAGACCAAGGGACAGAGAAGGAGTTGGGAGGCAAACTGATGATAGACCTGGCACCATGGAGGTTCTTTCAAAGGACAAGTTGGTCCCAACTTGGAACGAAAGAAAGCAATCCCAAGTGAGGCTGAGAACCCAGCCAGGTACGCCATCAGGTGTGGAGGAGGAGGCTTGGCAGGGCTCTGGCTGAGCAAGCAGCAGAGCAGTGGAGAAGCAGCCACAACCAAAGCCCTGCAGAGCAGGAGCATCCATGAATCAGATGTGGAGGGGGATGGAGGAGGCTGTGGGAAGTGGGTCCCAAGAGGGCAGTCCAGAGATGGGGGAGAACATGCTGGCCCCAGCTTTGGAGTCTCTGACTCTAGGTTCATGAAGGGCAGAGTGGGTAAGGAGAAAGGGCATGCACCAGTTGTCCATGAGACTTCTTTGCATGGCTCTGTACACCAGAAAACAAAAAATAAAACAGCGAGGACAACGAAACTGAAGTCTGAGCTCAGCTTCATCCAATAACTATGTATGGAGCACCTACTCTGTGAAAGAGACTGCACCAGCCCCATCTGGGTCTCTGCCCTTGAGAGTAGAGGGCTAGGGGTAGAGGCCACATGTGGGAAACAACAGCTTAATACCAATTTGTAAAAAGTGCTTGGTAAACTCTACCAACTGTAGGTCCTGCATTCATTCTCTCATCTGGCTTTGGGCAAGAGAAAGCTTCCTGGGCTGGTGACCAGGGTGGACTTCATTCCATTTAGCCAAACTGATATGAATGAGCCCAACATGTGCTGGTTCCTAGGAGTGGGTTCAGGGACAGATAAGGAAATTAAAATTGTAAGGCCTCACTTAGGTGCTGTGACAAAACCAAAAAGATCCTAGAAGCGTCTGATAGGCCCTTTTTGGTTCTGTCAAAGCACCTATGACTGGCGTTAGGGAGACAAGGGCTATGCCACAGAGGTAGTATGCCCGAGCAGATCAGAAAGGCAATGTGGAGTAAGGGCGCTGCCTGGGAAGAAAAGAAATTGGCAGACTTTAGAGGTAGCTCACAGGGAACTGTGAATAATCTTGGCCAAGCCCAGAGGATTAGGCCTTCCATAGGACCATCACAGCTCAGTGTGGAGTAGAGGAGAAAAGCTGAGCATCCCAGCCTGGTTAGAGTGTGGGCTGGAGAAGAGGAACAAGCATGACAGATCTTCCAAGGCATGCTAAGGAGTCTGGCCTCTACTGGGGAGCCATTGAACATCCATTGGTGGATGTTGCAAGGGGCAGGATACCATTAGCTTTGCCCTTTAGAAAGAGCTTTCTGGACTGGGTGCAGTTGCTTATGCTTGTAATCCCAGCACTTTGAAAGACTAAGGCAAGAGGACTGCTTGAGCCCAGGAGTTCTAGACCAGCCTGGGCAACATAGCAAGACCCCATCTCTATAAAAAATACAAAAATTTGCCGGGTGCGGTGGCACGCACCTGTAGTCCCATCTACTCAGTCGGCTGAGGTGGGAGGATCTCTTGAACCTGAGAGTTTGAGGCTGCAGCAGTGAGCTGTGATTGTGCCACTGCACTCCAGCCTGGATGACAGAGTGAGACTCTGTTTCAAAAAAAAAAAAAAAAAAACAAGAAGAAAAAGAAAAAGAAAAGCTCTTTCTGGTGCCTCAGAGAGCTGGTGCAGCCAGAGGCAGAGGACTCCGGTGAAGCTTAAACTGGGACCTGAGGGTGGCTTCAGTTCTGGCGTATGGAGAGAGTGGGTCAGCCTTCAAGACTGGGAGAAAACTCTGGCCTTAAGGAAATGTTGACTCTGGGGATGGAAGTAAGAAGCAGGCTAGACCCCACTTGGCCCCTGGTCCATGGCCCCTGTGGCCACACTGTGCTCCATCTCTTTCCTATCAACTCCCTTTCACCACTTTCAAATACTGTTTTGGGACCAGCCAACCTTGTATCCTGTAGAGAGGATAAAAATCAGCCGTGCCCCAAAGGGGAGGGAGGATAACAGAGGAGATAAAGAACTATGAATCAACAGAGGAGGGGAAGGATTCAGTGTAGGTTCTGCCCCTCTAGCTTGGTGCCTGGGCCAAGAGGTGGGCAGGGGTAAGTCTCAAGGGTAGAGCAAGCTCCAGGGACTCAGATGTTGGCTTTGAAGCACTGGCAAGGCAGCCCTGTGCCTAAAGTTCTCTCAGGGACCAGAAATGGACAGTCACGTCTGTTGATAATGTTCTCCTTCAATATTCTGAAGTGACAAGAGGATGTGAGATGATGACAATAGGCTTCGAAGCAGAGCTGATTCAGCTGATGTGGGAACCACATGTTAACATGTCAGAGACGACATGTTAGATTCAAAATGAAGCAGGGTCTCCAGGACACTGGATATTAAAGCATTTATAGTGTAGGTAGTCTGGGTACGGAGCAAGTGAGTGGCATTAGACAGTCTGGGCATGTAGTAGGTGAGTGGCAGATGAAATTACATTTCTCATCCTTGTGTTATGACACTTTTCCCCAAGCATCTTGCAGAATGCTACCACATCAGGCCTCAGTGCCTCAGGTCCTCCTACTGATAATGGGGTGGTGACCAAAGCCCTATGACTGGAAACCAAGGGCAGAGAACACAAGGCTCAAGCCCCTTTTGAAGCTGCAGAACTAGGACCATGAAGATTCAGTAATGCTTCCTGGCTGCCTAGCACTCTGCCCAATCTCTCTTCCCTACACTGTGCTGCTCAGTCTCAGAGACCCACAGGAATAAATGAGAAT
The DNA here is from genome assembly GCF_000001405.40 of Homo sapiens. Lineage (NCBI taxonomy): Eukaryota > Metazoa > Chordata > Mammalia > Primates > Hominidae > Homo > Homo sapiens. The sequence continues at coordinate 110,305,593 of NC_000001.11, forward strand.
ATCAGAGTCCAAAATCTGCCCAAGCCCAAGGGTAGAACTACATTGCCATCCACCAGGGTTCATCCACAGGGCAAAGCTGGGATGAAGCTGAGGGCCCAGGAGTGGTAACAGGCAGAGAGAATGAGGACATTCGGCTGAAATGACTATCAGCTACTTTACTTCTCCTGGTCTGAAACTATGCCTGTGCTGTCTAGTACAGTAGCCACTAGCCACATGTGTCTGATTGGATTTAAGTTAGTTAAAATTGAATGCAATTACAAATTCAGTTCCTAAGTCACACTAGCCACACTTCAAGTGCTCAGTCGCCACATGTGGCTAGTGGTTACCTTATTGGATAGCACAGGTGGAGAACATTTCCATCACTGCAGAAGGTTCTGCTGGATAGGTCTGTGGCACTCCAAAGTAAGATCAACACTAAAATCAAGACTCACCTCTTACACCATGTACAAAATAGGCTTTTCTGTCTCCATTTCCCTTTTCTCATGTATAGCCCTTCCTCCTTTCTTTCTCTGCGCTCCTCCTCCTCACATGCCTGGGGTTCCCTGCTCCATTGTGGCCAGACCTTTGCAGGCAGTGATATTCCTTGCCTGCTGACCTCTCGGTTAGCTCCTCCTCCTAGACCTTGGCTTCCTGGCCCCCTTCCACAAAAGTGGAGCACAGGAGAATTGCACAGGGAGCATTGCAGTGTGGAGTGTAAGTTCTGGGCCTCTGCCTTTTTTCTCCCCTGGTGACTTGGGCTGGACCTAAGGTTGCCTGAACCTGCCTCATCTGAGCCCAGAGCTGGCCCTAGGTTACCAGGCCTCTCTTCAGAGGGTCCTCTAGACCTTGAGAACACCCTTCCCCTTGGCCAAGAGCTTCCCAGTTCTTTGAGCCTCCAAGTCAAATACTCCTAGCATGTCTTCCCTGCAGGACACCATGCTCCTAAGGTGAGGAGATGGGTGCCTACTAATGCTACCCCATGGTAGCATTGGGATGTTGTCCAAGCTCCCCGTGTCTTTTCCATCTGTTCCGTTCTCAGGTGCTTCTTCCCAATCCTCTATCGCAAAATGTCCTCTGTGCTTTTAGGCATGTGACAGAGATTGCTGATTGATCACCAAATCCATCTCACCTTCTCTGGCATATGGCTAGGCTTCATTTCCCAGGCTGCCTTGCAGGTTAGCTGTGTTCTTGGGAATGAGTTTTGGTCAGTGGAGTGTGAGGTGATGTGTGCCACTTTCAGACCTGACTGTAAAAACATCCCAGTGTGGTCTCAATGTTCTTTCTTTCTGCATCCACTGGACACCAAATCCCAGGGCAGCCTTGGTTGGAGACGGCAAAACCATGGCCACCCAGGTCCCTGAATAACTGAGTAGAGCACAAGCCCATGCTACCAACCCGTACCTGCCCTGGAGTGAAAGGAGCCAGGAGACAAGGCGCACTCACATGTATACATATATGTGCACAGGCTGTCATCACATCTGGTTGGGGGTGCTCCTCTGGGCTCCTGGCCTGGTACTATTTCTAGTTAACAGGCAGGGCATGTCTGCCTCAAGGATCTGTGGATGAGGGGCCTTCTGCTTCCCCAGACACCTTCCTGTCCATGTCGCCTTTCAAGTTAGTCTGCAAATTGCTTTGGACAATCTTGCTCAGATCCTGAGGCCAGAAAGAACATTTCTTTCCCTGCAGGCCGATGACTTGACTCTTGCCACTTGGCAAGCTTCTTCCTCTCGCTGTGGAGAATGGGGCCAAGTGATGGTCAGAGGAGGGACCAAGGACTCCAGCTGAGACCAGATCTGATTCTAAGTGGTCAAAGGAGCCCCTGACCTTGGCCATCCCTGCATACCTCTTGCAGATAGAAGCCCCTGTGTCAGCAAATTTGGATTCAAGTTTCAGAGACTAGATTTGATGCACAGAAAGACGCTGCTTGATTTACCAAAGAGGCACAGGACAGAAGGCCTTCCTCGGACTGTCTCTGGCAATTTCCCGCTGTCCCACCCTAGGGATGAAAGGGGCGGTAGTCTCCTCAGACTGTGTCCATGGGTCTGGGGGTCCTTCCGCTTCCACTACTCTGTGATGCCTGCTGGGTGGGGTCTTCGGTGAGGCACATGCTCCAGCGAGTCTAAACTGCGTTAGAAGTAGTTTCTTAAACTACCTTAGTCAAGTGCTCATCAAGCCACAAATGAACAGCTGCCTCCTGCCTTGAGCCCGATGCCTGGATTATTCATCCTTTTTGGCTTTCAGATCCTCTTTTTGGATCCAGGCAGATACTGCTCCTTCCACAGCCACCTTAGTTTGTAATGTCATCTTCCCAGTCACCCCCTCCCCACTCCTGGCCCTTTTCTCTTTTTGGCTGGGCACATCTACCTCTTCTCCAGGCCCCTCCTTTCATCCTGGATAGAGTCTCTGGGGCATGGCTCCAGGCTTCTCTTGCTTCTAATCAGTTCCTTTCCCCCTTATCCCAGCAGCCTCACATTCATTTTGTTGGCTCCTCTCCATTTTACTGAGCTTTCCTTAAAATATCTCCTTCCTTTTTATCTATCTCTGTTCCATCCCCTTGGAAGTGTGGTCTTTAGTAGGCCCTTGTTTCTCATGCCTCCTGGGGCTCTTTCCTTCCTCATTATGACCATCCACCTTGTCCAGGCACCACCCTGCAGCTACTAGAATACATATCACTGATGGAGTGTGGAATATGTGCCAGGCACTATGTAAATGCTTTGCCTGCATTTTTTCACTTCATTTCCTCATAATAACCCCTTGACAGCAAATGCTATCACCCCCTTTTAGAGTGAGGAAACTGAGGGAGAACCACAGAGGTTGAGTAATTTGCCCAGAGCCACAGTCCGTGGGAGGAGGAATTCCAATCCAGCTCTCTCATGCTCCCTGTTCACCCTGCCTCACACACACTCCAAGTCAGCAGATATTTATGAAAAGTCTACTGCATACAAAGTGCTGTGGGTAATAGTTATGTGGGGAGGAAACAGAAAGAAAATAAGATTCTGTCTATGCCCTCAAAGAGCATCGCCTAGGGTAGGAGACATGCATACGTATGTATAACACTACATGGAAAGCCTAAGGGTTAAACATAAGCACAGTTTCTGAGCGCTTAGGAGAGGGAGTGGCCTAGCATGAGAGATGGGAATCTCCCTACAGGAGGCTCTTGCTTCTTTGAATCAAAAATCTAAACATGGAATGAGAGTGCATTTCAGGCAGGGATGCTCCAATCACGACAGGAGAGCAGGATTTGTTGCAGGGCATCTTAGATGTTCAGTACTTGAGCTCCGCATCAGATTCCTGATCACGTTGGCCTTGGACAAGGAATCTAACATCTTGAGGTATCAGTTTTTTAATCTGCAAATTGGAGGATGCATACTACCTGCGTCATAGGAGTGCTGGGAGGATTAATTGAGATAGCACATTTTGAGTAAAGAATTGAGCATAATAATGGGTATGTTTTAAGTGCTCAGTGATTATCATTCCCATAACCTTTCTTCTTGCCACAAAGTTTCCCACTCCTATGCGGTGAAAAAGGGCATTTATTGAATATCTCCTTAGAATGAGGTGGCTTCACATGGGTTAATTCATTCAATTCTCATAACAAAGCTGTAAGTTTTGTTTGGTGTAGTTGGTTGTCATCATTTTAACAAATGAGGGAACCCAGGCCTGGAGGGCTCAGCAATTTGCTCAAGGTCATCTGGTTAAGAGAGCCTTCATCAGGACTCCAGTGGCTCTGCCTGGCTCTGTAAGGCCATGTATTTTCCCTCTGCATGAGTCACCAAAAAGTCCTGGAGTGGAGTCACCAAGCGGAAGTGGAGGCATCAAGATCCAGGTGGACCTCAGAGTACATCAGGCCCCAAGATGTGGGCCTGTGGAAGGAGAGAGCCTAGAGGACTACTTTAAGTTAATGCTAGGCATTCTCCTGGTGACCCTGTGAATACTGAGCTATTTTCCTGCTCACAGTGGGGATAGGCAACCAGAGCATCTGGTTTTCCCTGAAAATGTCTACATTTCCACCAAAATCTGGCCAGTCTGCATGTGATAAAGGTAGGAGGATGTTGTCTACCCTTGCTACAAGGTAATAGGAGGACACTGGGAGTTGGCATCTTGATGTAATAAACACAGGATTCGAAGATAGATAGACATGGGTTCAAATCTCAACCCCAAGCCTTGGAAGCTGGGTGACCCTGCATGAGGCACTTCTGAGTGGCCCTTGCTTTTCTGTCTCTAAACACGGATGATCATAATCATACCAGTCTCCACTGACTCCAGACAGTGGTCATTAGATCCAATGAGTCAACACATGGGAGTACACTTTACAGAGTCAGTTATAACCAGGCATTAGCTGTCAAATGAATGAGTCCGGTATCTAGGAGAGTTCACTGCCTGAGGAAGGAAATCCAACCAATCCCCTGCCTGAGAGCCGAGAGCAGCCAGCTCTAAGGCACCTCCTGGAAGATCTTGCAGCCCTCTGGCACTGAGTTCTTTCTTCTCCAACTTCCTACCCCCACATGTTTATAGTCCACACCACATCTAGTTCTCACAGTTCAGAAAGTCCTCCAAGCCAGCCCATCTGAATCCTTTAATGACCTGCTCCTTCCCTGCTTGCTTTCCTTTGCAGAGCCTCCTTCTATCAATACTTTCCCCCTCACATGGAATCCATCCTCACACAGGCCTTTCAGGAGGAAACTTCCCCTGGGCCCCTGACCAGTGTTTCTTTTCAGAGCTTCATCATTTCCCAGGTGGCTGAGGTTGTAGATTTCAAAGCAAGGCCACAGAACGTAAGCTCCGGGCTGGTTTTCACTGCTTCTGCCAGCCCTGCTGCTTACCCTCACACGTCCCTGAAAAGCTTTGGCTGGAACCAGATGCCAATAGGCTAAGGTCCCTGTTGCCTGGCCCTCCACAGCATCCAAACCAGCAAACCAGGGGCTTCCCTGGGGCCGAGTGACCTTCTCTGGGAAGTAGGCCAGAGCTCAGCAAAGTGCTGCCTCTTCAGCCACTGTGACTGTGTGACGCCTGGGCTGAATCCCAAAGAACGAGGGCCCAGCTCTGCGGCTGAGAATCTCAGTAGGGGCAGGGCTACAGGGACCTCCATGGTCAGCAAGCTCAACCTTGTCATTGTCCAGAGGAGGATACTAAGGCCCAAAGAGGCTTGGCAATGTGGATAAGGTAGCAATCTGATAGCAGAGATGTGCTAGGCCATGGTCCTCTCTCCCAGCCCAGGGCTATTTACACCACCCAACAGCTCCTAGTGCCTGGACAAGAAGACTCCAAAGCCCAGCTTCCGATTCTTTCCTTTTGAGTTGCTCTTTGGCTTTCCCAGGGAAGAAGATGGCTGTTTAATTTATTCATCCTTCCAATTTCAGATTAAGAGGGACTGGAAAGAACAGGAGCTATAAGGTAAATACTATTAGTGTCCCTATTTTATAGATGGGGACACTGAGACTTGTAGATATCAAGTATCTTGCCTAAGGTCCCACAGCCAGTACATGGTGGTGCTGGAATTGCAATGCAGGTGACTGGCTCTATCACATTGTGCTGCCAGCACTACACACCTGGTGAATTACCCCTCAACCTGAGAAGCACTTGCTGCTCCTTGGAGCCCTAAAGGATAGGCTGGAATGAGGAAAACTCAGTCTGTCTCCCATCTGGGGTTGGGTAACACAAGCAGTGGCTAGAGTTTAGTAGAGAGGATGTATCCAAAGAGAAATCCCCAAGGAGGCAGAGAGACTCCAAGATTTGAGCAGCTCACCATAGGGATCGAGCCACTTTCTCCAGATGGTCACAGATGAGGATTCTAGCAGCAATTGCAAATGAGAGGAACTTTACCTCTCCTGGTTCCACAGTTCTCTGAGCCTCAGTTCTATTTATTTTTTAATCAGTAAAACTGGGAACTCAAATTACTTGTCCAAGATTCCTTCCTCATCAATAGCAAACAAGTATTGAGCACGGTGCTGAGAGCCTTTACATAGCAGCATCAGCACCCACCATCCCTCCTGGAGAGGAATGGGCAACAAAGTCCTTGCTTCAATGTCTTAGATTAGTTGAGAAAACACATTTTGAAGAGTGCATAAACTGGTCCTTGCTTGCAGGTTCAAGTGGCCCTTCTAACCGTCAGAGTCCATAAATGGAATGGGAATTTGGGGAATGGCTCCTTCCCATTCCATCCTCCAGTTTCCTCCCATTCCAGGCCTATTTCACCTCCCTGATTTCTTAACCCTCAGACTTCAAGAGGCCACGCGAGCCTTCATACACTGCGCATCTTTCTGCAGCAGGACTCTATGGGGGCCAGAGAAGCCTGGGGAGAGGTGGCTCCACGTGCTTTACCCAGAACAGCATTCCTTCAGGTTGAGTTCACCCTGCCCAGACTGACAGCATGGTGGGCATCCACTCTTCGCTTCCATTCTCAAAAAAACATCTGCTTCAACTGTTATCCCAAGCACACAGTCCCCCGACCAGGATGAGAGAGAGCTGGGAAGGAGAAAGAATCGCAATCTGCACACTTGCTTCATTATTCCACTTAATACTCACAGTAGCACCACCAGTTTATAGAAAAGGAAATCAAGTCTGAAAATGACTTACCCAAGGTCCCATGACATATAGATGGAAAACCAGGACACAAAGGCAAATCTGACTCCAAACCTGCCTCCTAACCACTCAGGTATCAGATTTGGCATTCACCCATTCATATCCAGAGAGTTAGCCTTTTATGCACTTCCAAATGGGGGTTTCAGCCCAGCCTAAGGAGAGCCTCAAACTCCTTTAGTGAAGTCCAGGCATTCTCTGAAGCAAACGGCCCCACCCATCCACCGTGGCAGGCCTGGCCTCCCATGGCTCCTCTGTGACATGTAGACTGGGCTGTCCCTGTTACTTGAAACACTTTGCTGGGAAGAGATCCCTTCAGCCTTCTCCCTGAGCCATCGCATGTTATCAGCCTCATCCTTCCTTCCTTCCCCATGCAGGAGGGAGCGACTTTGCCAGTCCAGAGGTCTGAGGTCTCAGCCTTGCCAGGTGACATCTAGGGCCTCATAGCCCTTGCTGGAGAGGTCCTTGCTGGAGAGGCCCTTGCCGGAGAGGCCCAACATGCTCACAACCCTCGGAATGTTTGCAGCTTGGCAGGACTGAGTGACCCAGTTTCCCCGGCAGGGAAGCTCACTTGGCTAGTGGGCTGTGCAGGGTTTGGCATCTGCACGTCTCTCCTGCCCTCTGCTGGTCACCAGGCAGGAGGCTTGCCAGGGCAGGCAATCCCACACTGTGTCCGCTGTGGGAATTGACTCTCAGGCCTGTAAATATTTGCTGAATTAACTGAATGAATGAGTGTATCATGTACAGTTCTAGGCTTTAGGGCCTAAAGTGGCCGAAGAGACAGGAGCTACTCTGGGAAAAGAGTGAATTCTGCTGAGCTGGGCCTGTGTTCCCAGCAGGCCTCCCCCTATACTTTCCTCCTGCGTCCCTGCATAACCAGCTCTCCGCTCCCTCAGAGGCGCTCCCCTCCCTCACAGCGTGCTGCCATTCTAGGATGAATTAGATCTTCCCAGGCCCAGGTCAACTAGTTTCATCACCACCTGACTCGTTACATTTCCTCTACCACATTCCCATGGAGTGGTCTCAAATCTCTGTTTGAATGCCTCCAATGGCAGGCACTCACTATCAGGTAGCCCTTTCCACTTTCCGAGAGCTATAATCAAAAGAATGCTCTTCTTTTTTCACACTAAATCAGCCCTGACACTTCCACTTAGAGACCCAGTTCTTACCTGTTGGTCACTCAGAAGTCTGACCAGGCCACCCTGTGACAGCCTTTCAACTCCTTGAAGACGGCAGTCATATTCCTGAGACTTCTCTTCTCTCCCCGCAAACACACTGGGCTCTCTACTTCCTGCCATTTATCTTAGTAAGTCTGGAAGACTCGGACAATGACTCTCCAGTGGTGGAATTCTAAAAGATGAAGGTATTTTCAGTCTGAAGACTTTCTGCACTTGAACTTAGCCAAAAGGCCAAGAAGCGAGTCTGAAGACCTTCTGAAAGGCAACTTTCTGTCTACTCTAGGAGAAGTCCTAAATCACAAAATGGGATAATTATTTGGCCACAGCTTGCAAATTTACAAAGCTCTTTCATAGGCCACCATCTCAGTGTGTAAAAGTATCATCATCCCAATTTTAGGGATGAAAACAGCAAGGCCTCACAGAGGAAAAATGCTTCACTGGTGATCATACAGGAAGCAAAAGCTAAGTGGTACTCAGACTCAATCTTCTGATTCCAAGTCTACCATTCTTTATACAAAGGCATTGCTGCTTCTGCCTTTTGAGAACGTAAAAAGAAAAAAAAAAGGCAGATAACAAGTATTGAGCACTTACTATATGCCAGACATTGTTCTAAGGGGCTTAATATTTATTAACTTCATGTCCAAAATGACTTTGTAAGGTATGTATGTACACTTATTATTATTCTAATTTTATTTTCCAGGGTTAGTACATTCAAAATCCAGGACACTAACCAGTGCAATTCAGCTCAAGAACTAACACTTAACCACATCACCATGGCTCTCCATGCTTGCCTAAGTTTATACATACATCCATCTTTGTTTCTCTCCTTGCCTCTCATTTATCGGACCAATGATACTGTGGAGAAAGTTAAAGAAGAGTTCCCCAGTGGTGGGAGTGGGGAGACTTTCCTTCCTTTCAAGGCAGTGAACCAGAGGCAGTGAATCCTAGCTCTGCCACTTTTCAGCAAGTGACCTTGGGCCAAGTTATTCAACCTCCCTCCTCTCCTCGGTTTCATCATCTGTAAAATGGAGGTGCCACCAGCACCGACTTCATTGGGTTTCCGTGAGTTATGAGTTAATGTTTTTGTAAAGTGGTTAGAGAAGTGAATTTCTATTACTAAATTTGGACCCTCGGCTGTTTGAGGTGACTGGGGCAAAGTCTAGAGGGTGGGTAAAAGCAGGCACCATCCTGTGGGAACACAGAAGGAAAGAGCCCTGGAGCCCAGACGGAGGATGGGCTGGGGGAGGTGGAGTGGAGAGAGAAACTGATGGAGAACTGGGATGACTTTTGGTGGGATCTGACCCTTTCATGGAGTCACAGTTTCTCTGAGTTAAAAGTATCTTTCTAGGGCATCTAATCCAGCCAAGCAGTGGAGCAGGCACAAGTCTCCAGTCTCAGCCAGAGGCCTTGGAAGATGAAGAATTCCATTTCCTAAGACTGGGGGCACACTGCATTAAAATAAATGACACTTGGTAGGCTGGAGTTGAGGGAGGTTCTCTCTGGCCTCTTGAAGAAACTAGACAGCAGGGATATAAGGTCCAGATGCCTTTACACCTGGCCTCAATTTGGTCTCATATTCTGTTTTCAGGAACAATACAAATCTGTAGCAGAACTACATGAGTTCCAAGCTGATAGCACACTGATAATAATAGCTAATACTTATGAGGGATTCCCATGCACTAGATGCAATTCTGAACGCTCACTTGTGTTAGCTCATTTAATTTTTACATCATTGCTTTAACGGTATTAGCCCCACTTTACCCAGGAGGAAATGGATGCACTGGGAAGTTCAAACACTTGATCATCATCATGCAGCAAGTTGTGATCAAAATCAGAGGATGAGAACCAGACCCTCTGACTCCAGGAGCAGTATTCTTAACTATTATAAAAAGCCAGCCATAGGCGGATCACTTGAGGTCAGGAGTTCAAGACCTCCCTGGCCAACATGGATGGTGAAACTCCGTCTCTACTAAAAATAAAAAAATTAGCCAGTCGTGGTGGCGGGCACCTGTAATCCCAGCTACTCAGGAGGCTGAGGCACGAGAATTGCTTGAACCCGGGGGGCAGAGGTTGCAGTGAGCTGAGATTGCACCACTGCACTCCAGCCTGGGTGACAGCGAGACTCCATCTCAAAAAAAAAAAAAAAAAAAAAAACCCAGCCATTATCCTCATTTCAGAAATTATTGAAATTGTGTATTAAAGAATATTCATTTTGAAAAAGTAACCAAATCTTTAAAGGCTTCAGAGAAGCAGATTTCTCTTGTAGCTTGTGGCAGCATTTTCTCAGAACTGGACGGGGCCACCAGTAGCGTCCTTCATTCCTATATCCGGGTGCTTGTTCCATGCAGTCATGGTATTAGGTTCTGGGGATGCTGCACACAGTGACACACACTCAGTCACTGCCCTGATGGGGTTTTTACAACCTGGTGAGGCAGAGAGATACTGGTCAAATAGTCACACCAACATATAATCCACAACTACAATAAATGCTATGAAGGAAAAGACTAGAATGCTCTAAGAGTGCATTATGGGTAGCAAGAACTGCCCTAGACTGGGGTGTGGGGTGGGGGAGGGATGTGTCAGGAAAAACTTTGCCTGTAGGTTTTTATATAAAAGAATGTCTTTGGGCTGGGTGCAGTGGCTCACGCCTATAATCCCAGCACTTTGGGAGGCTGAGGAGGGAGAATTGCTTGAGCCCAGGAGATTAAGACCAGCCTGGGCAACATAGTGAGACCTTGTCTCTACGAAAACAAAAAATTAATTAGCCAGATATGGTGGCACATGCCTATAGTCCCAGCTACTTGGGAGGCTGAGGTGGGAGGATCACTTGAGCCCAGGAGGTTGAGGCTGCAGTGAGCTATGATCAGCCACTGCACTCCAGCCTAGGTGACAGAGTGAGACCCTATCCCTTAAAAATATATATATTTTTCTAAGGTTATTTCTGAGTTAGTGTAAATAATGGACATGGACTCAAGTTTCAATTAGAGTTTCAATACTTAGACACAGGAAAGCTTCACCAAGAAACTTCTGAGACTGCATAGTCCTGGGGTAAAGAGGGTCAAAAATGCTTCTGGGGTGTCCATAGTGAGCTGGCATGAAGGAATCTTCATTGATCCCAGGAACTTACAGTGCTCTGGCTTTTGTTTCTAGAAATGACAATCCCTACACATTCACGGCATGCCCCACCCAGCCTTTAGTAGCAGAGTGATGTTAGGAGCCCTGGCTGGCTCTGGAGCCAGATGGACATGTGGTAAATTCCTTAATTTCTAGAGTCTTCAGTTTCTACTCTATAAAATGGGTTGATAATAATATCTACTTGCAGGGTTAATGTGAGACATAAATGAGATAAGACATAGGAGGTACCTGAGAATTATGTGGATCGCAGCAAGTGTTCAATCAATGTTAGCTAGTATAGCCTCCAACTCTAACTACAAACGGGCAGGATAGTGAGATGAACCTGTATTTATCTCAAGATAGAACATGGAATTTCATTTCTTTCTAAGCAAACCATTGCTTATTTCCACATCATTGTTTCCTTCTTTTCTTCCTTCCTTTCCTATTTACCTGCCAATTTACATTATCTAATTTTATAAACCTTCATGGGAAAAGGTCACGTGACAAAAAATTGCTTGGTATTTCCTATGTGAAAAGACAAAAGAGAATCAATATGGAAATTGAATTCTGTTCAACATTCCCAATGGTTATTTATAAAATTTACCCAGAGGGAGAGAAAGAATTCTAAATATAAAAATCACATAGAAATTTCCATTTAGGGAGCCCCAAAGTACTTTATTTTTAATGTATTATTATGATTGCAGAGGCTATTGTTAAATTTCAGATGCTGAGGTAACGCTGTGGGGGTGGCAAGAAAACCTGCAGGTGGATTTCACCCACAACATCTCTGGGGCCCGGGGAAGGGGCCCGGGGAAGGGGGTCTTCATGAGTGGCTTTCAGAGCTCAACCACACTCTAAGAAGCTACCTTGATGGTGGCTCCGGGCAGTGCACTTCAGAAATGTTTTTCTCTCTTTCCACATTGGAAATGAATCGATAAAGAAAAATATGACTCCACAGGGGATTCCTGCTTAGGTGTGTCCTGTGTGTGTGTGAAAGCTGCATCCAGATTCCTGACCCTCTGAGGGCAGGAAAGCAGCTCCTGCTCCCCCAGTCTCTAATAGAACACTCTATCACTTATCTCCCTCCCTCGACAATGGCTGGAATGCTGCCTCTCCAGGCAAAAGTAATTGCTAACCATAACTATACTTGACATTTGGACAACACTTTATAGCCACTAATTAGTTAAATGCACACAGCACCCTGTGAGAACCAGAAGGATCCCAGCTCTACTTCGTGGAGGGGAAAGGCCGGGTGGGGAGTAGGACCTCAGATGCAGCTTGAATCAGAGAGGCAATGTTTCCGGGACCTGCTGCCACTCCCTGCCCAGCACCACAAGCTCTGGGCAGCTATTAATAACAAGGATGTTAGTTTTCTTCTCCCTCAGAAAGACAATGAGGTGAAGGTCCCCTAAAGTATTTCTTCTGCTATGGTAATGGTAATACAAACAGTACGGTCAGCAATCTCTGCATCAGTCCGAAGCCCTGGTTAACTGACTACCAAGCACCTTTTGAGCTCTGACTATACATATATCTGTACTTCATCTGTGCTGAATATCGTGGGGAAAAGGCAGGCCTCCATTCCTTCCCTCAAGGAGCTCATAACCTAGCTGCACTGGAGTGGGGCAAAATAGCGGCCATGAAATAATCAGAGGGTAAGTCAACAGGAGAGAATGATGTGGAACGAAGTTTACTGAAGACTGAATGAAGGAAGGACTTGTTGCTCCAGCTCCTGGGAGTGCTGTAAGTGCACAACCAGCAGCTGTCAGCCACTCGGGGATTTCCTCAACTGCAGAGAGCTGCCTTGCCCAAGCTCATGCTCCTTTCCATGGTGGCCCATCCAATGACTGGACAATGCAGAAACATAAAAGCTCATCCGTCTTAGCCCATTGTGGGACAACTCTGAAGGAACATTCTAACTCCAGAGCTCCTCACTGAGTCAGCTGAGGCTGTGTTGGGCCTGTATTGCAGCTCCATTTTTTATCCTTCCCAATTCTAGTTCCTTCTCTTCCCTGCCACAGGTGTCCATCTCAAAGTAACCCCTTAAGAAAAACCCTGCATGCTAAGCTCTGCCTCAGAGTTCACTTCCCAGGGAACCCAATATTAGAAATTTAGATAAATGGACTTCAGTTAGGGGCCCACTCCAGAATTAGGAAAGTGGGATGTGGAACCAACATAAAGGAAGAAGGAAAAATAGGACTTTGTAGCAGATTATTTTCAGAGAGAGAAAAGTCAAAGATAAAAGGTTTTAGTCAGCCTGTGCAACATGGAGAAACCCTGTCTCTACAAAATATACAAAAATTAGATGGGCATGGTGGCGTGTACCTGTAATCCCAGCTACTTGAAGGGCTGAGGTGGGAGGATGGCTTGAGCCCAGGAGGCAGAGGTCACAGTGAGCCGAGATGGCACCACTGCACTCCAGCTTGCGTGACAGAGCAATTCCCTGTCTCAAAGAAAAAAGAAAAGAAAAATGTTTTAGTCTGTTTTTTTAAAAAGTTATCATATTACAATAATAATAATAATAATAATAATAATAATAATAATGGGATGGAGGTTTGTTGTGATAAATTCTCTTTTAGACTTGAGTTGACAACAAAACTTCCAAGTGGAGATATCTTGGGGGTAATTGTGTATATAAAATAAGTCAATTTGGGAGCTATGTTGATTGTTTTTTCCAAAGATGGCCACAACACGTGTTCCCATCCCACATGTTCTTCTATACTGTCAACTGGCCATTGCCCTCATCAAGAAGTGGAGTCTAATTCCTCCCACCCCACCTTGAATCTGGACCACTTGAGACTGCTTCAACTAATTGAGTACAGTAGAGGAGATGTTGTATGACTTCTGAAGCTAGATCAGAAAAGGCCATGAGACTTCTGCCTGGTTCTCTTGAAATGAAGCCATATGTCATGTAAGAAGTCTGACTACCCCCAGACTACCCTGCTGGAGAGGCTGTGTACAGCAGATGACAGCTGGCATCAACTGCCAACCATGCATCTTTATTTACCTTAGCACAGACAAGATAAATAAAGCCCCAACCAACATCCAACTACAACTATGAGGGAGACCTCAAGTGTGAACCACCCAGCAGAGCCCTTCCCAGATTTCTGACCCACAATTGTTTTAAGCTGCTAAGCACTGGAGTAACTTGTTATGTAGCAATAGTAAGGGGGAAAGGGTCATTAGCAGAGAAAAGAATAGAACCTCATCATTCTGTCTTGCACAATACCTTCCTGTCTTCCAGTCTTGCTCCACCCCACTCTGCCCTGCTTCACCTACCCTACCCTATCACTATCTACCTTCCACATAGCCACCAGGGATCCTTCTTAAGCAGTTCCCAGCTAATCTGATCAAATCACTTTTCTTGAAAACCTTCCATGGTCCCTAATGGCTTGTAAAGGTCCTCAGATTACAGTGTGCATTCAAAAGCATCTATATGATACACAGTATGTATCAGTAATCATCTGTGTGATGGTTAATTTTTGTGTCAACTTGATTGAGCCACAGGGCGTCCAGACATTTGGTCAAACATTATTCTGAGTATGTCTGTGAGGGTGTTTCTGGGTAAGACTAACATTTGCCGGGCACAGTGACTCACACCGGTAATCTCAGCACTTTGGGAGGCTGAGGCAGGCAGATCACTTGAGCCCAAGCATTTGAAACCAGCCTGGCCAACATGGGGAAACCCTATCACTACAAAAAATACAAAAATTAGCCGGGTGGGCATGCTGGCAGGCACCTGTAATCCCAGATACTCAAGAGGCTGAGGCACAAGAATCGCTTGGACCTGGGAGGTGGAGGTTGCAGTGAGCTGAGATCACACCACTGCACTCCAGCCTGGGTGACAGAGTGAGGCTCTGTCACAAAACAAACAAAAATACACCTAACATTTGACCTAGTAGACTGAGTAAAGCAGACTGCCCTCCCTAATGTGGGTAAACCTCATCTAATCAATTGAAGACCCAAATAGAACAAAAGGAGTAAAAGGAAACTCCTTCTGCCTGACCACTTGAACTGCACATGGGTCTTTTCCTGCCTTCAGATTCCCACTAAAAAATTGGTTGTTCTTGGGTCTCAAGCCTGCCAACTTTCAGAATGAAACTAACATTGAGGCCAGGTGCGGTGGCTCACACCTGTAATCCCAGCACTTTGGGAGGCTGAGGCGGGCGGATCACCTGAGGTCAGGAGTTCTAGACCAGACTGACCAACATGGAGAAACCCCGTCTCTACTAAAAATACAAAAAATTAGCTGGGTGTGGTGGCACATGCCTGTAATCCCAGCTACTTGGGAGGCTGAGGCAGGAGAATCACTTGAACCCAGGAGGCGGAGGATGTGGTGAGCTGTGATTACGCCATTGCACTCCAGCCTGGGCAGCAAGAGTGAAACTCCATCTCAAAAATAAATAAAAGAAATTAACATCATCAGCTCTCCTGAGTCTCAAGCTAGCTGATTGCAGATCTCGGGACCTCTGAGCCTCTATAATTGCATAAGCCAATTCCTTATAATAAATTATATATATATGTATACACACACAGAGTCATGAGCCACATAATGAAATTTTGGTCAATGACGAACACTGTCTTACAGGACAATGGTCCTATAAGATCATAATACTGTATTTTTGCTATACTTTTTCTAGGTTTAAATATGTTAGATACACAAATACTCCTGTGTTACAATTGCCTACAGTATTTAGTACGTTAACATGCTGTACAGGTGTGTAGCCCAGGAGCAATAGGCTATCCATATAGCCCAAGTGTATAGTGGACTATGCTCTCTGGGTTTCTTTAAATACACTCTATGATGTTTGCAGAACGATGAAATCACCTAATGATGCTTTTCTCAGAATGTATCCCTATTGTTATGTAACACATAGGATCCAGGAATTTGCTTTTTAAAACAACATCCCCAAAACAAAAACAATAAATAAATAAAAATAAAATAAAATGGAAAAAAAAAAACAAGATCCCCAGGTGATTTTGATTTTGATTCTGACACCAGTTGACAAACCTTAACCTACAAAATACAGTCCTTCAGAGCCCATTATTCTACACCCCCTTTTGTTAAACATAAAAATCTCACCACCATCCTCAAGAAGACAATGGTTTTGCTGCAGAACCTCTGGAACTTCTATATTTACCTATATTTATCCAGTTTTCCTAGTTTGAGCTTTAATTTCTGTAATTCATATTATGAAAACAATAATTTTATTCTCATTCTTGTTATATAAATGTATAAAATTGAATCTATAAATTAATATTTTATGTAATGTGGTTTTAAATATGCATGTTTGTAAAATTTATAAGTTAAATTGCAACAGTAGGAATACATTTTTCATATGCAATCCCCCTTCAGATACACATTGTTCCCTTCACCATCCCCTTCCATGCCTCCAGAGAACGTAATACTCTGCCTCACTGTGTTGAAAACCACTACTTTAGCTAGTGAGGGCTCCCTAGAGATCCCTGTTTGTGCTGTTATCTCCACCTGGAAGACTATTTGTTTCTTTGACAAATATTTGTTGAAAATTTAGCACGTGCCAGGCATGGTGCTATGCGATGTACCCCCTCCCCCCATAGAGAAGTAATCGATTCTTTCTCTGAGGGCCACAGGCCCTGAGTGTGCACTTCTATAACAGCCTCTCCACTCCATGATATAGTTAGCTGACTCCTTCACTACACTGTGCAGCCTCTAAGGTCAGGGACTACATCTTGTTCATCTTTGTATCCGTCACTGGCACAGTGCCCAACACCCAGTAGGAACTCAATTAATGTGGAGGAATGAGTTAATAAACCAATGATGATAGTCCAGTGTCTGGCACAGCATAGATGACCAATAAATATTGGTTGAAATGAAATTGAATTGAAAGTGCAGGTCACAGAAACAAGGGCAGAAAGAATTTAAAGAAAGAGGAGTTGTGACACTGTCAAAAAGATACCAAAAGATCAAAGAGGGTTAGCACTGGGGTGAAAAAGAAAGAGAAAACATTGGATTTGATGAAACTGAATTTAATATTAAGTCCTAGCATTAGCAGCGATGGACAAAACATTTATCACAAAACCAACAAGATCAGTATTTAATTGTCTTCAGCGTGTTCATGGTACTTCTTTAAATCCAGTTACTAGGTATGTAAGTTCCTGTGAATGGTGCAGGTTTATTATGCCTCACTCTTTACTACATAGCCAGTTAAAATGCTCACACATAAAGATCTACTCACACTTGAATTTTAGGTTTAACAATAAAATTGTATTTTCTATGAAAAGATGAGACCACCAGCTAAGGTGTGATCACCCCAGATACTTTCTCTCTCCATTCATTCACCAAACAAATGTTTACTGTGCTACATACTGTGCTGAGTAGAGTCCATTCTTCAGCTAACTGTGCAGGTTCTATTTGTAGAACTTGTTTGTGCTTGTGGCGCCATTTAAAACATTTTAAATCCTAGACTTGCCTGGATTCCCAAGGCAGCTTGACTCTTGGGAAATTTCTCTCTCTCTCTCTCTTTTTTTTTTTTTTAAACAGAGTCTCACTCTGTCACCCAGGCTGGAGTGCAGTGGCGTGATCTCGGCTCACTGCCACCTCCACCTCCACCTCCTGGATTCAAGCAATTCTTGTGCCTCAGCCTTCCAAGTAGCTGGGACTACAGGTGTGCACCACCACACCTGGCTAATTTTTGTATTTTTAGTAAAGATGGGATTTCACAGTGTTACCCAGGCTGGTCTCAAACTCCTGACCTCAAGTGATTCGTCTGCCTTGGCTTCCCAAAGTGCTGGGATTACAGGCATGAGCCACCGTGCCTGGCCAATTCTTGGGAAATTTCTCTTAGTACACATTTAGAACACTTCCTGCCATTTGCTGCTTCCAGAAACAGCACTAGCATTGGCATCCAAGTTGTCTCTCTTAAGTAGAAGTGCTGCCCCCAGTAGGTCCTGGTTTATATCCTGTGGTCAAATAAGTTGAGGGCTTCTTTACTGCAGGATTTGACAGTCTTTTATATGAAAATATGTGTGTGGGGGGTAGAGATGGAGGCTTAAATAATATGGTATAAAGTGTTTTCTAAAGTCATTTGACTTTTTACTCAACTTCATTTTATAGGATATTTGAAAATATTATCATAGATTACGTTCATTCATTCACTCAGCAACAATTTTTGTGTGCCAATTATGTGCCTGGCAGTGTGCTGAGACTGGATAAAATGGTGACTAACCAGACATACTGTCCTGACATTATGAAGACTTGGGGGGAGATACACATGAATCAAATGCACTAAACTGTAAATCAAATAATCATAAGAAATATGAAATTGTAATTTTGACAGGTGCAATAAAGAAAAGTCACATTACATGGCCAAATGAGAGCCTATAATAGGGAGCTTCAGTCTGGTCAGGGAAGGCTGCTCTGAGGAGGTGACCTGGGGCTGACATCTAAAGTATGAGTAGGAGTTCACATGGGGATGAGGGTGGAGAAGAGCATTTGCCCCAGGATGGGATAGAAAGAAAGCCAGTGAAAGAATGGAGAGCAAGATGAGGCTAGAATGATAGAAAAGGCCACACCATATAGGGCGCTATAGGCCATGTTGGGAATTTGTTTTTATCCAAGGAGTATGGAAGCCATTCAAATTGCTGAGTGGAGAACTCATCAGAGGTGAGCCAGAGTGAATCTAGGTGAGCTGTTTAAAAAGCTATTGAAGTGGTTCAGGATGGTGGTAACTTAGCCTAAGATGACGGTGGTGGAAGAGATGCTGAAAAAAATCAATTCATGTGTCTAGATCAATCCCTCTTCTACAAAGCAGTTGAACCCACACAGAGCTGGCTTTGTAATAACTCATAGATAACCATTCACTTCTCCAGAAATCTCCCCTCTGTACCTAAAGGATTGGGAATGGGGAAAGAAGTGGTCTGCTGTTACCTCAATTCATTCAAGCAAAGCATTGTGCAGAAACATGTCTTAAAATTAGAGATGTTCTCTGGAACATCTATTATTAGGATCTAAAAAGAGCCCCAGGACTCTCTTTCCAGCCTAACACCCACCTGTAACCATGCACTTTGGGGCCTACCATTTACTCTTCATGACTGCAAGTTTGATTTATGTACCTGGGAATTTCAAAGCTGGGAGGGATTATAGAAGTTATCATCACCCTCAACCATATGCAAAAATTCCTATATTTCTGAAAAACATCTCAAACAAGAGTCAACTCATTCTATACCCAATTATACTAATTATTAGCATCACAAATACAAGTCTTTCATCCTGTCCCCAAGCCTCTGGGGTCTTTAGAGTTTAAGCATCATCTCACAACTGCCCATAGCAATTCCTGACATTCTTACAGTTACCTACTCTCTTATTTACTCACAACAACTCCAGTTTACAGAGGGATTAGGTGCCATGCCCAAGGTTACACACTAAGGACACTTAGAGTCAGCACCCCTCATAAAACATTGCTTGGAATGTAATCAGAATTCTATACTGTGCATTCTGTACTGTCTGGAATGTTACAATGAACACATATAACTGGCCTGGTTTTCCCAGTCTGTGCTGGTCTACTTTCACTAAATTTTTATACTTGACAACTTTTTTTTTTTTGACAGATAAAATTCTATGTATTTATCGCATACAAGATATTTTGAAGGCTTAACTTATAAATATTTATATTTTAATTATTCATTGACTAATTTTTAAGTGTACCTGGTTTTTGTCCCCATATAAGCAAATTCTGGGTAGGAATCATATCATGATTTTCTCCCTGTATTTTAACTATTAGGCACATAAAACATGATTAATAATGATTAATTAGTTGATTTATTAAAGGAAATCACAATTTTATTTTTTTTTTGAAACAGAGTTTCGCTCTGTCACCCAGGCTGGAATGCAGTGACGTGATCTTGGCTCACTGCAACCTCTGCCTCCTGAGCTCAAGTGATTCTCCTGCCTCAGCTTCCCGAGTAGCTGGGACTACAGGTGCCCACCACCATGCGTGGCAAACTTTTGTGTTTTTTGTAGAGACGGGTTTTCGCTATATTGCCCAGGCTGGTCTCGAACTCTTGACCTCAAGCAATCCACCCGCCTCAGCCTCCCAAAGTGCTGGGATTTGAGGTGTCAGCCACCATGCCCTGCCTGGAACTTACAATTTAAAAATTTCATGGCAATACTGCTTTTACTCATGCTACATATATACAAACATTTGCAGAAATCCACTTTTTTGCTTTTTTCTTTTTTGAGACAGAGTCTCTATCTGTCGCCCAGGCTGGAGTGCAGTGGCTCGATCTCAGCTCACTGCAACCTCTGCCTCCTGGGTTGAAGCAATTCTCCTGCCTCACCCCGCTGAGTAGCTGGGATTACAGGCACACACCACCACACCTGGATAATTTTTGTATTTTTAGTAGAGACAGGTTTCCCCATGTTGGCCAGGATGGTCTTGAACTCTTAACCTCAAGGAATCCACCTACCTTGGCCTCCCAGAATGCGGGATTATAGGTGTGAGCCACCGTGCCCAGCCAAAACTCCACTTTTTTTCTACTAGATGATTTACAGCTGTTTCAAGAGGCTGGATTTCTCTAAACTTTGTCTCATCTCGCTAATAGTGGGCTCACAGAAATAGCTTGTGAGATCTCAGAAGTTGATTGCATTTGTGTGACAGACTTGATGTGCTAAAACACCCCAGAAAATATCTGAATCTACCACGTTTTGTCCAACTGAAACACAGTTGGCTGGGAGCAGTGGCTCATGCCTATAATCCCAGCACTTTGGGAGGCCAAGGCAGTCTTCTATGTAATTAATTTTAAAACCATAAAAAAGAAGAGGAAAAAGAAAAAAGAAACACAGTTGGTAACAGATGTACTCATATTCTATCAACTTTATAACCATACCAGTTTTTATAGGTGGGTGGAATTTCAGATGTGAGAGATAGGAAGACTACATAGAATATACTCTGAAGAGCTCTTTAAATTGATATCTCCACCAGACACTAGAAACAGCAAGAGAATTTTGCCTAATACCCAATAAACAGCTGAAAATCAAACTTTTATTGTCTCTGACTGTAGACGCTTTGTCCAATAATTGAGAGTCCCTGAATCTCCATCTCCTTTGCAAAACACCTAAATTTTGCCTCTAAACTGTCCACAATCAAGTGAAATACTCTCTTGTGGTTTCTATAAACTACTGAGGTTAAAGTACCATTCTTGAAGCAGGCAATTAATAACATAGTTATTGTATATTTCTACATTACATTTCTATAGAATTGTCTGCACCACTTGTTATCAACTTTCCCGTTAAAATATTGCACCTATTCACAACAAAGAACAGGAGAATGGATATTGGTTACACAACAAGCAGTGTCATCCACAATATGGAAGTATGACTTAAAATCAAATACTTTGCACAGACTGTGGTGGCAGCCAGGGGATCAATCAGGGTACACATATTATTCTTCTTAAATATTTGTAAAATATATTAGATCTCTAAGCCTCAGTTTCTTTTTCTGAAGAAAAAGGGATTATAAGCCTACCTGTCTCCTGGGGTTGTTGTGAGGGTAAAGTAAGCTAATGTGAGGAAAGTTTTAGTGGAGTGCCTGGCATGTAGTATGTGCTCAATAAAGGCTGGCTTTTATTTGTCAGTGAATGGATCATGTGATGATTTATTTGTTCACATTTCTACTTTGGGAAGGAGAGGCAGCTTCTCAAGACCCATGTCATTTCCAACAACGTGTTTGACATGGGATACAGTGGAAAGTGTCCAGTGGTGGCAGTCAGTGGACTTGAGTTCTGTCCCTTGCAGACTTATGTGCCAAATTGGGAAAGTCACAAAACATAGAATTACAGGACTTGACAGGGAGAGATTCTGTCTAGAGAATCTGGGGCTCCTGAATGGTGCCACTGCTCCTTTCCCTTCAACTCTACTGCCTCCCTCTTTAAAAACAAAACAAGGAAGGCTGGGCATGGTGGCTCAAGCCTGTAATCCCAGCACTTTGGGAGGCTGAGGCGGGCGGATCACAAGGTCAGGAGATGGAGACCATCCTGGCTAACACAGTGAAACCCCATCTCTACTAAAAATACAAAAAATTAGCCGGGTGTGGTGGCCGGCACCTGTAGTCCCAGCTACTGGGGAGGCTGAGGCAGGAGAATCGCTTGAACCCAGGAGGCGGAGCTTGCAGTGAGCCGAGATCATGCCACTGCACTCCAGCCTGGGCAACAGAGTGAGACTCCATCTAAAAAAAAAAACCCAAAAAACAAAAAACAAAGCCGGGTGCAGTGGCTCACGCCTGTAATCTCAACACTTTGGTAGGCCGAGGCGGGTGGATTACCTGAGGTCAGGAGTTTGAGACCAGCCTGACCAAAATGCTGAAACCCCATCTCTACTAAAAATACAAAAAATTAGCCAGGCGTGGTGGCAGGTGCCTGTAATCCCAGCTACTCAGGAGGCTGAGGCAGGAGAATCCCTTGAACTTGCGAGGGCGGAAGTTGGAGTGAGCAGAGGTCGCACCATTGCACTCCAGCCTGGGCAACAAGAGCGAAACTCCATCTCAAAAAAAACAAAAAAACAAATACTACCAACGATAATCATAATTAGCTGAATTTTAGTTTTCTAAATCTGCAATTTAGTGTTCTAATCTGCAATTAAGATATTAATGTTTGTCTTTACTCATATGATTACTGTGAGAATCGAATTAGATAATGTAAGTCAAATCATGAAATGACATGCTATAATCGAATCCTACTAAGTACCATGGACTTTACATGCATTGTGTCATATAATTCACCCAGTATGGAGCTGTGGAAGAAACTGCTGGTTGGCCCCAGTGTCTGCTCTTCCCCTTTTCCTTAGATATAAAACCTCTGCTTTTCAGCTGGGCTAAAATAAATTTAAAAATACACTTCCCAGCCTCTCTTGCAGCTAAATGTAGCCAGATGTCTATGTTTTGGCTAATGAGATATAGGTGGAATTTTAGTGTGTCACTTCCAGGTAGTGTTGTAAAAGGAAGCTGGCATGCTGCTGTTCCTCCCTTCTTTCCTGTTGGCTGACTGGAATGCTTATCATGGCTGCAACTTGAGAAGCCATGTCAGATCATAATTCAGTAGAAGTGCAGAGCCACAAAATAGAAGGAAATAATCTGTTCCTTGAAAGTTTTCTGAGTCATTTAGAGGAAGTTGGAGATATCCCTTTACTTTACCCTTTGTGAACTGGAAGTATCTGAGACAGGTCTCAATCAATTAGAAAGTCTATTTTGCCAAAGTTAAGGACGCATGCCCGTGACACAGCCTCAGGAGGTCCTGACAACATGTACCCAAGGTGGTCAGGGCACAGTTTGGTTTTATACATTTTAGGGCGACATGAGACATCAATCAATACATGCAAGATGTACATTGGTTTGGTTGGGAAAAGTGAGACAACTTGAAGCGGGGAGGCAGCTTCCAGGTCATAGGTAGATAAGAGACAGATGGTTGCATTCTTTTTAGTTTCTCATTAGCCTTTCCAAAGGAAGCAATCAGATATGCATTTATCTTAGTGAGCAGAGGGATGACTTTGAGTTCTGTCTGTCCTTTGTCCGCAAGGAATTTCCCTGTGGACAAATTGTGAGTGAGGTATGTAGCTTTTTTATCTTAGTAGCTATCTTTTTTAGGAATAGAATGGGAAGCAGGTTTGCCCTAAGCAGTTCCAAGCTTGATTTTTCCCTTTGGCTTAGTGATTTGGGGATCCCACAATTTATTTTCCTTTCACACCTTAAGTATTTCAGCATGTGTTTCTGACCTTAAAGGCATTATCTTAATAACCCCAGAACACTGATCAAAATCAGGAACTATAACATTGGTACATTACTATTAACTAATTCATAATACATATTCAAATTGTATTAATTGTCCCAGTACAGGTTGAGCATCCTTAGCATGAAATTTCAAATGCTCCCAAACCCAAAACTTTTTGAGTACTGACATGAAGCCGCAAGTGGAAATTTCCACACATAAACGTTAACACAAACTTGGTTTCATGCACAAAATTATTATTACTTTATTTTCTTTTGAGACGGAGTCTTACCATATTGCCCAGGCTGGAGTGCAGTGGCACCATCTTGGCTCACTGCAACCTCCACCTCCCGGGTTCAAGTGATTCTCCTGTCTCAGCCCCCCAAGCAGCTGGGATTACAGGCGCATGCCACCATGCCCGGCTAATTTTTGTATTTTAGTAGAGACAGGGTTTCACCATGTTGGCCAGGCTGGTCTCGAACTCCTGACCTCAGGTGATCCGCCCGCCTTGGCCTCCCAAAGTGCTGGGATTACAGTCATGAGCCACCGCGCCCAGCCACAATTATTTAAAAGTTATAAGATATATATGAAACATAAATGAATTTCATGTTTAGACTTGGGTCCCATCCCCAAGATATCTCATTATGTATATGCAAATATTTCAAAATCCAGAAAAAAAAATCTGAAACACTTCTGGACCCAAGCATTTTGGATAAGAGATACTCCATTTGTTTTGTGCTTTATAGCTTCTTTTCCCATCTAGGATATAAGGTAGCATTAGGCATTGATTTTATTGACATGTCTCTCGTCTACTCTGGAAGAAATTCAACTTCTATAATTAAAAACTTGATAGCTAACTGGAATAAAGCGAATTTTCTTAAGGTAAGGATAATAAGAAAACAAACAAAATGCGTAATAAACATCATCTTAAATGGAGAAACGTTAGAAGTACTCCTTTTAAAATTAGGAATAATAAGCCAGGTGCAGTTGCTCACACCTGTAATCCCAGCGCTCTGGGAGGCCGAGGCGGATGGATCACCTGAGGACAGCAGTTCGAGACCAGCCTGACCAAAGTGGTGAAACCCCGTCTCTACTAACGTAGCAGGATGAGCTGCAGACAAAACCCCTCAGACACCAGGTTAAAGAAGGAAGAGGCATTATTCAGCTGGGAGCATCGGCAGAATTGCGTCTCAAGAACCGAGCTCCCCAAAGAAAGAGTTCCTGGCCCTTTTAAGGGCTTACAACTCTAAGAAGTCCACGTGAAAAGGTCGTGATAGATTGAGCAAGCAAGAGGTGTGTGACTATGTCCACAAACACTAGCGGCAGGGGTAAGCAAGGCAAGTATTTCTCTATACCATTGTCTGTGATCTATAGATAGCACGAGCAGTTAGGGTGGGTGTTAATCTTTTTTTTTTTTTTTTTAAGACAGAGTCTTGCTCTGTTGCCCAGGCTGGAGTGCAGTGGCACAGTCTCGGCTCACTGCAAGCTCCGCCTCCCGGGTTCACGCCATTCTCCTGTCTCAGCCTCCCGAGTAGCTGGGACTACAGGTGCCTGCCACCACGCCCAGCTAATTTTTTTTGTATTTTTAGTAGAGACAGGGTTTCACCATGTTAGCCAGGATGGTCTCGATCTCCTGACCTCGTGATCCGCCCTCCTCGGCCTCCCAAAGTGCTGGGATTACAGGCACGAGCCACCATGCCTGGCCAGGGTGAGGGTTAATCTTTAACCTACAGGCCTGGCCAGTGGCGCCGATCAGTCTGTTATTTTTCAGTTTTTACTTCCTCCTTTTCTTTGGAGACGGGACAGGAGGAGAAATGGCCTCTCTCCTCACTAAAAATAGAAAAAATTAGACAGACCTGTTGGTGCTCAGGAGGCTGAGGCAGGGGAATCACTGGAACCCAGGAGGCAGATGTTGCAGTGAGCCAAGATCATGCCATTGCACTCCAGCCTGGGCAACGAGAGTGAAACTCTGTCTCAAAAAATAAAAATAAAATAAAATAAGGAATAATAGTGCTCACCATCATTCTTTCTATGTAACATTCTATCAAAGATTCTATCAGTCAAAGTCAGCACAGTAACACCAGAAAAGCAAAATCATAAGGATTAGAAAGGAAGAAATATTCTTACTATTTGTAGATGATATGACTGCCTACATAAAAAACTAAAAGGGGGTCAGGCACAATGGCTCATGCTTGTAATCCCAGCACTTTGGGAAGCCAAGGTGGGGAGATTGCTTGAGCCCAGGAGTTCAAGATCAGCCTGGGCAATATGGTGAAACCCTATCTCCACTAAAAATACAAAAACTGAGGTGAGAGGATCACCTGAGCCTTGGGAGGTCGAGGCTGCAGTGAGCCGTGATCACACCACTGCCCTCCAGCCTGGGCAACAGAGTGAGACCCTGTCTCAAAAAAAAAAAAAAATTTAGCAAGGGCCTGTATTTCGAATCCTGACAACAGACAAATAAAAAGCATAATTTAATTTAAAAAGACACCATTACCAATAGTTACGAACCATACTAAAAGAGATGCAAGAGTATTCATCAAGTATACAAATTTTGCTGAAGGAAACGAAATAAGACCTAATTAAATGAAAAAATCCATATTCACTGAAATACTTTTTTAATAAGGAAAAATAATTTTTTTATAGGGAGACTTTTTTTTGTCTTTTTCTTTCCTTTTTGTGGAGAACAGGGTCTCGCTATGTGTTGCCCATGCAGATCTCAAACTCCTGGGCTCAAGCTATCCTCCCCTCTCTGCCTCCCTAAGTGCTGGGATTACAGGTATGAACCACTCTGCCTTATAATTTATAAGAAAGAACAAAAATTTAATATAGTCAAATACTGGTGGCAGGGTTGGGGAAAGTGATGAGGATTTCTTAGACAAGATACAGAAAGTGCTAACTATAAAATGTTGATAAATTCAATCTTATTTAAATTAAGAATTTGTATCTTAAATATCAGCTTAAATTGTGTGAAAAGATAAGCCACAACTAGAAAAAGATGTTTGCCATACATACACTCTATAATAAAGGATTAGGATCAAGAACATGTGAAAAACTCATACACCTATAAGAAACATACAATTCAATAGAGGAGCAAAATACATGAGTAGATATTTCATAGATGAAGAAATATATATGGCCAGTAAACTTATAAAGAGATATGCAACCTCACTAGTAATCAAGGAAATAAAATATCAAAACCACAGAGACATGCTATTTTATGTCCATTTGATTAAAAAAAGTTATAAAATGTTAGTGACGTGGATCAATAAGATCTCTTATACACTACTGATGAGACTGTAAATTGCTAAACACCACTTTAGAAAACAATTTGACATTATCCTGTGAAATTGAATATTCAATATAACCTTTTTTTTTTTTTTTTTTTTTTTAAGAGACAGGGAGGGTCTCACTATATTACCCAGGCTGGCCTTGAACTCCTGGGCTCAAGTGATCTGTCCACCTCAGCCTCCTGAGTAGCTGGGGTTACAGGCCAGCTTCAATATAACTTTTTAATCCAGTAATTCCACTCCTAGGTATCCTTCACCTCTCCATCCTATCCCAGGGGAATTCTTGCATGTGTGCCTCAGGACATATGAATGAGAATCTTCATCATAGCACTGCATTAGGCCATTCTGCGTTGCTATAAAGGAATACACAAGACTGGGGTAATTTATAAAGAAAAGAGGTTTTAACTGGCTCATAGTTCTGCAGGCTGTACAGGAAGCATGGTGCTGACATCTGCTCAGCTTCTGGTGAGGTTTTGGCCTGCTTACAATCATGGCAGAAGGCAAAGGGGGAGCCAGCATATCACATAGTGAGAGTGGGAGTGAGAGAGAGTGGAGTGACATATACTTTTAAACAACCAGAACTCTGGAGAACTCACTCACTATCACGAGGACAGCACCAAGCCATGAAGGATCCTCCCCCATGATCCAAATGCCTCTCACCAGGCCCCACCACCAACACTGAAGATAACATTTCAACATGAGATTAGAGGGGACAACATTCAAACTATATCAAGCACTCTTCATAATAGCACAAAAAGTAAAAAATACTCATAGCCCAAATCAAAAGAAGAATGGATATATAAGTAGTAGTATATTCAATATAATGGAATATTTTACAACAATGGAAATAAACTATAGCTACTATGTATGATAACATGCAAGAATCATAGTAACACAATAAATGAAAAATGCAAATCTCAGGAATTATATATAGTGTGTTGTTCGAATACACGTTTGTATAAAGTTCAAAAACAACCGAAATGAAAAGAATATACTTTTAAAGTATGTGTGTGCACACATGTGCAAGCACACACACGTGAACTCTTTAAAATTCCTTTAAAAATTCCTTTACAAGGCAAGGATTGTTAAATGCTAGATTCAGGATATCTATGAAGATGGGCAGTAGACAGGATAGAGGAGCAGCATTTAGGTAGATGTAAATTACTGATAATTTTCTATTTGTTTGAGTGCTGGATTGAGTGCTGGGTTCAGGGATATTCATTATGTTATTAATAAATAATAAACATTGAATGGCCCATATATGGACCATTGATGATTGTATACCATGAATTAAAGATTACAATTAATCCAATTCTATGTACCCAAGTTCAAAGAGAAAATATATTAATAATAGCAATCATTTATATAGTGCTTACCATGTGCCAGGCACTGTGCTAAGCTCTTTATATAGTTTAACCCATTTAATTTTCCCTGTGAGGAGAAAACCAAGGCCCAGAGAGGTTACCAGTAACTCTTCTGAGGCCCATAGCAGAGCTGGGATTTAATCCAGGCTCGCAGCCTCCAGAGTCTGTACTCTTAATCACTACCCTATAAGGTGTCTAAATAAATAAAAGAGATAATTATATTACAGCTTAGTCATGAAAAAGTTATAGCAGAGTGCTTTCTATAACAATATTAAAGGAGGAACCACATGGACAGCTCTGTAAGGATACTAAAACCCCCTGAATTGTATTACTTTGAGTGGGTAAACTTTATGGTATATAAATTATATCTTAATAAAGCTGTTAAAAAAAACCCTCACAGACCACAAATAGTGATTTTGTAACACAAACTGGGTCCTGAATGCTTGTTTGCTACTTGTGGGACTTAATATTTGCCTAAGGGTAAAAAGATACACTTTTTCTGGAGACCAAACAACATAAACCTCACTGTCAAGACACCACTCATTTTATGAAGGAAGATGAAATAGAAAATTTTAATCTGCTATCATGGATAGGAAAAAATTTTCAATTCCCAGCTTTAGCCTCTTTTTTGCATCTGCCAGGAAATTGGATGGCTCTCAACTCTCAAGATAAATTTCATATTGCAGTTGTAATATTTTGTGCGTATATTGAGGATACACAAACAATAAAACCTAGGAAAGATGAGGGTGGAAAGAGGACATTTGATTGAAAACATACACATAAGTTTAAGATGCCAGTATGTTTTCAATCTTTATTAAGCTTAATTTATATACCATAAAGTTTATGCATTTAAAATACACAATTCTAAAATTAGCTGGGCGTGGTTGTGCATACCTGTAATCCCAGCTACTTTGGAGGCTGAGGCAGGAGAATCACCTCAACCCGGGAGGTGGAGGCTTCAGTGAGCTGAGATTGCATCACTGCACTCCAGCCTAGGCAACTGATCAACACTCCATCAAATAAATAAATAAATAAATAAATAAAGTATACAATTCAGTGGTTTTGTTTTTTTTTTTACTATCCTTACAGAGCTGCTCTGATGCTCAGGGAATCTGCTGGTAACTTAACTCTGTTTTCTTTCATTTTTTTCTTTTTTGAGACAGTCTTGATCTGTCGTCCAGGCCGGAGTGCTGTGGCACCATTTCAGCTCACTGCAACCTCTGTCTCCTGGGTTCAAGCGATTTTCCTGCCTTCGCCTCCCGAGTAGCTGGGATTACAGGCATCTGCTACCAGGCCTGGCTAAGTTTTGTATTTTTAGTAGAGACACGGGGTGGGGTTTCACCATGTTGGCCATGCTGATCTCCAACTCCTGACCTCAAGTGATACACCCGTCTTGGTCTCCCAAAGTGCTGGGATTACAGGCGTGAGCCACTTTGTCCAGCCCTGTTTTCATGACCACCGAAAATCCTCCTCACCTAGGTCAGCTCTCCTCACAAATCTGGCCATTGATCACAAAGAGATCAAATGAAAGCTCAGGTTGCACCTTAACAATTCCAACAGCAACAGCAAAAGAAGGGTTCAAAGTCCTGGCCAACTAAACCATGGGTCACTTTTATCCACTTTTACACATGTGCCCTCTCTAAAGCACACATGTAAACAGAGGATAAAACCTAACTTGGTTGGGTGCAGTGGCTCACATCTGTAATCCCAGTGCTTTGGGGAGGCTGAGATAGGAGGATCACTTGAGGCCAGTAGTTTGAGATAAGCCTGGGCAACATGGCTAGACCCCATTGCTACAAAAAATTAAAAAATTAGCTTAGTGTGGTGGTGTGTGCCTGTGGTCCTAGCTACATGGAAGGCTGAATCGGGAGGATTGCTTGAGCCCAGGAATTTGAGGTTGCAGTGAGTTATGACTGCACCATTACACTCCAGCCTGGGTGACAGAGCAAGTCCCTGTCTCTAAAACAAAAACAAAAACAAAACAAAACAACAAAAAAGAAAAAACAAAAAAAATAAAAAACTCACTAAGCAGCTTTATGCTTTAAAGCAGGGGTTCCCAGACCCCAGGCTGTGGACCAGTAATGGTCAGTTGCCTGTTAGGACCTGGCTGCACAGCAGGTGAGGGGCAGGGGAGGGAGCATTACTGCCTGAGCTCTGCCTCCTGACAGATCAGCAGAGGCATTTGATTCTCAGAGGAGGGCTAACCCTATTGTGAATGGAGTATGTGAGGGATGTGGGTTGTGTGTTCCTTATGATAATCTAATGCCTGATGATCTGAGGTGGAACAGTTCCATGAAGCTGGTCCCTGATGCCAAAAAGTTTGGGGACCACTGCTTTAAAGAACACAAAGGATTTTCAGGTAGTATCTGCTGGAAGCCAGGGGAGGGGGTAATTTTGGGGGCAATAACACAAAGGAAATGAAAACAATCACTTATTTTAACTACAGCATGGATCCAACTTATTCATTTGTTGTGGAAACACACACACACACACACACACATACACATCACAGGCAATATTTTGGCTGTTACTCTTAATGGAATCTAGGCCTTTTCCATCTAACCATAAAACTTACTAGCACTCTTGGCTCCAGGCAGATTTCCAGTCCCCCTAGGCAAGCCTTTGTACTATAGCCAGCTGCAGGCAGTAGCTTCCATCAAGCTCCCTGGTATTTGAAGTGGCAAGCCACTAAACTTGGCATGCCTCTGGTGCATGTTCACACAGACTGGGTGTCTGTTTATCTCCCTGAATTATTTCTCTCAAATCTTGTGCTCCCTCAACCCCTATCTTGAAGTTTGGAAAACTACTGATTTGGTCATTATCTTTTTCTTTGATCAGTGAGTCACCTTAGCAGGTCTATTTAGGTTAAAAAGTCACTCTGGTGCCTGGTTTATTATCTCGATTGGTTATTACATTGAGTAATCAGATAATGGCTTAACTTCAATTTCCATTTGTGGTCTATTAATATAACCTTGAAACAGATTTAAACCCAGCTATAACTTTTTATTTCATGCTTTTACAAATAATGTGTTCATGTGTTTTTTATCCTCCAGCATCCAGATTTTTATCTTTAAATACCATCTCCCACTAAAAGGAACCAGAGCTCTCTGGAGAAATGGCTGATTCCACAACTGGGGCAGGAAATGTATCAGGTAAGTCTGGAAGAAAATAATGGAGAAAAGAAGAGTGGGAAGAGTGATGCAGATGAAACAAGATTGACATGATTTGATAATTGCTGAAATAGGGTGTTGGGTACACATGGGAGTTCTTTAAAGTATTCTTTTATATATTTTAAACTTTTTCCATAAAAATAGTTTAAGGAAAGTTAAAAATGTTATTTTTTAAACTGAAGGAGTAATAGCGCCCTTTGTAGAAACAAAAGATTTCTACAAAGAAAAGTAAAGTCTCCCTCCTACTCCAGACCCTCGCACACCTCTTCAGGGCAATCCTAGTAACAATTTCCCGTGTATTTGTCAAGAAAGTTTCCATGAAAATATATTTTTTAAATGTACATACTCATAAATACAAACATTTTTAAAACCACAAATGGTAGCGTATTATACACATTATTTTATGCCTTATGAAGTTTTATTTCCCATTTTAATACAATGAAGATGTCTACACATTACAATATTGTGGATTTTTATGCTTTACAATTGAGCTTCTTCCTTCGAGTTTCTTTGATCTAATCAAGAGATAGAAGGCCTCCAGCTTCACATTCCTCACGATTATTTACAAAAAGAAGGATGGCTCAGCCAAGGCTAAATTTAGGTTACAGTCCCTAATCTTAACACAGTTTTTAAGTTTAGGTTTCAGCTTTTGGGATATTATTGTTACCTTGAAAAATGTCACGTTTAAAAACACCTCACACCCTCTACTATAGATTGGATCTTGGGAAATAGGGTTGAGGACCGGATCAATACAAGAATCCTCATAACCTCCGCCCCGGCGCGAACCTGGGAGGGCTGCAGACAGTCTAAAGGCTGTGGTGACCTCAGCGCTGCGTCCCTCCAGCAACCGGCGAGTGCTGGGGCACAGGCCATACCCCCCTAAGCTCGGCATCGCCTGCACCTCTCACAGGTGCTCTGTCCGCCACAGTAACGCACTATGGAAAGGAAAGTTGTACGGCGAACGACTGAAGGAGCCAAACGAGGTGGATCTGGAGCGGCCGCAAGGTGCCTGTGCTGCTGGCTTTTAACACACAATAAGAGTGCCAAGGGATACAAGAAGCCACAGGGGGAAAAACAAGTGACATATCTGCATGGAGCCTAAATTTCGCTTGGTGATTTTCAGGGTAGAAGCATTACATATTAAAAACACTGCTATTTTAGGGGAATACAGAATTTAAAAATCCACACAGATTCGCAACATAAAACATGCCGCCCAAAGACACGTCCGCGGTGTCCCGACAGTTCCGGCTCCGCCCGCGGGCCACGAGGCGGGGAGCGACGGTCACTCCCCTCGGTTACCCGGAGTACTTGGGCGGGAACGGGTAGCTCGCGGGAGAGACGGGCTCCTGGGCGAGGGCTGCGTCTTAGTCGCCCTGCTTCTTAGCTCTCGAGGTCCCGCGTGTTACGTGTTAGCACCGCCCGGGGGCGTCAGCATGACCCGAGGCTGCAGGAACCGTGAACTCTCTGCCCCGCGGGCCCAGGTGACCGCGGGCGGCGCTCTCCCGCGCGCGGGGGGCGGGGCTCCCCCCGGCTGTTCACTCAGCTACCACAGCGACGTAAAATGGTGTCCGCTAGGCGTCCCAGGACGGCTTCCTGAGGGACTGGAGGGCCCCGACAGCCGGAAAGCCTGCCCCGCCCCTTGGCCGGCACAGGTACGACGGCGGGGAGCTCAGAAGTTTCGAACTCCAAGGGCCGAAGCACAGCCAAACACCCCACGGAACTTAACAAATGTTTGTGGGGAGAACGCCGAAAACGCGGGGAGGCGGGGCTGGCGCACAGTCACCCTCTCGCGACATCTAAGTGACGTCGCACAGCAAGCACGTGTTCTAGTCTTTCACCTTCAGTCAGCCTCCTCCGTTATACAGGCCTACCCCTTTAAGCGAGTGATGGACAGTTATTTCAGCCTATCAACTTCCTTGCCGACATCCAATCAGATTTAAACTTCTTTTAGCCGCCGGAGGAGTTGGAAAAAGGGGGTCGAAAGAGGGAGCTTACCGTCTCTCGCGATATCGCTGTGAGCCTGCCTCTCTGGAAAAAACGCCGAAACTGATGGCCCGACCTCCCAAATAGTGGTTTAAAGGACGGGTTTATAAGCCAATGAAAGGGATAAGGAGGTGGGTTGCTGCTGTCACTGAGCAAGAAGTACCGTTACAGGGCAGACTTTTTGTCCAATCAACACCTCAACACTTTGGGTCACGTGACCGCAGAGTGCGAGGGGCGGAGCTACAGTCTGGCGCGAGGAACCGTTAAGATAGACAACAAATGTAACCAATGAGGTACTCCGACTAGGGGGTTGGGAACCCAATAACAGTGGTTGGGCGGGCGCCTTCCTGGAGCGCGGGGAGATGTAAAGATAGACAAATAATTTTCCCAATGAGACTGTAGAAGAGAGAGCAATTGGCCAATGAGGACTGCGGGGCGGGACCCTGTGCCGCGGCGGAGTCCAAGATGGCGGCGTGCGGTTCCGCTGTGTGAAACGAGCGCGGGGCGGCGGGTTACTCAGCTCCGCGGAGACGACCTCCGACGACCCGCAACAATGAAGGGAAAAGAGCGCTCGCCAGTGAAGGCCAAACGCTCCCGTGGTGGTGAGGACTCGACTTCCCGCGGTGAGCGGAGCAAGAAGTTAGGGGGCTCTGGTGGCAGCAATGGGAGCAGCAGCGGAAAGACCGATAGCGGCGGTGGGTCGCGGCGGAGTCTCCACCTGGACAAGTCCAGCAGTCGAGGTGGCAGCCGCGAGTATGATACCGGTGGGGGCAGCTCCAGTAGCCGCTTGCATAGTTATAGCTCCCCGAGCACCAAAAATTCTTCGGGCGGGGGCGAATCGCGCAGCAGCTCCCGGGGTGGAGGCGGGGAGTCACGTTCCTCTGGGGCCGCCTCCTCAGCTCCCGGCGGCGGGGACGGCGCGGAATACAAGACTCTGAAGATAAGCGAGTTGGGGTCCCAGCTTAGTGACGAAGCGGTGGAGGACGGCCTGTTTCATGAGTTCAAACGCTTCGGTGATGTAAGTGTGAAAATCAGTCATCTGTCGGGTTCTGGCAGCGGGGATGAGCGGGTAGCCTTTGTGAACTTCCGGCGGCCAGAGGACGCGCGGGCGGCCAAGCATGCCAGAGGCCGCCTGGTGCTCTATGACCGGCCTCTGAAGATAGAAGCTGTGTATGTGAGCCGGCGCCGCAGCCGCTCCCCTTTAGACAAAGATACTTATCCTCCATCAGCCAGTGTGGTCGGGGCCTCTGTAGGTGGTCACCGGCACCCCCCTGGAGGTGGTGGAGGCCAGAGATCACTTTCCCCTGGTGGCGCTGCTTTGGGATACAGAGACTACCGGCTGCAGCAGTTGGCTCTTGGCCGCCTGCCCCCTCCACCTCCGCCACCATTGCCTCGAGACCTGGAGAGAGAAAGAGACTACCCGTTCTATGAGAGAGTGCGCCCTGCATACAGTCTTGAGCCAAGGGTGGGAGCTGGAGCAGGTGCTGCTCCTTTCAGAGAAGTGGATGAGATTTCACCCGAGGATGATCAGCGAGCTAACCGGACGCTCTTCTTGGGCAACCTAGACATCACTGTAACGGAGAGTGATTTAAGAAGGGCGTTTGATCGCTTTGGAGTCATCACAGAAGTAGATATCAAGAGGCCTTCTCGCGGCCAGACTAGTACTTACGGCTTTCTCAAATTTGAGAACTTAGATATGTCTCACCGGGCCAAATTAGCAATGTCTGGCAAAATTATAATTCGGAATCCTATCAAAATTGGTTATGGTAAAGCTACACCCACCACCCGCCTCTGGGTGGGAGGCCTGGGACCTTGGGTTCCTCTTGCTGCCCTGGCACGAGAATTTGATCGATTTGGCACCATACGCACCATAGACTACCGAAAAGGTGATAGTTGGGCATATATCCAGTATGAAAGCCTGGATGCAGCGCATGCTGCCTGGACCCATATGCGGGGCTTCCCACTTGGTGGCCCAGATCGACGCCTTAGAGTAGACTTTGCCGACACCGAACATCGTTACCAGCAGCAGTATCTGCAGCCTCTGCCCTTGACTCATTATGAGCTGGTGACAGATGCTTTTGGACATCGGGCACCAGACCCTTTGAGGGGTGCTCGGGATAGGACACCACCCTTACTATACAGAGATCGTGATAGGGACCTTTATCCTGACTCTGATTGGGTGCCACCCCCACCCCCAGTCCGAGAACGCAGCACTCGGACTGCAGCTACTTCTGTGCCTGCTTACGAGCCACTGGATAGCCTAGATCGCAGGCGGGATGGTTGGTCCTTGGACCGGGACAGAGGTGATCGAGATCTGCCCAGCAGCAGAGACCAGCCTAGGAAGCGAAGGCTGCCTGAGGAGAGTGGAGGACGTCATCTGGATAGGTCTCCTGAGAGTGACCGCCCACGAAAACGTCACTGCGCTCCTTCTCCTGACCGCAGTCCAGAATTGAGCAGTAGCCGGGATCGTTACAACAGCGACAATGATCGATCTTCCCGTCTTCTCTTGGAAAGGCCCTCTCCAATCAGAGACAGACGAGGTAGTTTGGAGAAGAGCCAGGGTGACAAGCGAGACCGTAAAAACTCTGCATCAGCTGAACGAGATAGGAAGCACCGGACAACTGCTCCCACTGAGGGAAAAAGCCCTCTGAAAAAAGAAGACCGCTCTGATGGGAGTGCACCTAGCACCAGCACTGCTTCCTCCAAGCTGAAGTCCCCGTCCCAGAAACAGGATGGGGGGACAGCCCCTGTGGCATCAGCCTCTCCCAAACTCTGTTTGGCCTGGCAGGGCATGCTTCTACTGAAGAACAGCAACTTTCCTTCCAACATGCATCTGTTGCAGGGTGACCTCCAAGTGGCTAGTAGTCTTCTTGTGGAGGGTTCAACTGGAGGCAAAGTGGCCCAGCTCAAGATCACTCAGCGTCTCCGTTTGGACCAGCCCAAGTTGGATGAAGTAACTCGACGCATCAAAGTAGCAGGGCCCAATGGTTATGCCATTCTTTTGGCTGTGCCTGGAAGTTCTGACAGCCGGTCCTCCTCTTCCTCAGCTGCATCAGACACTGCCACTTCTACTCAGAGGCCACTTAGGAACCTTGTGTCCTATTTAAAGCAAAAGCAGGCAGCCGGGGTGATCAGCCTCCCTGTGGGGGGCAACAAAGACAAGGAAAACACCGGGGTCCTTCATGCCTTCCCACCTTGTGAGTTCTCCCAGCAGTTCCTGGATTCCCCTGCCAAGGCACTGGCCAAATCTGAAGAAGATTACCTGGTCATGATCATTGTCCGTGGTGCGTCCTAAAGTCCATGTGTAACTTGTATTTACTACTTTGACATGGTTCCTGTTTTGTGATGTGTAATGGGATACAGCATCAGATGCAATTTTCTTTTTAGTTGTTAGTTGTAGCATTTTCTTTTTTATATTTTTATAAACGTCTTTAAAATAGAAATCAGGACAGTTTAGCTATTTTTTTGTTTGTTTAGCTATTATTTTAAGTGAAAGGGATGCCCTAAAGGTAGCAGGCAGGCAGACAGATTTGCTTTAATTAGGAGTTCCCACCCTTATGAGTAATTTTTTTTCTCTATTCAGTTGTTTTTTTTTTAATCTTGAGCTTAAAAAATCCTCAGAGTTACAAAACCAAAATTTTGAAAAGTCAGAATTTGGAGAAAGGAGTCCACTGACCATATAAAGAGAGTAATAGCCACCTAAAAATGACTCGATTGGTGTGTAGGTAAATAATTCTTTTACCAGAAATGTGTGTGACTGAAATTTGATCAGGGATCTCAAAGATATGCTGGTAAATTGTATAGCAATGTAATTATTTTAATCAGGTATTTGAGTATTTCTTAAGATACAGTTTATTCCCAGAGAGTTTGCTTTAACATGCATTTTTTAAATCATTTGTTCTAGAGTTCTGTATCCCATATATGCACTTTTGGTTTGTAGCAGTAACTGTTCAGTAAAAATTAAGGACTATGTTACAAACCATATATGTCTTATGCTTACACTAGTATGCAAGAAGTGAGTAGGTGCTTTTAAAATCAGAATTCTTTGGTCAGTTATTGGTGTGTGGTGGTGTTTTTACTGACTTTTTCAGAGAGGTGTAGCAGGTACAGTTCTAATCGTGCATATTTCGAAACTAAGTGTTCTTCATCAAAGATGAGTTTTTGTTTTTGTATCAATTCAAATTTCTGGTTTCAATAATAGAAAGAAGAGTTGTCTGCAGGCTCATAGTCATCTTTTATTTCAGTGGGCATTTAAATCAGCCATATTTGGATTGCAGAATTTCTTAAAAAGTCATCATAAAATGCCTTTGACATGCTCTTTTAAAATTTTGCTTGTCTTTTTATTTTCATATTTAAACAGTAGTGACATTACATTATTGAAAATGTTTTGAACATCTTGGAAATTTTATGTTCAATATTCTCACTGCTGTCCAGCTACGGAATTGAAATGTCAGTGTAGGAAAACCTTTTTTAATTGTTTTATTTTCCCAGACACCCGGAATTAATACAGGATCATTT
Source organism: Homo sapiens (assembly GCF_000001405.40). Lineage (NCBI taxonomy): Eukaryota > Metazoa > Chordata > Mammalia > Primates > Hominidae > Homo > Homo sapiens. The sequence goes on from NC_000001.11 coordinate 110,343,503, forward strand.
AACTTAGCCTCACAGTTTTTTTTTTTTCAAAGGTGAGATGATATCAACCTCTGGTTCTCAACAAGGACTTTTGCTGCTTAACAGTAATGGATTTTTTTTTTTTAATCTATCCCCTCTGTCCCACCCCTAATTTGTCAGGTCATTAGTAAGTATATTTTTCTCCCTTGATTTAAGTGCTGAAGACTTCAGCTAAGGCCCTTGATATTTAATTATGATTAGAGACTTTTGGACCTTCTGGATCATGGTCATGTTTCTGTTCTATGAAAGTGACTTAACTTGAAGCCTGGCAGAACCCAACTGTTTTCTTTCTGTTATCAAAGCTGGTAGTTTTGAAATAGCACCAATAATAACCCAGGGAAATGTCATGTAATTTTTATTTTCCATTATGACAGGTGTCTAATGCATGTCAGCACAAAAGTGTCATCACTGCTGTGTCATCCCTCTTGGTTTTCACTATGCATCTATAATTTTTTAAGTTTGCAGGTTTTGTGGGGGTTTTTGTTTGTTTGTTTTTAAACTGGAAAAACTAGCCATTTTGAGAGAAGGAAGGTTCTAGGCTATGAGCATGAAGGTCCTTGTGCCTCTTGGGAAAATACCTGAAATCCTATAATGAAGACTTTTGATGCTTCTTGCTTTCAAAAAGCTGTGGTTGGTTTGGAGTAGACACCTGTTCAGAAACTAATGCAAGTGTGGAGTCTACATACGTGGGCTCATAGTATAATTTGTGGCCAGCTACATTTTTCCAGTTTAAATAAACTCACTAACCATTAATTTTTGAATATCTTTTGTTGAGATAGTTGGACAAATGATTTTGCTCTTTTGGAGAGTGAAGTCCATGACATCTAATTTTACTGTCATCCAAAATGTGTGTTTTATTTCTTTTCTTTTACTTTCTTTTTTTTTGTTTGTTTTTTGTTTTTTGTTAGTGTGACAGCGTACAGAAGAGTACTGTGTTTTTGCTCCATGTTTGTTTGAATCTTTACCTGACATTGCCGCTTTTGTTAGGTCTGGGCAATTTGTGCTTCAGTGTTTTTGAAACAATGGCTTGATACCATTTCTAAATGTATGTATTATAAAAAACTAATTATGTTTAGTTGGTCATTACCTACAGAGTGCCATAGTCCACATGAACCTCATATTTGTACTGCCCATTCTTTTGTGCAGGTTCATAATATCCATAAAGTATCTAGTTAAACCTTAAGAATTCAAATGAAAGCAAAAGTCTAAAACCGGTTCTACTTCTCATTAGCCAGGATTTAATAATCCCAACGTTGAATGTTCTTTGTAACAACCAATTTTTTTCTATCTTTCTTCTTTAATTATTTTAATGTAGTTGATTTTTCTGGAACTCAGTTAAAATGAATGGAAAGAAAACTTCAGGATATCATTTAATGACTATTAAGTATTATTGGTAAAAACGTGAAGATAAGACTTTTAGATCACAGCTTCAAATTTTATGGAAAATTAAGCAAGCAATACCTAGCCAATAGTTCTGCTTAACTTTTTGGTTAAGTATTTTGTTGGGATTCCTATAAATAATTTTTCACACAAAGTTTTAAATTTCTGGTGTACTTTGACTCTCAACTGAGAGTGGATAGAGTTTTTCTTTTGAGGATTACATCTTAAAATGTCCATCGCCTGGCTGGTTATAAGCATTTGTCACCTTTTGAAGGTAAAATATACTCTGGCCCTTCTTGACTCAGTTACAGGTCATTTTAGGTCCAGTAATAAGAGTCAGGTGTTTGGTTATTGCTTTCAGAGTCAGACATTGTTTAGGTTTATTTAAAAACTATTAGCAGGTTTTCACTGACAATGCTTTTTTAAAAATAAAAAATGTAAATCCACTTTTTTAAGGCAGATTGTTCATTATGCATATACAGCTTGAACTATAGTTTGGGTCCATATAGGAACCAATCACCAAAAACTCTGGTAACAGAATTAGGAAATCCTCTTGAGAAGAGGGCCTTAATGACCTTTTATGTGAAAAAAATTTTGGAGAGAATTTCTGGACATTTTTTTTTCTGTCTCTCTCACAGGGTTTGGTTTTCAGATAGGAGTTAGGTATGAGAACAAGAAGAGAGAAAACTTGGCGCTGACCCTGTTATAGTGGTTATAGTGGTGTCCCTAAAGGGAGGAAATGATTTCAGGTAACCACAGTGAAATGTTAAGCTGAATGAAGAGTTTTATATGTATGGTTTAAACAGAGTTGAAAAGTGAGATTCCTGAAGTGTTCTTTGGCTGTTTAACAATTATTTGTATGAGTGTTTTATTAAAATAACGGCTGCTGTCTTTGGTAACATAGATGAGGGTGGATTTTTAAATGGCTTTGTATCGACCCCTTTCTACAATAATGGAGTAGTCTATGTTGCTCCATATAAATTACAGAATGAAAATAGATGGGGCAAAAGTTTGACTAAACTTTACCTTTTTATAGTTTCACTTTTTAAGTTATATTTAGAATATATTGATAGATTATAAATTGATTGTGAAACTTTTTTCTGAATTTTTTCAACATGTTTTACTCAGTTACATGAGTTAAAGGATATTTTCAGTCCTGTTATCTTCAATTGCAGTCTTTAAAAAAACCCACCCTATTGTTCTACTTGTTATATGTCTATTCATACAGTAAATTCATTTCAAGGTTTATGCCAGTGGGTATTATTGGTGCTTTTTGAAGTTGAGGTGAACCATCCAGGAAGGTCTTGTTAATGTTATGTTCATCTATAATGGCATAGGGGAAATATATATATTTTTAATATTGTAAACATTTGTACTGAATAACCTTTTTTTCCCCCCCTCCGCAAGCAAAACTGGTTGAACAGCGGATGAAGATATGGAATTCAAAGCTCTAATGGACCTTTTTGAAGAGAAGTTGTGGCTTATGTGGAGTTTACATGGGCCTCTGATGGAAGAAAGCTAATCTGTTTAGTATTTGTGCATTTTACTAAAATGGCAGCTTAAAGTTGTGTATCTGCTATTGTGATGCCAATGCCGGTGTTTTAAGTGGAAAAAAAATGACCTCTTTGATTTGTGCTGTGTACACAAGATTTCTGGAAAAGTAAAGAAAAACCCTTTTTATGGCTCACACAGCTTAAGAGTAGCTGTCTCTCAAACGTGCGCTCACAGTTGAGCTGCTTTTGTTTTATTCTAAATAAATTGTTTCTTTTGAGGAAAATGTTTTTCTGCCTGGAAGTGAATTGACGGCAAACCTTTGACCCCTTTGTTTGCAGCCGAGGGGGTGCTTGCTGCTGCTCAGATCTTGTATGTCTTGAGCAAGAAGCAGGGAGACCATCAATTTCATTTTGACTATCACGGTGTGTCAATTCTGAAGGATCACTAGTGTTACTGTTGACCCCCTTTGTTTGCAGTGAAGGGGATCATTTGCTTCTCGGTTCTCAACGTGATGAGGAAATGGTGCTGTTTGCTGGCACGCAAGAAGCCGGGGCAGGCACCCTAAGCCTCACCACAGTGCCTGAGTCGGGGGCTTTTGCTGGTTTGAAGAGCTGGAGTTGCTGAAATTTAAGTTTTGATTTATTTTGTTCACCCATCACGTTTGGCCTTAGTTTCATTTTTAATTTGAAGAAAAGTTTGAAATTGCTTTATCTTGCACTTAACATTTGCACCAAATTGCCAAAAGAAGGAGAAATGCTCCGTTTGCTTTTTAAATGTTAATGATGATGTTAATAAAGCCTTTCCTGACACATTTGAGGAGCTCCTCCGTCTCCAGGGGCTTCTTACCAGAGTTATGCAGTGATGGGTTTAGTTCTGAATGGATGAAGAGTTCCTGAGAGCTAGCGTTTGTAATTAGAACCGTTACTTGGTATCTGTGCCTTATTTGACCTTTGGTTCCACATGCCTTGGATGTGCATGCACCGTGACGGTTTCATAGGTACGAACGCACACTCAGGCCCAGTCACTTCGGTTGGTAGTACAGATTGTGAGGAAAAAGATGGAGGCATCCTTAAGGAGGAAAAATGTTTGCCTTTAGTTCCTGCATTATCCTGTACAGAGGGGCTCCTGAGTTTTGGAAGCCTGTTCCCAGTACAGGAGAACAACTCCCCTGTTTGCAGCAGGAGACTTCAGTGCACGGTGACAACGCTGGAGTTCAAGAGGAAGCCAGCAATGCTGCACCATTGGCTTCAGACACCATTGTTGTTGTTTGCCAGTTTTAAACTTAACTAGTTGCAGACGAAGACCACCTTGAAATGCAGGCTTGTTGGGCTTGTTTTGAATTTTAACCTCGGATGGAAGAGCCCTAGTGCTGTCTGTCTCCATGCGGGATGATGATTGCTAGGCAACAGGTGATTATCAACAAAGGATGCCACGGTTATACTCTGCAAGGTGGTGTTCCAGTGGCAAACAGCTGTATAAACTCTTGTAAACAGGTAAGAGGGTTTTTAGAGGTCAAAATGCATTATAATTAATAGGGTGAGGGCTTTTAATGTTTTGGGTCTGTTTCTCTAGATGGAAGCCTTAAGGCACTCTGCTGCCATTACTAGCTTCCTTCACCGAAGTGTCATATTTCAGGTCAGAACTTTTGTTCTACTTGATATTTTTAAATTTATTTTTAACATTAAAAAAATACTTTTAATGTGGGAGCCAAAGTTTTAAAATCTTGGTTATGGATTTGGGACCTATAGCCTTTATGTCCTTTAAAATTTTGACATTTGCTGTTAACCTTGGCCTTTACCCTTAGTCATGATTTAATGATGCAGGAGGACTTACTGCTGTAAAAACGTTGCTTGTTTACGAATACTGATTTCTAAACTTCAGAGTTAAGACATTACAGTGTATAACAGCAACAAAAGTATGCCATCAGATTGTGAATGATACATATTTTAGCCAGGATTTTTTCTTTCTTTCTTTCTTTTTGTCCCACAGAGAGATTATAAAATTAGGCAACCTTAACTTTAGGGAAATTAATAAGCAGTGTTGAGAAGTCTGGCTTTTTTTTGTCTCCCCTTAACATTTTCAGTATTTATTTAGTTTTACCAGCCTTCTGAGCCCTTCTTCCCCACATTAATCAAGTTTGAAGCTTTGGCAACTTATCACAAGCCCAGCTTTTTTAGTATATAATACAACTTAGGTTTCCTTGCTTTATTTCAAATGGGATCAAAATTTTTGAATAGAATTGTTATTTTTTTCATCTCTTCTGGAAGACATCCAGTATCTAGTAACTACAATAGCTGATCTATACTAGCTACTTTTTCCACAAGATAGAGCTCCTTGGATTGTTTTGCTAGGCAGCTTATGTACCCATACTTTGATATAGTAAAAGGGAAAAAATGAAGTACAGTGGAATTTTTCAGGTTCTCAGTGTGTCATAAGAATTTTTAAAACAGCTGGTTATGAGATGATGGCTGCCATCTGAGGCTTTTCTAAATGGTCTCTCCCCTGCATTTCTTTAAACATTTTATACTTGTTGGAAATGTCAGTTTTCAGTGTGTTTTCTTTTTCTTGCTAGTTCACACCATGAGCCTGCTGAGTGGTTTTTTCCAGTTAGTAAGCAAATATTTTAAATCACTATGGAGATTTAGAAAGATTATGTTACACTTTCTACATATTTCTATATGTCTGGTATCTTTTTAAAGTTTCAAGCTTCATCTCTCTAGTAAGAACAAGGAAAAAAAGTTGCAGACAGGGCATTTGTTTATTTGTGTATAAAACCATGTCATACAAAATGGGAAGGTACACAGCATGACAGTTTTTTGAAATTACTCATGAAATCATTTTATTTATTCCCAGCTGCACTGTGAAAAAAATTAACTGGACTGAGTGTTAGATTCAGTGTTCTGGTTTTATAAATTGGAAACTTCTCTTTTGAAGTATTTGTGTGGTTTCCCAGTGTCCTTCATATGATCTAAATTTAGGGTTCTGTAAAGGAACTACTTCCAGGAACACCTCCAAGTTGACTTGGGCTCGATTTGAAAAGCTTTGTTGTTAGTACTAAAATTGAAAATGAGGATTACCCTGATTTCAGTAAAACAACCCAAATTTTATAAATTGCCACTTCCATAGCTTAAGTTGTATAATTGTTTATAAGCTGTTTATCTGAGGCAATATATTTAGTGTTTACAGCTTATAGAGCATCTATTTTTCTTCTGACAATAGTATATCTGATTATGGCTTCTGACCATCATCTCTATCTCCTATTTCAGTTTAGTCTTTTTGAGCTTCCCTGTTTAAAGATCCTTTAACTTAATAACTTGAATTATCTAGTTTTAAAATCTTGGCAGAGGAATTTATTGAATAACAAAATTCCTTCAAACCTCAGACAAGTTTGGTCTTAGCAATAAATAAGTTATTTTGATCAATCTATTCTCTTCAGCAACTTGTACTCTTAATTGGAGAAACTATTAAACAGGTGAATAGTTAATTTCTAATGATTTTTTTTTCCTGTCACCCAGGCTGGAGTGCAGTGGCATGATTTTGGCTCACTGCAACCTCTGCCTCCGGGGTTCAAGCGATTCTCCTGCCTCAGCCTCCTGAGTAGTTGGGATTATAGGTGTGTGCTGTCACGCCTGGCTGATTTTTTGTAATTTAGTAGAGACAGGGTTTCACCACGTTGGCCAGGCTGGTCTCGAACTCCTGGCCTGAAACAATCCTCCCACCTCAGCCTCCCAAAGTGTTGGGATTACAGGCACGAGCCACTGCGCCCTGCCTCTAATGAATTTTTATGGGTGATATAGGTGTATGAATGAGCATATGAACAAGTTACTTGAAACTGGGATGGTCAAGAAAGGCTTTACAAAAGAATTTGTTAGAGTAGGACATGGAATGGTGGAGAGAGATTGGGATGGACGTGTCAGGCAGACAAGCATAAGTAAGAATATAGCAGCTTATGGATTGATGGGAAAGATAAGATGCAAACTGAAGCCTGGAATACTAGTAAAATGATTGGGTCAACAAAAATAGGGAATCCTGAAGGGTAGGCCAGTTTGAGGGGTGGAGAGTGGAAACAGATCATTTGGGGCACATTGATAGCAGTCATTTATTGACTGTCTACTTCAAGCCAAGGATTCTGCCAAGTACTGTACACACATTGTCTCATTTAAGTCTCACCACAGACCATAATTTGACAGTTTAGTGATAGAGCCACAGTTCTAACCAGGCCTTTGTCCCAGCTAAGGCTCTCTTGGTTACCGTACTCGTGGAGGCTAGGAATGAGATTAAAGCTGCAAACCTGAAAAAATGGGCAATGGATTTCAAACTATAGTTTATGAACATTGGCAGTACTTGGGAAATGTACAGGCCCTTGGTACCTCCCTAGACATTCTGGAATTTGTTAGGACCAGCATGACTTAGGAGTCTTTGTTCTTTTACAAACCCCTCAGGTAATTCTGATATATTCTGTGGTCAGTGGGCCATGTGTTGAGCAACACTGGCCCATAGAGAGTAGAGTACTAAGGTAAACTTAGGATAATGTCATATTTGAGGCATGGGAAGAGAAGATGGTGCTGGAAAAAAGCCTAGATAGGAAAAAAAGAATTGTGTTGTCTCAGAAACTGAGAGGAGCTTCTAGAAGATAACTTTAAAGCTGTTGCAGCAGGCAAGGAGAACAAAACTGCAATTGCCATGGAATTTATTACTTAAAATTGCCACTTAAGTAACATAACAGTTTTCTAGTCATGTAATTATTTCTCCAAGAAACTCAATCTAGATTACTATTTAATTTTGCCTCATAACAGTCCTGAAGATGGGCCACTGTTTTGTTTATGAAATGCTAAAGGGACACCAGAAAAGTTTTGTGACTAACTGAAGGATACACAGCCAGGAACTGATTGAGGTATCTTTGAGTTTTCAGATGTCTATCTAAAAATACTGTGACTATAGTCTTAAAATTGAAAGTGATGCTGGGATTGAGTGTGTACACATGAAACTTATTTCCATTAATGGACCATCACCTATATCTACTACTCCTAAGTTATCAATAGGATTGAGACAAAGGCATTATAGGTAAAGTTGAGTGTATCTTTGTCCTGTAAATGATTATTTTGAATTACAGTATCTATACTGCATTTGTGTTTGATAAGTATAGCCAATGAACTATTCAAATATTTGAGTACATATTATATATCAGACATTATTCTAGATCTTGGGAGTGTCTTTGTGAAAAAAAAAAAGAGACGTTTTTCTCTTTTCTTGTGGAGCTTACAGTCTGGTGGAAGAAAGGAGGTGGTAAGCTATAAATTAGGGCCTTTAGGCTCCAGACAAAGGGTTTGGATTGTATTCTAAGTGCTGATTGCTATGGGAAGACATTGTAGGTTTTTAAGCAGAGAGTGATGTGATTTGATCAATATTTGACTACCTGTCTGAGGAAAGTAATAAATTTCCTTCAAATGCCAAAGAAAATAAGTTACTTAGCATTTCACAGATTCTCTGTCAGATTGTAACTATGTTCCTGTTCAGAGATCAGCACTGTTCTTTTATTTAAATACAATAATAAAGATTTTATTTCTTTTTAGGGCTCATAGTTGTTGACCATTCTGAACTTTCAAAGCAGTCTCCCTTCTGAAGATGCCTCATTTTCTGAATGTGCTGCTTCATATTTTCTGCTTTCAATAAACTGTCATGACAGTTTCCACTGTAGTCATATATATGACTGATATAACACACTGACCATGCTTTCTATATTTCATAACTTGCAGTTTTTCTAGTGATATTTAACCAGACTCCCTTGCTAAAAAATAGTTTAGAGGGTCTTTTTGTGAAATGGCTGTTATCCTATGCAAATAAGATACATGTGTGTATACAGTTTTTAAGTGCTGAATTTATCTGACCTTTCTGAGGTAACCAGCAGATTCCTTTTTACCTAGGAAAAGGACTTAATGAAAAATTTTTATGCATAAGCCTAAGTCATTACACTAGTGTCTGCAATATAATTATTACAGGTAAAATTATTAACACTTTGGGATGCTGTATTCGTATATGTTTTTTATTACACAGTTTAAGACCTATTGGGAAAATTAATGTTTCATAAAATTGATTTTCATTTTAGCATATAGAAATTGACTATCAGAGGCCAGGCACAGTGGCTCACGCCTGTAATCCCAGCACTGTGGGAGGCCAAGGTGGTTGGATCATGAGGTCAGGAATTTGAGACCAGCTTGGCCAACATAGTAAAACGTGTCTCTACTAAAAATACAAAAAATTAGCCGGGCGTGGTGGCGCATGCCTGTAATCCCAGCTATTCGGGAGGCTGAGGCAGGAGAATTGCTTGAACCCGGGAGGTAGAGGTTGCAGTGAGCCGAGATCACACCATTGCACTCCAGCCCGGGTGACAGTGCGAGACTCCGTCTCAAAAAAAAAAAAAAAATTGCCTATCAGGCTGGGCGCTGAGTCTTGCACCTGTAATCCCAGCGCTTTGGGAGGCCGAGGTGGGAGGATTGCTTGAGCCCAGGAGTGCAAGACGTATCTCTTAAAAAAAAAAAAAAAAAAAAAAATTGAGTATCAATAGTTTTACCTAGCTCCCAAGATAAGTATCTTTCTTTCTTTCTTTTTTTGTGATGGAGTCTTGCACTGTCGCCCTGGCTGTAGTGCAATGGCGTGATCTTGGCTCACTGCAACCTCTGCCTCCTGGGTTCAAGCGATTCTCCTGCCTCAGCCTCCGGAGTAGCTGCAATTATAGGTGCCTGCCACCACACCCGGCTAATTTTTTGTATTTTTAGTAGTGTTGGGGTTTCACTCTGTTCACTAGGCTGGTCTTGAACTCCTGACCTCGTGATCTGCCCACCTTGGCCTCCCAAAGTGCTGGGATTACAGGCATGAGCCATCGCGCCCAGCCTACGATAAGTATCTTAATATATGCCATTTGTGTATATTTATGTACAGAAACACTTCAGTAAACTAGACCCCTTAATTGTAATTTTTCTGCATTCTATGGCAGAGGTCTCAACTCTGGCTGTACAATGGAATCACCTGAGGAACTTTAATACCAATGACTGGGGCCCACTCTCAGAGATTCATATAAATTGATGTAGATTGAGTGGGTTTCTGCAAAGGCCCAGTTTTGTTTTCATTTTGTTTTAAGTGCTCCCAGGTGATTGTAACGTGCAGTCAGGGTTGACAACCACTGCTCTAGAGACACATTTTATACCTACAAACACACACAATCAGCCTTTTAAGGATTGCTTGAAAATCAAAACACAAAACTTTGAGAATGTAATTTGGGTTCAGTACAGTATGTATATTGCTCGGTCTTCTAGAATCTGTTATTGAAGTGTGGTCCTCAGACCAACAGCATTAGTCTCAGCCGGAAGCTTATTAGAAATGCAGAATTGCAGGGCCTTATCCCAAACCCACTGAATGGAACAAGATCGTCAGGTGATTTGTACATATATAAGTTTGAGAAGCAGTACTTTAGATGTAGATATAAATGTTCTATGTGATAAAAACTGATAATTAGAATCTTCTTCCATGTGCATAGGATTCTCAGATTTGTGCATTAGTCAGTGACATTTACTATAAAGCATTTTTAAAAATACTTTCAACAAGAAAAGTGGAACAAAGTAGTTCTTACTTAGTGAGCCTCAGGTGACCAGAAAATTACCAGAGGTCTCTGTCACCAAGGTAGGGGAAAGGGTTACTATTTTGCCTATCCTAGTTGGTTGGTTCTTGATTACTTTGCTCTGCTTATCTCTTTTCTTGCCTTCCCATTCTATCCTCGTCACCTGTCTTCTTTATGAGATAGAAAATGTTACTTTTTTACAAGTACAGGTGCAGATATTGGAGACACTCTGCTAATAGGTGCCGCAGGATTTAGGAAATTTGGTAGTGGTAGGTTTAGAGCTTTCTGTGAGGGGATAGATATGGGCAGGATTGAGGAATGGTTCCTAATTGCCTTTGTTTCTTAAGTGTAGTATACTAACTTCATAAATCAATTTTCCTTACATAACAAGAATCAAATACCTATTAAAGTACACAGTGACAAATAATGTATTAAGATTCATATGTATTGAATGGTTCAGTATGAATGCTCAGAGACAAATAATGTATTAAGATTCATGTATTAAAGGGAATGGTTCAATATGAGTGTTCAGATAGTACTCTAAATTGCAGTGTATCAAATTAGGTTCAGGAATGACATTTTTATTTTATTTTATTTATTTTTTTTTTTTGAGACAGTGTCTCACTCTTGTCATCCAGACTGGAGTGCAGTGGTACAATCTCAGCTCACTGCAACCTCCACCTCCAGGGCTTAAGTGATCCTCCCGCCTCAACCTCCCAAGTAGCTGGGACTATAGGCATGCACCACACTGGGTAATTTTTGTATTTTAATTAGAGGCAGAGTTTCACTATGTCACCCAGGCTGGTCTTGAACTCCTGGACTCAAGCAATCCACCTGCCTCAGCCTCCCAAAGTGCTAGAATTACAAGCATGAGTCACTGCGCATGGCCAGGAATGACTTTTTTTTTTTTTTTTTTTTTTTTGAGACAGAGTCTTGCACTGTTGTTCAGGCTGGAATGCAGTGGCACCATCTCGGCTCACTGCAACCTCCGCCTCCCAGGTTCAGGTGATTATCCTGCCTCAGCCTCCCGAGTAGCTGGGACTACAAGCACGAGCCACCAAGCCTGGATAATTTTTGTATTTTTAGTAGAGATGGGGTTTCGCCATGTTGGCCAGGCTGGTCTTGAACTCCTGACCTCCTGCCTTGGCCTCCCAAAGCGCTAGGATTGCAGGCATGAGCCACTGTACCCGGCCTGATACTTTTAATATGTAAGTTTTTCATACTCAGAGGCACATGAAGAGATAAAATAATGTGTAAATTTTTATGATAAAAGAATCTCAAATACATTCACCAAGCAACCATGTGGATTTCAATTGAAAAATTGTACTCAATCCCACAATTTTAAAATTTCTAAATTGGTATATGTGACTTAGAGGGATTTTTTTTCATCAAGCACAACAATGCCAACGTCTCTAGAAGACTTTTCAAAGGTTCATTTGTAATTTATAGATTTCTCCTAGAAATGAGAGGTTTTTAGTGGTGACTTAACCTATGTCATCATTTCTCCTGACAAATTTCATTTGTGAAGTTTACCCTTTGCAGTGCTGTAACCTTACTGAAAGTTCACTCCACAAAAGGAATGGATTCATCTGAACTTTAAGGTTTAGTGAATGAAACTACTTTATAATGTATGAGTGCTTTTTTCCTTTAATGTAGTAGTTTAAAAGGGTTTTGGACCTTCAGAGACACCCTCTCTTCTGTTTGCTGCTCCTTAATTTTAGTAAAGTCTGAAGCCCTAATAAAAATTTTTTTAACATGTGGTGTTAGATCTCCCTCCTCAATTTTTTTTAAAGCCAATTTTAAAGGGAGCATTTCTAAGTACAGTAATTGGTTAAACATCTTTTTTCCCCCTGGGTTTCTTTTTAGGAACTACTGACAAAAACCTATAGTCGACTTTGGGATCTGACTTTATTATTCAGCAACTCAAAGATGAGTTCTAATTGGCAGACTTCTGGCACTGGCACTTGTCCTCCTGTTTCTATAGAAACTGGGTTGGAAGTCAGAGCTGCACAAAGGGAAAGGGTAAGTTTCTTTTAATTCCATATTTATAAACCCATATCTTATTAACTGTGACATGTTTTCAGTTTTCACATAAGAATATACATCCTCGAACTAGAACTCAAATATGTACTACTTATTTTCACTTGAGTGGAAACTGACATCAAGTCACTAAATATAATAGGAGGGTTTAAATATGGATTTATTTTTCTTGTGACTGACTTCACATTTCTTGAAGCAGTGAATTCAATGTCAATTCGCACTTTGAGCTATTTTTAATTTGGGGGTCAGAAAATTGTTTTTTATTATCTTAGATCTTATTCTCTTGTACTTCTCTGGTAAGTGAAAATTGGAAGGACATTTTGAAAGTCTGCATGGATTATAAAATCTTGTTGTAGCGAAGTCTGATTCTTCTTTCCATTATAAAGTACTATACTACTGATCAGTTTTTTTAGTCTCTCTACTCTCTTAGCCAAGCAAGATGAGTTCGTCTGTTGGGGCACATACATTTGTTTTCACCTGGGCAGACACCCATTATTTGTAGAACCTAAGACACCTGCCAGTTGGTGAGTCATCTTATTGCTATGGCTTCAGAGGACTGCTGTACAGCTGGAGTATTTAGGCTTGAAATTGTTTGATTAGGTATGATAAGCACATTCCTCTGATTTACAGGTTGCCATATATAGGTAACTTATATTGAACTGTGACTAGTTTTGAGGTAGTGGAAGGAAGGTAATATTTGCTGTTGCTCTTTAAAAGTTGTCTCACTTATTTCCTTGGTCCTGGCGTACTACCCTTAAGGGATGGACTTACTTTTTTCCTGCTAAAAGACATAAGATTGGTTGACAGAAGTCAAAGGGTGGAACACCTTGCCATTACTTCTGCTCAATTTGTCACTTTTAAAAATAGTTTAAAAGCTGGAAGCTTGTCAATAGGAAAAGTAAACTCATTTTTAAAAATTTATTTTCACAAGGCAAATAATGCCTTAAAGTGGCTTCTTTTTTAAAATTTAATTTAATTAATTCTATTCTGATGAATTCTCATTAAAAGTGTTGTATGCCTCCTTTGTTGGTTTCTGTTTTGCTCATTAGTGCTTGCACGAGGTAAAAATAGAAATGAATTTGTGGATTTTTTGTTTGTTTGTTTGGAAGGTGGCTAGAAAAAACTTTAGTCTTTCGTTGTGTGCTATCAAGTATTCAGATGTATTCTCCACTACTTAATAAGGAGTAGCCAACTCATCCTGGCTTTAAAACTGAAAGTTCTATGTCTCAAGAACTCCTTTGTTTCTGTCTAGACCCAGACAGTCACCCTAATCCTAGTTCACTCTCTGTATCCCTAAAAAGGCCTCACTAAGTTGTTATTGATTATCATTTTGAATGGAAGGAGATTTCATAATATACTAGCTTCTGTTGGAATGTATCAGGGATTAGGTTGTTTATTTTTATTTTTATTTATTTTTTGGGGGTTCGGAGTCTCGTTCTGTCTCCCAGGCTGGAGTGCAGTGGTGCCATTTCGGCTCTCTGCAACCTCCACCTCCCAGGTTCAAGTGATTCTCCTATCTCAGCCTCCTGAGTAGCTGGGATTACAGGCGCCCACCACCATGCCTGGCTAATTTTTGTATTTTTAGTAGAGACGGGGTTTCACCATGATGGCCAGGCTGGTTTCGAACTCCTGAGCTCAAGTGATCCACCCGCCTCGGCCTCCCAAAGTGCCAGGATTTCAGGCGCGAGCCACCATGCCTGGCCCCAGGTACTTTTTTCAAGAGATGACTTGTCTCTGATCCTAAGTCATGCTAGTCTAATTCTCACAGAAATAAAACATGAAGAATTTTAAATGGATTTTAAAAGTTGCTTTCAAGCACTTTAGTTATTTTTTGTTTGTGTATATGTTAAGACCATAGATGACAAATGTGAAACAATTGAGTAGATATTTGTGGCAAATGAGTAGCCACATGAGGCAAATATATAGATATAAAGCCTCATACAAGGTGATTCTGGCTTAAGAGAAACACTCAAGGCTTTTAAAAAGTATTGGGCTTTGGGCCAGGTGTGGTGGCTCATGCCTGTAATCCCAGCACTTTGGGAACCTGAATCGAGGATCACTTGAACTCGAGTTAAAGACCAGCCTGGGCGATGTGGCGAAACTCCGTCTCTACTAAAAATACAAAAATTAGCCAGGTGTGGTGGTGTGCACCTGTAGTCCCAGCTACTCTGGAGGCTGAGGGAGTATGGGGCAGGAGAATTGCTCGAGCCTGGGAGACAGGTTGCACTGAGCTGATATTGCGCCACTGCGCTAGAGCCCAGGCAACATGAGTGAAACCCTGTCTCAATAAAAAGTATTGGGCTTTGGTTTTATATGAGGTCTTCAGAGAAACCACCGTCCAAGTTTTGCACTATGTCTCTCTTAAAAACAATTAAAATAATAGTATATGATTTTTTTCCTCACATGGAAAAAGCTGATTTTACAGTTAGACAAATGTATTTACTAAACATATTTTGCAAACAGGACATAACACATACCTCAATTATTTGAAAAAAATCACAAAAGTATCATTTCAGTCCATATAAGTATAATTGCTTTTAATAAAGTTAAACTCCTAGAGAATCATTAAAGAAGAAAAGCCAGGGGCCATGAGCTAATTAATCAGCACCAGTAATTAGGTTTTAAAATTGGCTTTGTTAAGGGCTAGCTTTAAGCAAATAACTTGTTCTTAATTGCCTTTGTTCCTTATATATAAAATAGAAATAATAATAATACTTATCCATACTTTGTCACAGAATTAACGTGATGATAATGAGGTAATAGATGGGAAAGAACTCCAAATAGTTAACAGTACCATAAGGTAGAGTTTTAGTGTCAGATATAGTATTTTACAATGACATATATGGAAAATTCCTTCTTTTATAATGATGGAAATATCCTAACAGTTTTAAACATAACCCAAGAAGTAGCAGAGAAGAAAGTATACTGAAGTATACTGAACTTTTATGTTCAAATTACAATAGCTCTACTAGATATGTGTGTGTATTTTAAGGCTTATAATTTGTAAACACTCCAACTATTAATAATAACGTATTAAGGAATTATAAGTGGCCCTGTACGTAGGCATTATTTTCTCTTTAATCAGGTTCACTGAGTATTGGGAGACCTAAGAAAGTTAATTATCTTAACAACTACATTATTATTGCATTGTAGCAGATGTATTTTGTGGTTTTAATTTTGACGGAGGTGGAGGATGGGGGGTGGTTCTTAGGTACTTTGCATATTTGCATTCTTTTTTTTTTTTTTTTTTTTTTTTTTTTTGAGATGGAGTCTTGCTCTGTCGTCCAGGCTGGAGTGCAGTGGCACGATCATAGCTCACGGCAGCCTCCACCACCTGGGCTCAAGTGATCTTCCTGCCTCAGCCCCCCGAGTAGCTTGACTACAGGCGTGTGCCACCCTGTCCAGCTAATTTTAAACAATTTTTTGTAGAGATGGGGCTCACTGTGTTGCCCAGGCTGGTCTTGAACTCCTGATCACTCAAGTGATCCTCCCACCGCAGCCTCCCAAAGTGCCAGGATTACAGGTGTGAGCCACCTGGCCCACATTCTCCTTTTTGTTTCAATACAGACATTAAAATTTTAGGCCAATTTGAGTTAGATTTTTATTATAACTGCTTTCAATTAAATCAGCTTCATAATCTGTTGATACTGCCAAGAAGCCAGAGTAATGTAAAGGAGAAAGAGTAGGGTTTTGTGTTAGATTGTGTTTGAATTATTACTCCACTACTCACTGGGTATTTAATTTCTTTGACCTTCAGGCTGGGCACGGTGGCTCATGCCTGTAATCCCAGCATTTGGAGAGGCCCAGGTGGGCAAATCACCTGAGGTCAGGAGTTCAAGACCAGCCTGGCCAACATGGCAAAACCACATCTCTACTAAAAGTACAACAATTAGCTGGGCCTGGTGGCGGGCGTCTGTAATCCCAGCTACTTGGGAGGCTGAGGCATGAAAATTGCTTGAACCCGGGAGGTGGAGGTTGCAGTGAGCCCAGATCATGTCATTGCACTCTAGCCTGGGTGACAAGAGTGAAACTCCATCTCAAATAAAACTGAATTATTTTAAAAAATAATAATTTATTTGACCTTCAGTTTCTTCATTTGTAGAATGGGCATCATAGTATGGTATCTCTATCTGCTTCTGAAGGTTATCATGAAGACTAAATAGGATATTTGTCAGCTGGGTGCGGTGGCTCACACCTGTATTCCCAGCACTTTGGGAGGCTGACACGGGAGATTCACTTGAGCCTAGGAGTTCTAGACCAGCCTGGGCAACATGGCAAAACCCCGTCTCTACCAAAAATACAAAACTTTGCCAGGCATGGTGCACATCTGAGGTCCCAGCTACTTGGGAGGCTGAGGTGGGAGGATCACTGGAGCCCAGGAAGTAGAGGCTGCAGTGATCTGTGATTGTGCCACTGCACACCAGCCTGGGTAACAGAGCGAGACCTGGTCTCAAATAAAAATTTTTTGAAAGAAAATTATTTTTTTAAAAAAGGTATGTGTCTACCTCAGTAACTGGTGTATTATTAGATGTTGAAGTGAAGTTATTCACCACCCTACTGCCCCAAGCGCACTTACTCATATGTAAGTTGTGTAATATTTGTTTCCTCTTTGTTTTATGGAATCTCTTGAGGGGGAAGAAAAAATCAGCAACTATTATGCTTTTCTTGAAACTCCATATATAGCTGGGATGATATTCCTGCATTATGGATTCCTAGAAATGTTTTATATGGCATCTTATTGTCCACAAAAATGACAACATAGCAGTAAATGAACAGGAACATCATAAGTTAATTGTTAATATGATGAACGCGTTAGTTATAGAAGTCGTTAGCTTTCTGTAGTCTTGGGATTCAGGCTTTCTTAATTCACACCACCCAGGTTTAGAGGGCCTATTACTATTGAGTAGGATAAAGAACTTCTCTGTTGCATGAGATTCATAAAACCTAAGAATTCAATTTGGAGTTCTTTAGTTGGTCCCACTTAAAATGTACAGCTTGCTTAGCTAGGAGGAAGGATCAGGTTGCTCTAGGTAGTTGAAGTCCCTTTTAAAAATAATTGCTACTCTAAAGAGAAGAAGGAATTAATGAAAGTGGTTCATAAAATCATTGATTTCTTTTATTTTTTGTTTTGACATGAAAGCAGAATGGACATTAGCAGCTACTATATATGAAGGGCATTTTGCCTGGTATAAGTATATTTTCTTTTTCTTTTTTTTTTTTTTTTTTTTTTTTGAGACGGAGTCTTGCTCTGTTGCCCAGGCTGGAGTGCAGTGGCATGATCTCACTGCCACCTCCACCTCCCGGGTTCAAGCGATTCTCCTGCCTCAGCCTCCTAAGTAGCTGGGACTACAGGCGTGCGCCACTGTGCCCAGCTAATTTTTGTATTTTTAGTAGAGACAGAGTTTCACCATGTTGGCTAGGCTGGTCTTGAACTCCTGACCTCAAGTGATCCACCCGCCTCAGCTCTCAAAGTGCTAGGATTGAAGGTGTGAGCAACCATGCCCGGCACAAGTATATTTTCATGGGTTTAGTCCTCACAGTATATCTGTGAGGTGGGTTGGTGGTATTTTCATTTTACAGAGCAGGAAATTGGGTCTCAGATAAGTTAATTTTAAGTAACTTTCATGAGGGCATATGGTAACAAGTGGCAGAGCTGATATTTATTATTAGTTAACTATTTTTGCTGTTTGTATGTGTAAGGGGTGGTTTTTTTTTTCATTTTTTTTACATGTAAAATGTAAAAATATTAGACATCCACATCTAAATGTAAAAATGATATTTCTTTTTTTTTAAGTCAGAAAACCAGTTTTCTTTTTTCTTTTGCTTTAGTCAGAAAGCCATAAAAACCATATTTAAATAGGATCAACTACTGTTTTTTAACATAACTGAGATTTGAACCGAGATTAATTTGGTTCCAAAGCTTATGCTAGGCCTTGGAGAATACAAAGATGAATGAAACCCCATTCATCTTGTTGATCTTGCAGACTAATGGAAAGGATTGACATGTGAGTTCATGTAGTACTCTGTTAAAAGTTAGATAGGATTCCAGATGAGAATGACAATGCTGGGGAAGATTTTTCCAAAGGAGGTAGCCTTTGAGTGAGTCAGATAGTGAAAAGTGAAATGGTGCCTGGTAGAGAAGGCATACATAGGCAGTGACAGGGTATGGAGCTAAAACCAGTCTTCTAGAGTTTTTCTCTGTAAGTTGTTAATAGACATTTTAAAGCAGAGAGGAATGGAAGAGTGGAATAACGATGATGGTAATAGTTTAAGAAGCATTTTGGACCAGGCATGGAGGCTCACGCCTGTAATCCCACCATTTTGGGAGGCCGAGGCGGGTGGATCACTTGAGGTCAGGAGTTTGAGACCAGTCTGGCCAAGATGGTAAAACCCTGTCTCTATTAAAAATAACAAAAATTGGCTGGGCATGGTGGCCGATGCCGGTGATCCCAGCTGCTTGGGAGGCTGAGGCAGGAGAATAGCTTGAACTCTGGAGGCGGAGTTTGCAGTGAGCTGAGATCATACCACTGCACTCCAGCCTGGGCGACAGAGTGAGACCCTGTCTCAAAAAAAAAAAAAAAAAAGCATTCAGAAGGAGATGCTAAGGGAGGTTGGTGGTATAAGAAACATCTTTTAATTTAAACATATTTCCCATTAAAACCACCTATTCAACTTTCATGTAAATCTTGTAAAGAGACGTTTCAATATTTAGTGTGAATATTTTGTTAATTAGATGTAGCAGAAAAATAACGCTTTGATGGGCAAAATTGCTGTTCAGATGATCTTGAAATAAAGAAGTTTTTAAAGCAATTTTTATATACTTTTTATTATTTAGCAATACATGTTTATCATAGAAATTTAAGAACCTAAGTAATACAAAGAAAGTAAGGATTACCTTTAATTAAGAACCTAAGTAATACAAAGAAAGTAAGGATTACCTTTAATCAATAAACAAAGATAAACTTTTGGAGGGAGCATATACCATTCCAGTCACTAAGTAAGGTTTTAATATTCAGATTCCAGAATTCTGATCAATCAATGGCTATGTTTCACACTTCTTTAAATTAAAAAATTTTCTATCTTTACATATTTTAGTGACTGAATTACCATGGCGTAATTGAGAGTTTGGATTTATTATGGTACATTCCGATTTCTATTTAATACATAAGGTACCTGATTAAAATTTTAGCCTATTTGGTTAAATACTAACAATACAGGTTGCTATTACTCTTGTCTTACTACCAATTAGACATTTCTCAGAATGCTAAAGCAAGAAGGAACCTTAAAAACTTATCTGGCCGCGCCCAGTGGCTCATGCCTGTAATCCCAGCACTTTGGAGGACAAGGCGGGCGGATCACGAGGTCAGGAGATGGAGACCATCCTGGCTAACATGGTGAAACCCCGCCTCTACTAAAAATACAAAAAATTAGCTGGGTGTGGTGGCGTGTGCCTGTAGTCCCAGCTACTTGGGAGGCTGAGGCAGGAGAATCCCTTGAACCCAGGAGGCGGAGATTACAGTGAGCCGAGATTGCGCCACTGCACTCCAGCCTGGGCGAAAGAGCGAGACTCCGTCTCAAAAAAAAAAAAAAAAAAATTGTTTTCCTTCTCATGTTACAAATGTAGATGCGATGTGTTTCTTTCAAGCTTTTGTTTCCAATGACATTAGTTTAGGTTTTCTTTTGTTTAGCTCTCACTTGATTGCAGTCTTCTTTCTTTCAGGTCAGACTGTTTTTCCATCTTTCGGCCAATGGTACAAAAAAAAAGGAAACTGAAGAGAGGAGATAGCATATGCCAGAGAAGTAGAAAGAGCCATTGTATGTCTGGGTATAATCATATAACCAGCCTGGAAGGAAGGAATGATTTCTGTTAGGGAAGGAAATTTTGCCATTAGTAACTCTCAGCCATGAATAGCTCCTCAAAGCAAGGAGCCTCCTGTATTGTGACCCATTTGAACTTAGTGAAGCTTCTTAGCTGCCCTATTTTTCACTGATGAAGTTGAATCAGCTCCACCTGAGTTAGGGACTTACACCATCTCCAATCTTACAGTGGAAGTTGGAGAAAATTAGGAACACATACCGTTTTATTTTACCATGAATTTTATTAGAAGGCCGCTATTATGAAGAAAATAATCATAAATTATTGTTTTCCAGAGAAAAAAAGAAGTGATAATAATCAGTTTTCTTTTTTTTCCTTTACTAAACAAAGACTTGAGTACTTACTATATTCCTGTTAATATTGCTAGGTGTTGAGGATACACTAGTGAGCCAAAACAGATACGGTCCTTGCCCTCACAGAACTTTAGTGGGGAGATAGGTACCAACCACATAAATGATATGTGATAAGTGCTATGAAGGGAAGGTGCAGGAGGCTATCAGAAGATATGAGAAGGAACTGACTGCTTGATCACGTGGGTTAAACAATGACAAGTTCCCCCCTGAAATCTAAATGCTTTTTTTTTTTTTTTTTTTTTGAGACAGAGGCTTGCTCTGTCACCCAGGTTGGAGTGGTGTAGTGGCACGATCTCTGCTTTGCTTACTGCAACCTCCACCTCCTGGGTTCAAGCAGTTCTCCTGCCTCAGCCTCCCAAGTAGCTGGGATTACAGGTGCCCGCCACCACACCCGGCTAATTTTTGTGTTTTTAGTAGAGACGGAGTTTCGCCATGTTGGCCAGGGTGGTCTTGAACTCCTGACCTCCAGTGATCCGCCTACCTCGGCCTCCCAAAGTGCTGGGATTATAAGCGTGAGCCACTGCACCTGGTCCTAAGTGCTTTTTAAAAGCATAAGTTGGAGGGTCTTCAAAGTCTTTTGGCTAATGGCACATACTAAAACTTAAGCGAAACACTTTTTTTTCTTTTTTTTTTTTAACTGAGTAGGTGATAGCAAAGAATATTTATGCTAAGGCACATCATTGCAAAAGTCAACACTGAAAAAAGCAAATAATGTCCTTAGTATTATCATGACAATAATTTTGGCCTCCTGGACTTCCTAAAGGGTCTCAAGGATCTCTGGGGGTCTGTTGACCTCACTTTGAGAAGTTCTTTTCCAAAGTATAGTATGTATATTATATCTGATCACTTATTCAAGAAATTTCAGTGCTGTATGGCAGCACAGGTCTGGGTTTCAGGGATATACCCCTGAACAAAATAGATGAAAATATCTGCCCTCATGGAGCTTACATTGTGTCTTTGATTTTTCCCTTCTATCTTAGATCATGATGCCTCACTGGATATGTAGAGTATACCCTCCCCCACCTTTTTCTTCTGGTCTGCTTGTTTCATCTCCTCTTTGTTCTGTTATGGACACAGAGGAGATGAGACAAGCAGACCAGAAAAAATTGACTTAATTTATTTTTGTTTTATAGCTCTGTGTTTCCTATTGTTAATGTAAAAAATAAGTGAATAGAATGTTTTATAACCTCTTAAGTTCAACTAACTTTAAGTTGCTTTTTACTTACTGACTCCTGTTTGATTAGTGACCTCTATTAAATGTTTCTTGGAGTTACTGGAGTGAAAACAACTGGACAAGTCTTTGTGTTATGTTGATTGTTATTGACCTATAGATCTCTAAGAAATAGGTGACTAGTCTCTGAACTCTTGTAGACATTTCTAGAAAGGAAGGAGTATAGAAGGTAGCAGTCCTTACCCTCCCATCCCTTGTCATTCTTGCCTTAGTCCTGCCAACACAGCAAATGTATTAGAGTGTATGTGTCTGTGTATGTATATGTGTATATATAAAACCTGTGAATTATAAAATAGTGGTCTCAGAAGTAACACCCTGGGGAAAGACTAGGAATTCTTGGACAAAAAGGTAGACAGTGCTACTAAAATGTCAGATAGCACAGCTAAAAATAGTAAAAATGGATTGAAGAGAAAAACTGTTTATAAGCCTTTTCTTTCTTTTCTTTTCTTTTTTTAAAATTTCTTGTAGAGACTGGATCTAAGTTACCCACGCTAGTCTCAAATTCCTGGCCCCAAGTCATCCTCCTGCATTGGCCTCCCAAAGTGCTGGGATTACAGGTGTGAGCCATCATGCCGACCAAGCCTTTCATTTTACACACACACACACACACACACACACACACACTCTTTCTCTCTCTCTCACTCACTCACTTTTTTTTTTGTTTTTTGAGACAGAGCCTCGCTCTGTTGCCCAGGCTGGAGTGAGTTGCGCAATCTCGGCTCACTGCAACCTCCGACCCGCAGGTTCAAGTGATTCTCTTGCCTCAGCCTCATGAGTTGCTGGGATTATAGGTGCCTACCACCACACCCGGCTCATTTTTTTGTATTTTTAGTAGAGATGGGGTTTCGCCATGTTGGCCAGGTTGGTCTCAAACTCCTGATCTCAGGTGATCCGCCTGCCTCAGCCTTCTAAAGTGCTTGGATTTCACTCACTCTTAGAATGCTGTTTCTGAAACATTAAGTATTAAAATATAGTCATGTGGCACATAACAGGACAAACCTCATGAGGTTATGATATGCATTTTTACTGTATCTATGTTTAGATACATGAATACTTTGTTTGGATACACGAGTATCTTTCTATGTTTAGATACAGTTGCCTACAGTACTCAGCACAGTAACATGCTGTATAGATTTGTAGCCTAGGAGCAATAGGCTCTACCATATAGCCTAGGTGTGTGTAGGTATACTGTTCATATGACAATGAAATCATCTAACACATTTCTCAGAATGTATCCCTGTTAAATAACTCATGACTATATTTAATATATTTTCTTACCAGGGCGGGGAATTGTTTAGCATGTTTTAGAATTATTTCTATGTATTTCCATGCAAAATTAGGTGAAATAAAACCTGGATGAAATAATTGTTGTAAATTTGTTTCTCCCAGTCATATTTGATCATTGAGATATTTGTATTTTTTAGATTCTAAATTAAGATCCAATTGCCATTCAATAGGATAATAGTATACAGCTGAGTATTTAGTTTTAGGATGCTGTTTATACTAGCAAATATGAGGTAAAATGTAGGATGCAGAAATATACATATGACTGATTATTTTATGAAAGTATTAGTTGTTAAAATCAAGCTTATATTTAAGTGGCTACTAGGTTAGTTAAGTTTTGAGCTTCGTTGCTATTGAAACATCTACTTTATTTGATTGGAATAACTAGCCATTCTCTACTGCTGAAAGTAAAAGGATTGGCCAGGCACAGTGGCTCATGCCTGTAATCCTAGCACTTTGGAAGGCCAAGGCAGGCAGATCACTTGAGCCCAAGAGTTCAAGGCCAGACTGGGCAATGTGGTGAGACCCTATCTCTACAAAAAAGAAGTAATAAATTAGCTGGGTGTTGGCCAGGCGTGACGGCTCATGCCTATAATCTTAGCACTTTGGGAGGCCAAGGTAGAAGGATGACTTGAGCTTAGGAGTTCAAGACCAGCCTGGGCAACACAGTCAGACTTTGTCCCTATTCTATCAAAAATTAAAATTAAATTTAGAAAAATATTGGAAAAGAATAAAGAAAAAGTTAAAGAAAAAAAAGCCAGGTGTCATGGCACATGCCTGTAGTCCCAGCTACTCAGGAGGCTGAGTTGGGAGGATCACTTGAGCCCAGGAGGTTGAGGCTACAGTGAGCTGTGATTGTGTCACTGCCCTCCAGCCTGGGCAACAGAGGGAGAGCCTGTCTCAAAAATTTAAAATATATATATATAGGGAGAGAGAACGAGTGTCTGATTTTATTAGATCTCTGTATTTTTTTGGTAACAGGATGAAAAATCTGTTCAGATGCACTTCGGACCCTAAACGGTTTAATGCTTCTAAGTAAATTTTTGTTTTTTTTGAGAGGAATCTCACTCTGTTGCCCAGGCTGGAGTGCAGTGGCGCAATCTCCACTCACTCCCAGCTCCGCCTCCCGGATTCACACCATTCTCCTGTCTCAGCCTCCCGAGTAGCTGGGACCATAGGCGTCCGCCACCGTGCCCGGCTAATTTTTTGTATTTTTAGTAGAGACAGGGTTTCACCATGTTAGCCAGGATGGTCTCGATCTCCTGACCTCGTGATCTGCCCGCCTCGGCCTCCCAAAGTGCTGGGATTACAGGCGTGAGCCACTGCGCCCAGCCAAGTAAATATTTTTAAAAGAAAGTATTGTTGATAGTTCAGAAGCCACTGTATTCTCACCATTTTAAATGGAAGCACACACATAAGTTGACATTCAAAAGACTAGATTCCTTTGTGGTCATAGCATAAGCATTGTGAACGTCAGAGAAAGACAAGATTACATACCAGTTATAATCTAGGATAATGTGCATGTATCTGAATGTTCACTCTATGCCTGGTATTACTGTATGTAGCCAGCACTCTGAGGAATAAACTGGCAGCTGATGCAGAATTATTAAGCTGAAGACCTCTGTAAGCATTTCCTTGGTGTCTACAGGCTACCTGCGTCAGATTTACCTGAGATGCATGTTAATAATGCAGATTCACTGGATTCTGTCAAGCATAACTCCATCCTGGGTGGCACTCAGTTGATTCTTACGCACAGTAAAATTATTATTTAACAATAATAATTATTGTATTTGAAGTTACTAGTCCAGACTCTTTTCTTATATCTATGGCTATAGGACTTGTTTTAGGCAGAAATGTCTAGTAATGTTTCCTGTGATAATTTAAAACAAATAGGAAGATTGGGCTGAGCTTCTTTAAATACTGGTGCAAACCATTTTTTTTACAGTCAGTTAAAAAGGAATAAGAATAATCATTCAAGTTAGATATTTAATATAGGATTCTGAACTCATTTTTTAAGTGTTAATATTTTAAAACTATTCCACATTATTTTATGTGTTAGGCCATACATGTTTCAAAAGGAATTTAGCATCCTGTCTAAAAAGTATTCATACCTTCAGACATCTCAGAATCTCAGAACTTGATTGTTAAGCTAAGTTATGAATCTTTTTTTTTTTTTTTTGAGATGGAGTCTCGCCCTGTCGCCCAGGCTGAAATGCAGTGGTGCAATCTCGGCTCACTGCAACCTCCTCCTCCTGGGTTTAAGCGATTCTCCTGCCCCAACCTCCCAAGTAGCTGGGATTACAGGTGCACACCACTACGCCCAGCTAATTTTTGTATTTTTAGTAGAGACGGGGTTTCACTATGTTGGTCAAGCTGGTCTTGAACTCTTGACCTCGTGATCTACCTGCCTCAGCCTCCCAAAGTGCTGGGATTACAGGCGTGAGCCACTGTGCCCAGTCATGAATCATTTTTATTAGGATTACTATGTAAGTTTACTATTGGTCATCTTATTGAAACTTAACATGGCCGGGTGCAGTGGCTCACACCTGTAATCCCAGCACTTTGGGAGGCCGATGTGGGCGGATTGCTTGAGCTCAGTAGTTCGAGACCAGCCTGGGCAAAATGGTGAATCCCATCTCTACTAAAAATAGAAAAAATTAGCCAGGCATGGTGGCACACGCCTGTAGTCCCAGCTACTCAGGAGGCTGAGGTGGGAGAATCACTTGAACCTGGATAAGTGAGCCAAGATTGCACCACTGCACTCCAGCCTGGGTGACAGAGGGAGACTCCATCTCAAAACAAAAAACAAACAAAAAACTTAGAAGGTCCTTAATTCCAAAGTTTCTTGGTGCTAGTTCTAAAGTGGTTGAAAATTCTGCAGGTGACTGGTCAGAGTTGAATCAGAACTCCTGTGGTTGGGTTGTAGCATAGTGGCAAATTTCCAAGGTGTGCAAAGACAATTTTCCTCTCATCCCTGGGGCCACTGGAGCCACCAGCTGGCTATTGGCAATCTTGTTCTTTTACTTTGGGTGTATTGTGCAAATATTTTCTATATGTGCCATGATCGGAAAAATCTTGGGAAACTTGGCTTAGCAAATTTAAATTTCAGGGCCTTTTAAGATGGGAACTCAGTAAAGTTTCCTTGATAGAAATTTGCAATAAGATTTACTAGGAATGCTTCAAGTATTAGCTCTGTGCTGTAATTTTTATTAAAAGGATTGTGGTGTCTATTAGGATGTGGAAGCTGGATTCTTTGGCCTTGCAAAGTGTGTTATAAAAGGGAAGAACTCCTCTTCTTAAACCACAATAGAGAGCTATTTGGAATTTATTTTTGATGCTTTGTAGGTATTCATCAATCTTAGGAAAACTGAATCAAAGTAAAAATCTGTAAGGCTTTGTAGTTTATGGGGAAAATAATCACTAGATACATAAAATATTTACTTTTTTTTAGCCTTTTTTTCCCCCCACAGAACATATAGAGGACAGGGCTTTGCTCTGCCTTCTCACTTTCTCCCCACTCACCCCCAACCTCCAGAGTGTGTTTTCCAAGTAAAATTTTAGGCCATAGAGAAATTCGCAATTGATAGGCCAAGGTGACTGATAAAACTCTAGAGGTCAGGATTGGTAATAGTGGAGCGAGGACCAGATGGAATTTTTGTTTAATACTGTATCTGAAATTGAGGATGGGATAGATAGGAAATGACCTATCATTTCATGAGGAGATGACTTTTCTGTGATAATGGGACAGAGATGAGCTTAGATGAATGAATATATATTTTAGCACTTACCTTTTTCCATAAAACACAAATAGACTTGGTGCAAAATTACCAGTCTCACTCCATGGTATTTCTGATGAGATCGGTAAATAATAGAGAGAGACATACTTCTTTAGGAGCTAGCTGACTTTAACATATGCTGGAGTACAATTGACTTACAACTATTTGGCGTTAGAAATGATTTTTCTAGGGCTTGGTGGGGGAAAAATACTCGTGAAATACCTGCCTTGACTTAAACTTCAACATATTTTAAAGTCATTTTATTATCCCACAACTCAGAATGTCTTCAATTAAAGGTAAGAAAATAAGGTGATGGGCTACAGTGGCTTAATCAGGTGTTCAGTTAATGAAGTAGAAGAAGGATACAGATTCTAATAATTCACAGTTGTAGAGGTTCTAGACTGTTCTTAGTATGAAGTCCTGGCAGTGTATGTGGCAGAGTGAATAATGTTTCACGACCTGGTGAGTCATGTGAGGACTGTGAGTAACTTTTATCTTCTGTGTGTCCCACATAGCATATAACAGTACTATGCTAGTGATTTGCTTGACAGTTATTGAATGAATGCTAAGTTTCAAATATTTATTTGATAGTCACTTGATTACCAAGTAATCAAATAATTACTTATAGTGTTTTAGGGAGTTTTCAGAAGATATTTGTGATTAAATAAATGATTATATATGTATATTAGCATACTGTATGCATTTGTCAGTTGGGAAAGAGGGGAATATGGAGAAGTGGGGAACTGCATTCAGTTTTTATTTTATAGGCAACTAATATGGTCCTTTGGTTTTATTTTAAAATGAAACTGAGCCTTGAGCATTTTGAGCTTTCATGTCAAATGCCTTGAATGGAAGAGTAGGAATTTCATGTAAGTAGCTTACATCTGCCCTGTATGTTGGAGAATGTGATTAGATATACTTGCTTTTCTGCCCAAGGCACTATTTTTGTATTTATATTGCTTTTTGCAGGTTTACTTCTGTTAACAGGGGTCTGTGAGAAATAAGGCTTAAAATATCAATACTTCTCATTTTTCCACAGCCTTCCAAGGCTTCCATCTTTGTGCCAGTGTGTGGCTCTGGGTGCCATCTAACCGCAAAAGCAGCAGTTGGGTTTGGATGAGCTGTGTGACATTTGGCCTACACGTAGGTCTACTCACCACCCTGGTCAGGGAACCTGGAACAATCCTAAAACTCACCTACTCTAATGCAGGCCATATTTTTTAATTAAAATTGAAATTGTCACTGAGTATTGGAATAAGAAGGGACTTTGGGGTGGAGTGGGTGAGCAGGGCATTGTCTTACAGAGGAGGTGTGGGGACCGGTAAGTTTTAACTTTCATCCTTTCAATCTCTCAGTTTCAGCAAAGATCTTATAAAGAATTTTGTTGCTTTCTTAAATTCATGAAAGAAATGTAAGCAATTGAGGTGTGTAATTTTCTTGCCCGTATTCTCTATATTAAAAAAAAATAAGAATATGGTTCTATGAATTTCTTGTGCTATTTTTGCTTTCCTTGAATTATTAAAATATGTTGCATAGAACTAATATTGTTTTCTTTTTTATTTTTATACAGGAAGGAGAGAAATATTGTTCATGTAATGTGTTACCTTTTTTTGTCTGTGTGATCTACAAGAGCATGGCTGAAATGTTACCATTTTTAACTAGTGTTTTGACTGAAGATTATTATGAAAAGTTTTACTTTTGTTAGATTCCTAATTAAAAATGCCTATACTCTTTTATAGGAGTTTCAACTTTTGCAATTTGGTAATAACAGATTTAGGTAAGTAAAAAATGAGAATCTCATACAGTTCTGAAGATCTAAGTTTGGTTGAGAATTTAATGTTTCATCACCAGTAAATTCAATTAAAGACTTTTGATTCAATTAAAGACTCAGTTCTGCCTACACCTGCAAGAACTGAGTTGATCTGTACATCAACATTTCTGATGTTTCTTTGGTAGTTGCTGCTGGAGTCAGAAGTTAGGAACAAATCTAATGGCCTTTGTAATGTCCTCTGTCATTTCACGGAGGAATGACTTAGAGGAACAAAGCTTTCCTGTGATTTCTTTCTTCAACAGATGGCTAATGGCACAGCATTGCAGTTAGAATCTTGTTTAAGATACTAGGAGCACGTCCTGGACTAAAAATTTCTACATAAGCTTTAGCAACAACCTTATAGCTTCCTTTGACTTTTTTGTAGAGCTTACAGAATGTATGGCTGCCTAAGTAATAGTCTCTGAATTAATGGGTAAAAAATATATTATGAGTTTTTTATCCTCACGTATGGTGCTAGGCTATACTGGATTTGGGCTAACAAAAGCTTGTTAACTTTTTTTTGTCTCATTGACAGAAGTATTTTATATCTCATATTTTACATTACATAGGTGTGTGTGTGTGTATGAAATAAAAGTTTGAAAATAAAGTGATATACTCTTTTTTAATCTGCTCTGTGGTAGTCTATCTTTTTCCATAAAAACAATGAGATCATGACCCAACAAATTTATTTCAGAACTCACATATATACCTGTAGCTTTTTCTTTTCAGGTAATGGTCTTCAGAAATTTGACTTGTCTTCTCGGAGTATTGAACTATTTAAACATTTTATTTTAAGAAGTATACAAAGACACATAGGACATTAAACATGTTATAGTTTTGTTGCTTGTCTTTTTCATTTGAGTAAGATATTCTATGCCCTTGTATTTGTTACTTCCTTGTACTTTTGGCCCAATAGGCTTGAAAAATTCCAAGGCACTACTGGGACAGCCAATGAAGAAGGATCAAGATTGAAAAAAATGCATCAGCAAACTGTGTTTGAGCTCTGTTTTCTGTATTTCACTGTCCTGGGTACTAGCCATAGAGTAGTTGTGCAAGGTACTTCTGGTATTTGGCCTCCTTTTACTAGTCCCTATATAAAAATTCTGGGCTTTACTTTATAATTCTAGCCTGCTTTCCAGGTATGAAACGTAGGCTAAGTGTTAGATAGCATGGGAAGGGGTGTGTTCATAAATGCAAATAAGAGAGTTGGTTGCATATTTATGTAAATTTTTTCTTTAGAATAAGTATGCCTTAATTGAACCTCAGCTATTGGCATATTTTTTGTTCCCAGTAATAATTTTTTTTTTTTTTTTTTTTGAGATGGGGTCTCACTCTGTCACCCAGGCTAGAGTGCAGTGGCATGATCAAGGCTCACTGCACTCATTCCTGGGCTCAAGCAATCCTCCTGCCTCAGCCTGCCGTGTAGCTGGGACTACAGGTATGCACCATCACACCTGGCTGATTTTTAAAATTTTTTTGTAGAGATGGTGCCTCACTATCTTGTCCAGGCTGGTCTGGAACTCCTGGACTCACACAATCCTCCCACCTTGGCCTCCCTAAGTGCTGGGATTATAGGCGTGAGCTACTATGCCAGGCCCTCTCAGTAACAATTCTTGTTATCCTTAGTTTATAGTCTCCTTCTTTTAATATTTACTTTTTCTGAGTCTTTTTTTGAGATGAAGTCTCGCTCTGTTGCCCAGGCTGGAGTGAAGTGGTGCAAAGTGAAGTCGGCTCACTGCAACCTCTGTCCCCCGGGTTCAAGCAATTCTCCTGCCTCAGCCTCCCAAGTTAGCTGGGATTATAGGCATCTGCCATTACACTCGGCTAATTTTTGTATTTTTAGTAGAGACCGGGTTTCACCATGGTGGCCAGGCTGGTCTCGAACTCCTGACCTCAGGTGATCCACCCACTTGGACCTCCCAAAGTGCTGGGATTACAGGCATGAGCCACTGCGCCTGGCCCCTTTCTCAGTCTTAAGAGGTATAAACTTAACATCATTATGAAACTTAATTTTTTAAAAAATGATAGTAGGACAAGATTAACTCCCTTCTGTCTTACTTCAGGACTAAAAGAAGCAAAAGTAAGTTTTAGGCTAAGTTCCTTTATGTGGATGATTAGAAATGTCATAGTAATTTGTACACTGAAATACATTGAGAACCTGTGGTGTGTGAGAAACTAAAGTTTAGGTCTGTTCCCTAGAAATACTTCTGTGTGAGTATTCAAGTTTGTAATAGTATTAGATTAAATATTCAGCAAGTACAGAATGTCTAATTAGGTAAAAAGTGAATGTAAAACTACAATTTGAATCTTAAAGTTAACTTACATATCAGAACTCCCCAAATGTTTACTGTACTTGTATATAATAATTTCCAACAGCCCCCAATATCCTCTCCATAGAGATGGGGCCTTTAGGCCAAGTATCCTCCCATCCTTGGTACTGACAATTTGAAGGGCCTCTTTTCAAAGAGAGATACTTAACAGATAACAGGCAATCTTGGACATCCATATGGCACATCAGAAGAACAAAAGTGTCAGGCCTATACCTTTCAAGCTCTATAAAAGTGACTCATGTTTAGATACAAGATGCTAGTCGTTCATTGTTTTTTTTGTTTTGTTTTGTTTTGTTTTTTATTTTATAGAGACAAGGTCTGTCTGTTGCCCAGGCTGGTCTTGAACCCCTCAGCTCAAGTGATACCCCCGCCTTGGCCTCCCAGAGTGCTAGAATTACAGGCGTGAGCAATTGCTCCCAGCCTTTTTTTTTTTTTTTTAAAGCATCATGGGTCTTTGAGGCTCTGAAAAAACTCTGGATTGTCTCCCCAGACAAGTAGACATAGATCCAGTGTCTGCCCTACAACTCCCAAGAATATAAGAATCTGCTTAAGGCACATCTTAAGATAATACAAGAATCTGAGCCTTCAGATTTTCCTGCATTGGTGGTGGAGTGAGTAGATATAGGAAAAGCAGAAATAATCTGTTTCTTTTAACCTGATACCATCATTACATGTTACCATTAATCCTGGATCAGTTTTTCTCTTTTATTGCTATTGAAATTTGTTCAGAATGTGGTGAAGGTGTTACCTGCTATAGGTGGTCCAGAAAGGACAGCCATCCCAGCAAAGAAACTGGCAAGTCCCAAAAACCTGTTTACTGTAGAATTCCTACACAGATCAACCTGTAGGAATTAGAATTCAGTGTTAGCCATATTAAGGGTGAAATTCTATAGAGACCTATGCCTAAAAGGGACAAATACTATTTATATCATCTCAAGCTATGAACAGTGACTTCTGGGGTGAGTTGGTTGGCTTTTTGCCCCCAATATTGTGAAAGAGCTGAGGACTAATAGCGAACAGTAAATGCTAGGCAGGCAGTGTTTTCAGTTTATTAGTAAGAACACAAGTTTTTATTTTCATTTTAATTTTTTAGGTGGTTCATGGGTACTTTTTCTTCCCCAAACCTTGCTGCTTTTCTCTTATTAGGAAATGATATTTACAATATGAATTAATAGTGATATTCTTTTTGAGACAGGGTTTCACTCTGTCACCCAGAGTGGAGTGCAGTGGTGTGATCTTGGCTCACTGCAACCTCCACCTCCCAGGCTCAAGCGATCCTCCCAGTTACTTCCAAGTAGCTGGGACCACAGGTGCGTGCCACCACACCTGGCTAATTTTTTTATTTTTTGTAGAGACGGAGTTTCACCATGTTGCCCAGGCTGGTCTCCAACTCCTGAGCTCAAGCGATCCACCTGCCTCTGCCTCCCAAAGTGCTGGGATTACAGGTGTGAGCCACCACGCCCGGCCAGACGGTGATATTCTTGAATCCTCTAAGGCTAAGTATCAACCATTGGTTTGTAAGTAATCAGATATCACAAGGAGTTAATTTCAGCTTTAGGAAGCTTGATTTTTGCCTGCACTTCATATAATATCCTGTAGCACTTACGCTAATATTGATAGAACAGAAGTTTTCTAGGAAATCTGTTCCAGCATGTTTAGGTCCTGGTTCTAAGGAGAACCCATGAGACTCCCAGGGGTTCCCAGAACACTGAAGTGTTTGTATAAGTATTTTGGTTCCATCTGGGTCGAGGACTTTGCGTCAGTTTAGGGTAAAAATGGAGAGGAAGTATAAAACAATGGCCCTGTGAAAGTACACAGGACCAAGGCAATAA
Source organism: Homo sapiens (assembly GCF_000001405.40). Lineage (NCBI taxonomy): Eukaryota > Metazoa > Chordata > Mammalia > Primates > Hominidae > Homo > Homo sapiens. The sequence goes on from NC_000001.11 coordinate 110,376,542, forward strand.
CTTCAAGAGAGAAACCACACTGGTCGGGAAATCCTTTTTTCTCTTGAAGTGTTCTCAGGGATCTTTTCTTTAAGATTGTGTCTTAAAAGGAGCCAAACAAGTTTCTGGAGCTGAAGGAGAGACGTGAACACAATCCTAATCTAGGAGACTGATAAGTAAAAAGGAATCCTGCTGATCCCTTTTTTGCTTTAATTTTATTCCTGTCCCATGTGGATAGTCCTCTCACCATCCCTCCCCACTCACACACAAGATGAGTAACTGGACAGGATATAGCTGCAGAGTTTCTAAGGTCTTTGAAATGATTTTTTAAGTTACAAAATTAATACAAAATACGTATTTTGGGGAGATTGTTACTGATACTTGCTTTTACTAAATGGTTTAACAATGTTAATGAGTGTGTCTACTCACCAGTACAGGCAGTATCAATGCCAGGTAACCACCAGCAAAGATGGCAAAGCAGATGGTGTAGGTCATAAGTAGTGGAAATGTGGTGGCTAAAGGAGCAAGCAGGTTAGTGATGCCGCAGAGGATGAGGTAAGACTTGTGGTAATGATACTTCTTAATCCAGTTTTGATCAGCAACCCATCCAGAAATAATCTGACTGACCGTCTCAAGGATACCTGGAACAATATTGAAATCTTTTTATTTTCCTGGTCCCTTTGAAAAATGTGAATGCATACAGCATCATTTCCCAAGTAATATGATCTCATCCTGAGGCCAGGATATGTGAGGAAAAAAATGATTTGATTTGTGTACCAGTAAGCTCTATTATATACTTACCTATTCCAAATACATTTAATAAAATAGCAAAAAAGTCTCCGCTAGAGTAGTGTAGAAGACCCATGTAGTTAGTGTTTTTTTCTGATTGTGTTTGGAAAGCTTACGTCACTACAGTGGTAATCCCTGGTTACAGAGGACCCTGGGCACAGAAGGCCATGCAGTCTCTTCGTCTAAGAGGTCCTGCAAGTGAGAAAATGAAGTTTCTAAAAGACAAATAGACCTTCAGGTCAGTGTCTTGGGGAAGTCATATTGTAGAAGATTGGAGTATAAATAAGTCTTCTGTTAAAAAAGGAGATGTTGGGACTCATAATTGCATACGAAGTTTTAGGAAGTAAGTCCTCCAAAGTTTATGCTTAATTTGAAAATATGTAGGAAGTTTGGAAATGGGAGATTGTATTTTGGACCACTGCACCTGGCCAAATCCCTCTTCTAGATCAAGCATTCTGTCTTTAAACAGTTTTATGAGTAGTCAACTAAAATAGTTGTTTTTATTTATTTATTTATTTTTATTTTATTATTATTTTTTGAAACGGAGTCACGCTCCGTCACCCAGGCTGGAGTGCAGTGGTGCATTCTCGGCTCACTGCAAGCTCCGCCTCCCGGGTTCATGCCATTCTCCTGCCTCAGCCTCCTGAATAGCTGCTACTACAGGCGCCCGCAACCACGCCTGGCTAATTTTTTGTATTTTTAGTAGAGATGGGGTTTCACCACGTTAGCTAGGATGGTCTTGATCTCCTGGCCTCATGATCCACCTGCCTCGGCCTCCCAAAGTGCTGGGATTACAGGCGTGAGCCACCACGCCCGGCCAGTTGTTTTTACTTTTAATTTACATTTTAACTTATTTTAAATATCAGACAGTCCATAAGTGACTAGCCTTAAAAGTCATATTTATCTGTTTTACTATGAGTTCAAGGGGAAAATTCCTTAGCTACAAATAATAAAACATTATTGAATGCTTACTACAGGCCAGGCACTATTCTAAACTCTACATGCATTGCTTTTTTGATCCTGACAATCTTATGAGGGTAGATACTATTATCCCTATATTACAGATGAGGAAATGAAGGCACCATGAAGCAAAGTAACTTGCTGAAGTTCCCACAGTTAAGAAATACAGAGCAGGAGGTTGAGCCAGGGAAGTCTTGCTCCAGAACCAATCCTTGAGCCACTGCACTGTGCTGTCTACCTGGGGTTTTCTGCTCCTTATAGTGGCTATTGCCATTGAGCATCAGCTTTTTGAAATTTCCGCATTTATCCAATAAATAATGTCTACTGTGTCAAACACTGTTATATGAAGATGAATAAGACTTGATTTAGGGTCCACTGTCTAGTAGGGGAGCCTGTGTGCAGTGACAGAGATCTCTTCCTGGGAAATGCCCAGGTGCTCCATCTAGCCTCAAAAATTTTACTTTCTCTGGCCCTTCTACAATTCCTCTTTTGTTTTTCTTTAGCTTTTTATTAAAATGTAATAAGCTTGTAAAATTAAGTTGATCTTTCCTTTTGGGTAGGAGGCTGATGTAGGCTTTCTTACCTGCTACAGAAACAAGGTAAGAGGCATCCATGATGTCAATCCCCAGTGTTTTGGCTCTGGCTACCAGGTGAAAGGTAGGGATGAAGTATGCTAACTGACTGAGGAGAAAAGACCAAGTAAATATGTAGAAGAAAGGATTTCTAAAGAGAGAAATGTCAAACAGTTGTTTGCAGCTCCACGAAATAACCTTATCACTTTCTTCATCACTCTTTAATAACAGTCTGTTCCTGTTAGGCCCATTGTAGAACTCTTCACTTTGATTTTGTGAGACTGTTAAATTTTTGCTAGGTAGTCCAGCCTTCTGCGTAGTACTGTCCTTGATGGTAGACTCTTCTGTCTCATGGCAGTGTGTTTCTGTTGCATGTGCCTCTGGACCATGTGCAGACAAACTGCTGCCTTTATCTTTAATACCAGAATTGTTCTCACTTTTGATATGGATGGGTCTTAAGAGCATACTAGAAGGCACCAAATTCAATGCGATAGCTCCAAATAATATAAGGGCTCCTAAATAGGGAGAGATTGAGCAATTAAAAATAGCCTTTCAGTTCACAATACTGCTTTGTGTTCATAGGCTCAGAAGAGGCCCCACTGGCATAGCCCATTAATTCTTGAAAACATTACTTTGTCTCCGATTTGACTTATTAGTCATATACACTGCTGTATCCGTGTAATAATGTAGTGCTTTGGAGATAGAAAACCAGAAAGCTGCACCAATAGATGGGATAAAAGGAGAGATGGTGGTTATTTGTGTTAAGGGGGGTAGGGGGGGCAAGTTTTTGGAGGGAGAGGAGAGTGTTTCAAATGCTAAAAAATTAAATAGAAAATTTAAATATCCTGAAGTGAGAGTACAGATTTAGGTACAGAAAAAATAGAATAAGATGAAAGAAATCATTTGGAAACAGCCTTAGAAGAGGGGACAGCTGGCCAGGTGCTATGGCTCATACCTGTAGTCCTAGCATTTTGGGAGGCTGAGGCAGGCAGATCACTTGAGCCCAGGAGTTCAGGACCAGCCTGGGCAACATGGTGAAAACCTGTCTCTACAAAAAATACAAAAAAATTAATTGATGTGGTGGTGTGCACCTGTAGTCCCAGTTACTTGGGAGGCTGAGGTGGGAGGATCGCTTAGCCTGGGAGGTGGAGGTTGCAGTGAGCCGGTATCATGCCACAGCACTCCAGCCTGAATGACAAAGCGAGAGAGCCTGTCTCAAAAAAAAAAAAAAAGCAGCGGGAGGGAGGAAGGCATGGATAGCCTTTCATCCCATGACATTTTTTAGATCTTCCTTAAAAGATGACAGATGCTAATCTTGCCTTTGGAGCTGAATAGTTGCTTGCATTCAGCGTGTCCTGATCAAAGCTATGATTTGTATGGTGCTTCTAAAGATAGAATGGGCTATAGGTTCTGCTATCCTATCATGGATTTGTCAGCTGGTCCCATTCACCATGAGACTACTGAATAGTTAGGAAAGATTCAACAAAACTGCCATGTAGATAGCAATAGGCATATGAATACACACATATACATGTATTTTTTCCAGTAGTTTAGGATTATTTTAATCCAAATGTCTTAGTTACAAAGAAAATTGTGAGTTGAATCATTTTTTATTCATTTGTGAAAATTTATAGTTGACATTACATAAACTCTTAAGGAACATACTCTTTTTACCAAAGTATTTGTTTCTTTTTTATCTATTTCAGTGAGTCCGATGGGGGAGGAGTTTTTTTAAATGCAGATTTTTGTCTTAAAGGGAAAATGGGAAAAGTGAGGGTTTTTGATGGGGCGGGGGCGGGGGGGGAAGGGGGAAGCCTTATTTCCCCAGAAGTATCGCTTTTACTGCAAGCTGTTTCCAGCTGCACGGAATGCCCTCCATCTCCTCAGACATTGAGCCCTATGGTGAATTCTGAGTTGCTTGTGTGAGCTGGCAAAGCCTGCAAGTATTTCAAGATCTCTTTTGCGTATGTATTCTCCAGGGAAGAGAAGCATGTTTACTTTAGAAATTATGCTCATTTCCTCTCTTGCAATACCTTGTGAAATCGATTGCTCTGAAAGTCTTAACTTCCATTTCTCAAAGGGAGAAAGCTGAACGCTAAATCTTGCACAGTTGATAGTAAATAAACTTAGAATGACGTACCTGTCCAGTCATACAGATCTATCAGGAATTTTGTAAAGGGTGCCAAAAGAAAAGTCAGTCCCATCCCAGAACGGGCAATAGCTGTAGAAAGAGCCAATCGTTTTTTGAAGTATTTGGTAGTTACCACAGCAGCCACTTGGTATAAGAAAGCAGAACCCAAACCTAAAAGAAAAACGTAATAGTTTAGAATCACTCTTACATTAAGTGGCTTGGTAACAGAAAAGATAATCTCCTGGATCCGAGATAATACAGCTAGGCCTTTTGGACCCAGGAACAGTAGAAGGGAAGAGTCCTGTTCCATCTTCTATCTTCTATGGATGGATGCATATATACATACACACACACACACACATATTTTGAGACAGGGTCTCACTTTGTCACCCAGACTGGAGTGCAGTGGCACAATCTCGGCTCACAACAGCCTCAGCTTCCTGGGCTCAAGCAATCCTCCCACCTCAGCTTCCCAAATAGCTGGGACTACAGGCATGTGCCACCACTGGCCTGGCTAATTTTTGTATTTTTAGTAGAGACAGGGTTTCACCATGTTGCCCAGGCTGGTCTCGAACTGGACTCAAGCGATCCACCCACTTTGGCCTCCCAAAGTGCTAGGATTACAAGTGTGAGCCACCACTCCTGGCCTTCTATGGTCACATAATTACAATGGACTCACCGGGTAGAAGTCCCATAGTCACACAAAGAAAAGGAATACTTGTGGCCCAGCTGCTGATCAGATATCCACCAGTAACAACGAAAGCCCCAAGAATGGAGGTAGTTTTCTCTCCAAGTATGTCACAAATAATAGCAACCAGGGGACCTTAAGAGAAGAAAGAAAGGCAATTCTTAGGTAAATAATGATCTGGCATCCCTTATCCTCTGATGGCGATTTAAATGAATGACAAGGAAAGCAAGAGGACTGTTTACTTTGAAGTATTACGTATTCTTCAAAAAAGATTTTCATATCGGGTTTCTTAATATCACTAGTGCCACACTATTTTAGTTTTTGGAAGGGGAGTTTAAAAGGAAATGTTGATTGTAAGTAAGGTTTGGAGGGGAGGTGATTTGAAATGCATTATAGAACCTCCACAAAAAGATTGCATCTAGTGGTCAATGACTAGAATAAGGTTGAATCACTTATCTGCTCTTCCACCCTGTTACAGCTCCAAATAAAAGGAGAAGAAATTGGTTCTATAATTTGTTTTGAGGCTGGACGCCGTGGCTCTTTAATCCCATACTTTGGGAGGCCAAGGTGGGCAGATCACCTGAGGTCTGGAGTTTGAGACCAGCCTGGCCAACATGGTGAAACCCCATCTCTACTAAAAATACAAAAATTAGCCAGGCATGGTGGCGGGCGCCTGTAATCCCAGCTAGTTGGGAGGCTGAAGCAGGAGAGTTGCTTGAACCTGGGAGGCAGAGGTTGCAGTGAGCCGAGATAGCACCACTGCACTCCAACCTGGGCAACAGAGTGAGACTGTGTCTCAAAAAAAAAAAATAAATAAAATTGTTTTGAATATACTTAGATAACTAGAACTTCATGGCCTAACTTCCAGGTTGAGGGCCTTACTCATTGAACCTATATTAAGGCATTAACAGACTGGAAAGGCAATGCATGAAATACTGAATCATGGCATTTAATAATTCCTCAGCTTTCTTTGTTTGAATGCTGATTCTCCCAACTTTGTTACTAAGTCAAGTGGAAGCTAAATATTGCAATTCCTTACTTTCTCAGCGTTACATATCAGTAAATGAACCTTAATTTTAGAAACTGAATTCCTATTCAGTCTTGAATAGGAATCTTGGAATTGCCCTTTGTGGTTCTTCTCCTTAGACAGCAAGCTTATTGCCAGCTTTATACCTGCACAAAAACGAAGAGATGACATGATGGATCCAATCCAACCAATTTGCTCTGAGGTGCCTTCAAACTCTTCTTGAAAGACCACAAAGAAAATTGCAAAAGTCTTGGTCATCCCCATCACAAACACATTCACCTAAATCAAAGCAGACCAGAGTCCAACTCAGGTGGTAAGTGAGCCATTACAGAGGCAATTACGGCTACTAGAAGTTATGATTCCCTCAGCTTACTACTATTTACCAGTTTGCCTTATTGGTTGAGCCTCATTATACATCTTATATTTTATGGGGGAAGTCATTCCTTTTAAAGTAGCTAAGCATTTTAAATGGAAACATCTCATTTAATCCTCATTTCATGGCTTTGGAATAGGCATGCCAATGTTGTGTACCAAATAATTTATACCAAATAAACCACCCAGTGGGTTCATCTTGCCTGCTGCCTAGATACAGTTGATTTATCAAGACAGGAATTGCAATAGAGAAAGAGTTATTCCCACAGAGCCCATTGTGCAAGAGACTGGAGTTTATTAGACCAATCAGTTTCCCCGAGCTTTTGGGGATCAGAGTTTTTAAGGATAATTTGGTGGGTGGGAGGCCAGTGAGTTGGGAGTGCTGATTGGTTGGGTCAGAGATGAAATTCTATCAAAGCTGCCCTTTTGCGCTGAGTCACTTCTGGGTGGAAGGGTGGAGGGGGACCCACAACCAGATGAGCCAGTTTATTAATCTGGGTGGTGCCAGCTGATCCATCAAATGCAGGGCCTGCAAATTATCTCAAGCACTGATCTTAGGTTTCACAATAGTGATGTTATCCCCCGAGCAATTTGGGGAGGGTCAGTCTTGTGGCCTCCAGCTGTATGACTCCTAAACCATAATTTCTAATCTTATGGCTAATGTGTTAGTCCTACAAAGGCAATCTAGTCCCCAGGCAGGAAGGAAGTGTTTTTTTTTTTTTTTGGAAAGGGCTGTTAAAAGGAGGTTTTTTTTTTTTTTTTTTTTTTTTTTTGGAAACGGCTGTTAGTTTCTCTTTCAAAGTTAAGCTATCAACTAAGTTTCCCCCAAAGTTAGTTCAGCCTACGCATGGGAATGAACAAGGACAGCTTGGAAGTTAGAAGCAGGATGGATGGAGTTGGTTAGGTCAGATCTCTGTCACTGTAATAATTTTCTCAGTTATAACTGCAACAGCAGTTCCAAGATCAGGAAATTGAAGTTTAGAGAGGTAAAAAGTTGCTTAAAATAGGGGTACTGGAACTGAGATTTGAACCCAGATTAGACTGACTCTAGACCTGGCACTCTTTTACTGCCCTCAGTAGCATCTGTTAAAGACAGCTAATTCCAGTTACCTTTGTGGGAGAAAAGTGTTTGTCCAAAGAGGAATAATTATTCCTGTCAGTTCTTAGATTAGTTTTGATTTAACTCTGCTGCTGAGCTGAGTACCTTCCTTCACTAGATATATAAATAGGTTGACCATAAAATGTATCATCCAAATTGAGACACTCAAGAGTGAAAAGGGGTGCTTAATTTTGGATTAACTGGGATTTGTGGCCATCTTAAGGTTGGGCCAGGGGCCCCATCCTTTTCTTTCTGCCCCACCTAATCTTCCTTACCTGTACTCCACTAGAATTGCTGCTTTGGAGATGAGGTTTTCTTTCTGTGGAGTATTAACTTTTATTTCTCAGAATTCTAGTTAGCCGGGGGGCTGTTAAGTGCTATTCCTTCTTTCCGTTTTTAAGTAACAGTCATGCTTTATCCCACAGGGGTCTAGAGGGGAACCTAGCCAGGGTTTGCATTCACTCGTAAAGCCCAGGTGTACTCTCTGTCTCCAGGGGTTTCGTAGCGTTGGCTTTTCAAGGCCACTTCTGCTTTCAACCTGGCCATGCATTGCTTATGAACCACAAAACCAGCTGGGCATGGAGGCTCCTGCCTATAATCCTAGTACTTTGGGAGGCCGAGGTGGGTGGATCGCTTGAGCCCAGGAGTTCAAGACCAGCCTGGGCAACATGGCGAAACCCCGTCTCTACAAAAAGTACAAAAAATTAGCTGGGCGTAGTGGTATAACACCTGTAGTCCCAGCTACCTGGGAGGGTGAGGTGGGAGGAACACCTGAACCTGGGAGGTCGAGGGTACGGTGAGTTGTGATCACACTACTGCACTCCAGCCTGGGCGACAGTGAGACCTTGTCTCAAAATTAATAATAATAAAAGAACCACAAAGCCTTAGGTTCCCCTTCATTAATTCCACTTTCTCGGCCCGCCTGTTACAGTTCTGTACTCATCTCGCTTGATATCTGCTCCCTGGACAATCATTTACTCTCAAGGTTTTAATTACCACCTGCATACTTATGGTGGTGTAGCTGAACAGGGTTCTGCAATCAGTCTGCCTTAACTTGCATCCAGGCTGTTCTTCCTACTGGGGCGTGACCTTGGGCAAACAACTTCGCACGTCACATGGGTTAAGCTTCCGCTTTTATGATGGGGGAGGCGGCATTGGGGATGAAAATATTACCTAGCTCATAAGACTGTGAAGATTAATTGAGAAAATTCTGATAAAGTACTTAATATTTGGCACTTAACACTCAAACAATTAACTGTGGTTTCCATTCTGCTTTCCCAAGAGCTTCAGACTCCTAATTGTCTACCATATCTTTATAACTTCTGGTCAACTTGTCCAAACATAAACTCACATTTCCCTTATCCTATGCCTACTCTTTTCAGTTTTTTCTATTGGTACCATCCACCCATTCATTTGAGTGACAGATGTGCTTTCTCTTAGACACCTCCCTCCCTCAGCCCCTGCTTTTAAATAATGGTCAAGACCTGCCCCCTTCTTTTCACCCCATCACTACTGGCGATGCTCAGAAATTGCAAAAGTGGTAGTGGTGAGGAAGAAGTCTCTTAATATACTTTTTCCCATTCTGATTTGATAAAAGGAACAAAACTTATTTAGAATGAAGAGTGCTATAAACGCCAGGACTATATATTCAAAAGTTAAAAAGACATTTTATCAGGCCCCCATTGAGGCAATTTATAACCATAATTTTCCTCTAAGGCACTTCTGTCAGGCTAGAAATTAGGTTAGAAAATATACACAGATCTCAAATGACTTAGACTTTCTTCTCTCAGTTCATAATAATGTGATGATTGTGTCCTCTCATGAGCAAGGAATAATACAGTGCATCATTCTGTAAAGTAAACTTCCTTTTGTTCTATGGACGTGGGTTCTGTGCTGGTGTCTAGAGGATGTTGACCTCTATATTCTTAGCTACCTAAATTTAGCTAGCTACTGGTCCCCCAGTTCAGAGCTTTTCATCTCTGGTCTGTCCTTGGTGTCTGCGTGTAGCAGCAGTGAATGGTTAGGACTTGTCTCTAATAACTGAGTCCGTGTCCACTATGTATCAAGAAGACCAAGGGCAGAGCCTTTGCACCTACCATGCTTCCCGTCCCTTAACTTGAAGTCTTCCAACTTTGTTTCAGTTTTGACTCAAAGATATTAAAAATCTCTCCCAAGGTCTAGGTTTTTCCTTAGTTAATTTAGCAGACTACATAAATCTGCATTATTCTACATAATCCCATGTCTTAGACCAAGCTTGGTGGGTTTTAGTTCTGTTACCAGAGTCCACGTCATACATTGTAAATGGCTCACTCCAAAATAAAGCAAAAACCCTAGAACTTCTCCAGTCCCCTCATTTTCTTTTTGTTTTTAAGAGCAGTTAATTGGGTTGAACCTGGCAGGAACACCTTAAGCAGGACTTCCCCCACACCCCACCTCCAATAAGAGCTTCCTCACTAGATCATTTTAATTATTGTCTGGGAAAGGAGTTGGATCAGCCTCAGTGACTTATTTTCAATACAGGCACCAGGCTTTGTCAGAGTTAGTTTTATCTAATAACAACTTCTTATCCTGCGTCCTTTTCTAGTATCACCCTAGCTCCTCCTGACCTTCACAGGCAAACTTCTGTAAAAAATGGTCTATTAGGTATCTCCACTTTCTGTCATTCTGCTACTCCACTGAAAACTAAAGTTCACTAACTTTGGCCCCCACTGCTCCACTGTACTAGCTCTTATCAAGGTTATTAGATTTCTTTGTTGCTAAACCAATAGAGTCTTGTTATTTCTCTCCTATTTGACCTCTCAGTAGCATCTGCTCGTCACATTTCTCTGAAATGCAAATCTATCACATCCCTGCTTAATTTTTCTCATTAGCTTCTCATAGCCTCAAGAGCCATTCTCATCTCTTCAGTTTCATCAACTATCCCCTTCATCCTTATTTGTTTATTCATAAATGTGTGCAGCTATCAATTCATCCATCCATCTATCCATCCACCAACAGTATTTTACTGAGTGCCTACTATGTTCCAGGCTGTATACTGGCACTGGGCTTACGGTAATGAGCATATACTCATGAGCAATGCAGACATAGACCCTGCCCCCATGGAACATTCAGTCTAGTAAGACAGACTGAATACAGAAAACAGTCATACAAATATATAAAGTGTGGTAAGTTGGTTAGAATGAATCTCTCTCTCTTTTTTTAAGTAGGAAGCTCCCAAAGAACATTGTTATTTTTCACTTACTAGGAGCTCATCTGTTATAGAAAAGAACAGTTGTAAGTCATACAGAAACAAAAGCACAGTCATTCAAGTATCCACATTACAACTGTGGGGGATTAGCCCCTGAATTTATTGTTAACATTTTGAGGATCCAGTGCATTTTTTGTGCTTAGTAAGCAGTATCACACCCTAAAAGTGGGACAGTGTTTATTAATCTGGTTATTAGATGGTTTTTCCTATCAGCAACTAAATTGATCAAAAACCATTCTATCCTCAGAGGATAATGTAGAAAAAGTCAGGGTGGTTACTGGGGAGAAAGGCAGGAGAATTAGAGATCCTCACCAACAGTGCCTATTCTGCAAAGCCTATGATTTAGGGGGGTGGCCCAGCCCCAGGAAGGGCTCTCAGACTTAGGGCATCCTTTAGTTTCCCTATTAGTAACATTTCTAGGGGGAAAATGAGATTGTTTAGTACTGAAGCTAATGTTTAGCAAGTACTACTATTATGTGTTAAGAGTTTTGTATTACATAAATCCTGGCTGGGGACCTCTGCCCCTATCTTGTCTAGCACGAGGGAGGAGGCCTGATGTTTTCCCACCATCCTATTTGTAGAATTCTTAGATATCTGCATGTGAACTATAGGATTATTAGAAGGCACCAAGACCTGTGCTACCTTTCCCCGTGAGCTGCTTACTGTAGGGCTGAGTAGGGGGGAAGTGTCGGCAAGAAAAGGGTGTTTTTTTTTGAGTGCATCTCAAAGTTAATAGAACTCTGGAAACACTTAAGAATTGTGCAGCTGGTGCCACTCTCTGGAGAGCTGTGTGGGGCATAGCTGGGGTTCACCAACATTCTGGAATGGGCATGCTGATGATGCAGATCACCACTCTCACACCTCAACCCCTGGGAGGGTGAGGGAAAGAAGTTAATTTAAAAAATGGAATGCCTCGTCTAGTTGCTTATGGGTAAAGGAGAAGAATCAGGCTCCCCCTTCAAAATCCTTGTCCTCCCTTTCCAAACACATCGGAAATATAGATAGCATAAACTATAGTTAGTGGGGATGGATTGGGAAGTAGACAGCAGGCCAAACAGAGGAAATGTCCCCACCCCTTATCGGTAGAAGGGGCTGTGCCCACAGTGTTCTATCTATGCTGGGCTGAACTGGGGAGATCACCCCCAGAGCACTTTTTAGCACCTCCCAGTGCTACTTTTGGGATGGTTAAAAGTATGATTGTCCCCAAACCCTAATTGCCATGCAGCCAGTACAGAACTGCTGATTGTGACTGAGCATTCTCAGGTTTAAGAGATGATAGGAAGAGTAGATGACTGGATTCAGGAACACTTCTGTTTGTTTGTTTTGAGAGAGTCTCTCATGGTTGCCTAGGCTGCAGTGCAGTGGCACGATCTTGGCTCACTTCAGTCTCCACCTCCTGATTTCAAGCAATTCTCCTGCCTCAGCCTCCCAAGTAGCTGGGACTACAGGTGCATGCCACTGCACTCAGCTAATTTTTGTATTTTTGTAGTGATCGGGTTTCACCATGTTAGCTAGGCTGGTCTCGAACTCCTGACTTCAAGTGATCCACACACCTAGGCCTCCCAAAGTGCTGGGATTATAGGTGTGAGCCCCCACACCCAGCCCAGGAACATTTCTGCTTTTGCTCTAGGGGCATTTTCAACTTTCTCCTGGGTTCGGCATGGGCCTCTGACTTTAGCAGTTTTTGGCAGCTCCTGGCCTTGTTCCTGCCCACCCCTCCACTCAGATGCCAAAGATTTCCTAAGTGATCCTATTCGTAGGCAGCTCTGAGCCTTTCTCCAGAAAGCCTGCTTTTAGGCAATAGGAAAGGGGGAAAAAAGTGAATTCTTACCAGGAAAAAATGAATCACAATCATCCATCCCCATCCTCCATCCAGGGTTTTAGTGTAAGGTTGGACCTTCCCCTCCCTCTTCAGCATGATGCCTCTTCTATTTTAAATGCAGAAGATCCCTGTGATAAATCCAAGACAGTTGATTCAGTGGACCAGAAACTAATCTAAACTTTTAAACTTTTTATCTGAAAGGGAACGTTCATACATTGTTGGTGGGAATGCAAATTAGTTCAGCCACTGTGCAACGCAGTTTGGAGATTTCTGAAAGAACCAAAAATTGAACTACCATTTGACCCAGTAATCCCATTCCTGGGTATATACCCAAAGGAAGATAAATTGTTCTACCAAAAAGCCACATGCACTTTTATGTTCACTGCAGCATTATTCACAATAGCAAAGACATGGAATCAACCTACGTGCTCATCAACAGTGGGTTGGATAAAGAAAATGTGATACATAGACACCATGGAATACTACACAGCCACCATAAAAAAGAACAAAATCATATCCTTTCCAGCAATATGGATGCAGCTGGACCATTATCTTGAGCAAATTGATGCAGAAACAACCAAATACTGCATGTTCTCACTTATAAGTGGGAGCTAAAAATTGGGTACATATGGACATAAAGAGGGGAACCACAGACACTGGGGACTACAAGATAGGGAGGGAGGAGGGTTGAAAAACTCCCTATTGGATGCTGTGCTCACTATCTGGGTGAGGGGTTCAATTATACTCCAAATCTCAGCATCAGACAATATGCCTTTGTAACAAACCTACACATGTACCCCCTGAATCTAAAATAAAAGTTGAAATGTAATACAAAACAGAAAAAAAACCTCTTTCCCTATGATATAAAACCACTTGTAATTTTTTTTTAACCCCTCAGTTACAGATGAAGTCTGCCTGATGCAACTAAGGACTTAGTTACCTGGAAAGCCTGATCTCAGTGACTGTGGGGTGGCCACTCCTAGAACTGTACTCAGTGTCCCTCCCCCCAGGTCTGCAAGCCAGTTTCTTGGAGAAGCTGTGCGTCACCCTGCTGGTCCTCCGGGTGAACTCTTAAGAGAAATAGAAAGGGAAGGCGAGCCTTGAGTTTAGGAATTCTCCTTAGAAAACACTTGCTAAATGTAAATATTTTTGGAGCTAAACAGACATGACAACGAAATGCGATACCCGCTTATTGAATATATCCTAGATCAGAAAAAAAAGTTGTAAAAGACAGTTTGTGGGGACAGTTGGGGAAATTTGAATATGGACTGTATAATACAGAATACTGTACCAAGGTTAACCTCTTGGAACCTCTTCCACAAGAGAATATTCTTAGGAGATACATGCTAAAGTATTCAGGAGTAACATGACACTATGCTACCTTCTCCCAATCGGTTCCGTAAAATAAACAAGTGTATATAAAGAATGATAGCAAAAAGAAAATGTAAATGTTCTGAGGAAGGGGGAACAGTACTCATTATTTCCCCTGTCGGGTCGAAGGCTGACTGTTTCTAACTGGAAAGGAAAGTCAGCTGGCAGGGTATGCGGAATGGCCATCTGGTGAGCAGGCTGGGTGGGGAGAGATGCCAGTCGTTGTTAGAAAACCAACCCAGCACACAGTCCCATTCCCATCTTACCTTTGATGTGGTGTTCAGCAAAGAAATCCTCCACAGATGGGGCAATTAAGGAAGAAAAATAAATTACACCGTTTTCTGGAATGTTACTCTTTTTCTAAGGCATTTCATTTTGCTGCATTGTGAAAACAAGTGAGCATTGTAAGAGCCAAGGAGGGCTCAGACGATTTAGGCCCTCCTGCTAGTGGACTTTACTTCCTGAGGGGAGGAGGAAAGACTGTGATTTGATGTCATCTCAGGCCCTCCCTCCACCCACAGTCACTCAGAAGGTAGAATTTTTTGCCGCAGGCTCAAAAGCAAGCATGAAGTAAACTAAGTGGAAAGTCCTTTTGGCGACTATGCTCAGGGCAGGGGGATGGGGCTCCAGAGCTCTCATACACTTGTCTTCAAATTTCCTCAGGGAACTTCTCACAACATGCTTATTTTACAGGAGAATATAAAACTCCTGGATGGGTGGTGAGAGAGGCATTTCCTGGGCCACAAACAGAAATCTTCAGTAAGCTCAACCCATTCGTGTGGCCTTTTGTATATTGACTAAAGATTCTGGTTACTAATTTGGGGTTTCAGACCCCATTTTAATTGCATTTTTGAGATCTGATTACCTCAACCACCTCCTGCAAAAGACGTATGCTCGTAGTAATTTTAATGAGATTTTTTTTATTATATTTTGGAAATGGTTAAGGCTGAGACCCCTAGAAAATTACTGGGATAATTCAACTTTCTCTTCCCATTTCCTCCCTCTACCCTCCACATAAAACAAAACAAAACAAACAAGTCAAATGGGAAATTGTCTTTCGTCTCCCACACCAATATTCCAGATTTTAAACCAGAGTATATTTTAGACGAAAGGATGTGTTTTTAGTTTTATCTGGAAAATCTGCACATATTTATGCATGTTCCTTTTTAAGAAGCAAGAGGCTTCTCAGATTCTTAAAATCAAACTCTATAATACTTTTTGATTAAAGTGCTTGCAGAAGGACAGCTTAGTGGTTTGGGAGGGTGCCCTGTAAGTGTAAGCATGGAAGGATTATGCAGTTACATGATGCTGGTGGCAAGGATCAAATAAACATTCAACAGAAGGAGAAAACCCAAAGAGAGAAGGCAAATAAATGCTTTTCAGAGAGCTGTTTGTAATTATGAATACACTCTAGACAACTTTTTTTTTTTTGAGACAGAGTCTCACTCTGTCGCCCAGGCTGGAGTGCAGTGGTGCAATTTCGGTTCACTGCAACCTCTGCCTCCCGTGTTCAAGTGATTCTCCTGCCTCAGTCTCCCAAGTACCTGGTACTACAGGCGCATACCACCACGCCCAGCTAATTTTTTGTATTTTAGTAGAAACGGGGTTTCACCGTGTTGCCCGGGCTGGTCTCAAACTCCTGAGCTCAGGCAATCCGCCTGCCTTAGCCTGCCAAAGTGCTGGGATTACAGACGTAAGCCACCGTGGCCAGCCTGAAAACATTTTTTAGTAAACAAGACTGATTTATTTATTTTTTTGGTGGCACGCTTGTTGCTCTTTTAAAGCAGGGCTATCTATGATTTCTTTTTTTCTTGAGACAGGGCCTGCTCTATTGCCCAGGCTGGAGTCAGTGGCATAATCATGGTTTACTGCAGCCTTGACCTCCCCAGCTCAAGCAATCCTCCTACCTCAGCCTCCTGAGTAGCTGGGACTACAGGCATGCACCACCATGCTCAGCTAATTAATTTTTTTTTTTTTTAAGAGATGGGGGTTTCACTCTGTTGCCCAGGCTGTTTGCAATGTCCTGGGCTCAAGCGATCCTCCCATCCTGACCTCCCAAAGTATTAGGATTACAGGCATAAACCACTGTAAGGAGCCAGCTATCCATAATTCTAATCACAGGATGAAATGATGCTAGGCTATATATATATTTTTCTTACACACACACACACAGAGGAATATATATATACACACATATACATATAGGAACATATACAACTGGGAAGTTAGATTTCAGGAGGGTTCCTACCATTCCTTAAATGATAATAGTGAATCATTGTGCCTAACCTATGTAAACAATACATTATATATGTGTGTATATATTCCTATTCATCTTTGTCTTATAATAGGCTTTATATTGATAGAGAACTCTGATGCTAATGCCTGGGGTCAGATTTGAAATGCGGCAGAACAGCAAGTCATTCATAGAGGCCAAGAGGACAGCAAAGTAATCAGAGATGAACTTCAAACATATGTTTCATAGAGGCACATGAACAGAAATGCAGGCTTGGTGATAATCTCAATTTTGTCAGTTTTTAAGCCCGTAGACTCTGGGCAATTTACTCTCTTTGAGTCTGTTTCTAAAACTCTAAAGCGTAGCTAATATTTTGCAAGGTTGTTGTGAGGATTAACAATATATAATGTAAGATGACTGCACATTGGACCTACTATTGGTACTTGGTTCATGAAAAATAATTTTTGTTAGTCAAATGAGGCCTAATAGCAAGAAGAAAGAATTCTTAAGCCACCTTTGGGATATTAGTTAACATTTTGGCATCTGTACCCAATTGTCTTAATAAAGCTTGTAGGGTCTTTAACGAAACATAAACAATTCCCTCAACTTCTAACCTTTTAACTCTTGGCCCTAAAGCTATTCAGCAAGAATGCAGCATGATTTGGCAATCACCACTATTACCCCCATCCCAGTGTCAAACATAGCCAGCCCAGGAATAATTTTTAACACTTATGGATTTAGACTTTAATAAGCTTTACCAACTAGAATTAAGATACTTTATTTTTAGTTGACTCTCTCCTTGCCCTCATTCAATCCTTGTTCAGAAAAGAGTTAACATCGCTGGCCTGAGATTCCTATTCTTTGAAAGGCCTGTTTACATGGTTGGCCTCTGGCTGGCAACTGGGAACTTAGATTTCAGGAGGGTTCCTACCATTCCTTAAATGATAATAGTGAATCATTGTGCTTAAACTATGTAAACAATACAATTTTTATGCTGAACATTTGCTTTTTTCGGGAGCTTGGAATTTTGATATGTGCTAGGCAGAGAGGGTACTTTGGTGACCAGCCCCCTTGGGCACTGAGTCTCTACTAAGCTTTCTGGATTGGCAACATTTCACACATGTTGTTACAACTCATTGCTGGAGGAATTAACTGCATCCTGTGTATCTTCACTGATAGAAGAATTCTTGCAAGCTTCTGCCTGGTTTCTTCTGGACTTTGCCCCATCCTCCTTTTGCCTTTGTTGAGTCAGCTTTGTATCCTTTCACTTTAATAAACCATGTAAGTACAACAACTAAATGCTCAGTCCTGTGAGTCATCCTAGTGAATTATCAAACCTGAGGGGTTGAATGAGTCTGGGTTCTCGAGAAAGAATAGAATATTCTCCAGAGCAAGAACCAGTGATGGGGGAGGAGATATTAAGGTTGATTTACTATGAGAATTGACTCACATGATTATGGAGACTGAAAAGCCTGCACTCTGGTCAGCAAGCGGGACACTCAAGAGAGTTGATGGTGTAGTTCCAGTCTGAGTCCAGAAGCCTGAAAACCAGAAGTGCTGATGGTGTAAGTTTTAGTCTGAGAGGGCCTGAGAACCAGGAGAGCCATTTGTGTAAGTTCCATTCTGAGTTTGAGTCCAAAGTCAGGAGAAGACTGATGTCCCGACTCCAAGACAGTCAGGCAGTGAGAAATTCTTTCTTAGCCTTTTATTCTATTCAGGCCTTTAATGGATTGCATGAGTTCCGCTCACATTGGGGAGGGCAGTCTTCTTCAGTCTACTGATTCAAATGCTGATCTCATCCAGAAACACCTTCACGGTTACACCCCAAAATAATGTCTAGCCAAATACCTGAGCATCCCATAGCCCAGCCAAGCTGACACATAAAATTAACTATTATAGAAGTGTCCTGGGACTCCCTCATACAAGCATACTTCAGCTTTGGCTCTGTACAGACTAGAAAATGAGCCTTTTCCAGCCTCAAGCTCTTTCCAGCACATCTTATGTTTCATTGATAAATTGGATACATTATATCCTACCTCAAAGGGTGCTGTGAAGAATAAATGAGAATGTATGTTCATTTATTTCATTCAATAAAAACAATTGCTTCCTATGTGCCAGACGCTGTGCCAGAGGGGGATATGTGGTAGACACAGGGTGGCATGAGATGTGGCCCAAGGGGTTAGCAGGGCTTGAATTATGCAGGGGTTGGGAGGTCATGGTTAGAACTTATTTTTTTTTTTGGATACAGGGTCTCGCTCAGTCACAGCCCAGGCTGGAGTGCAATGGCACAATCTCATCTCACTGCAACCTCCGCCTCCTGGGTTCAGGTGATTCTTGTGCCTCATCCTCCTGAGTAGCTGGGATCATGTGCACCACCACACCCAGCTAATTTTTTTGGATTTTTAGTAGAAATGGGATTTCACCATATTGGCCAGGCTGGTCTCGAACTCTGGACCTCAAGTGATCTGCCCCTCTCGGCCTCCCAGAGTGCTAGGATTACAGGCATGAACCGCTGTGCCCAGCCATAACTTTTTAATTCTAAATGCAATGGGAGGCTGTTCGTGGTGGCTCATACCTATAATCCCAGTGTGCCCGGAATTGGTGGGTTCTTGGTCTCACTCACTTCAAGAATGAAGCCGCAGACCCTGGCCGTGAGTGTTACAGTTCTTAAAGGTGGCGTGTCTGGAGTTTGTTCCTTCTGATGTTCAGATGTGTTCAGAGTTTCTTCCTTCTGGTGGGTTCGTGGTCTCGCTGGCTCAGGAGTGAAGCTGCAGACCTTCGCCGTCAGTGTTACAGCTCATAAAGACAATGTAGACCCAAAGAGTGAGCAGTAGCCAGATTCATTGCAAAGAGTGAAAGAACAAAGCTTCCACAGTCTGGAAAGAAACCACACGAGTTTGCCACTCACTGCTGGCTCAGGCAGCCTGCTTTTACTCTCTTATCTGGCCCCACCCACATCCTGCTGATTGGTCCATTTTACAGAGAGCCGATTGGTCTGTTTTACAGAGAGGTGATTGGTCCATTTTGACAGGGTGCTGATTGGTGCGTTTACAATCCCTGAGCTAGACACAAAAGTTCTCCACATCCCCACTAGATTAGCTAGATACAGGGTGTAGATTGGTGTATTTACAAACCCTGAGCTAGACACAGAGTGCTGATTGGTGCATTTACAAACCCTGAGCTAGACACAGAGTGCCCATTGGTGCATTCACAATCCCTTAGCTAGACATAAAGATTCTCCAAGTCCCCACCAGATTAGCTAGATACAGAGTGCTGATTGGTGCATCCACAAACCCTGAGCTAGACACAGGGTGCTGATTGGTGTGTTCACAAACCTTGAGCTAGACACAGAGTGCTGATTGGTGCACTTACAATCCCTTAGCTAGACATAAAGGTTCTCCAAGTCTCCACTAGACTCAGGAGGCCAGCTGGCCTCACCCAGTGGATCTCGCACTGGGGCCGCAGGTGGAGCTGCCCGCCAGTCCAGTGTGGTGCGCGCAGTCCTCAGCCCTTGGGCGGTGGATGGGACCGGGCGCCGTGGAGCAGGGGGCGGTGCTCGTCAGGGAGGTTCAGGCCGTGCAGGAGCCCACAGCCGGCCGTGGGGGTAGACTCAGACATGGCGGGCTGCAGGTTCCAAGCCCTGCCCTGCGGGGAGGCAGCTAAGGCCTGGCGAGAAATCGAGCGCAGCGCCGGTGGGCCAGCACTGCTGGGGGACCCCGCGCACCCTCCGCAGCTGCTGGCCTGGGTGCTAAGCCCCTCACTGCCCGGGGCCGGCAGGGCTGGCGGGCCAGCCTCTCCGAGTGCGGGGCCCGCCAAGCCCACACCCACCCGGAACTCTAGCTGGCCCGCAAGCGCCGCGCACAGTTCCGGGTCCCGCCCCTGCCTCTCCCTCCACGCCTCCCCGCAAGCCGAGGGAGCCGGCTCCAGCCTTGGCCAGCCCAGAGAAGGGCTCCCACGGTGCAGCGGCGGGCTGAAGGGCTCCTCAAGCACTGCCAGAATGGGGGCCGAGGCCAAGGAGGCACCGAGAGCAAGCGAGGGCTGCATGGGCTGCCAGCACGCTGTCACCTCTCACAGGCACTTTGAGAGGCCAAGGTGAGTGGATCAGTTGAGGCCAGGAGTTTGAAACCAACCTGGCCAACATGGCGAAACCCTGTCTCTGTGCAAAAATTAGCCAGGTGTTGTGGTGCATGCCTGTAATCCCAGCTACTTGGGACGCTTGAGGCACGAGAAGCACTTCGACCTGGGAGGAAGAGGGTTGCAGAGAGCCGAGATGGTGCCACTACGCCCCAGCCTGGGTGACAGAGTGACACTCTATTTCAAATAAATAGATAGATAAATAAATAATGTAAATGCAATGAGAGGCTCCTTAGGGGAGGTTTAGCATTGTGCCTGGTAAACAGCAAGCACTCAATACATGCTTGCTATTAAGGATTACCACCAAGATGCCCTGTCAACATCTAAAATCAAACCCAGTCATCTTTTCGCTGTTATTGAGTTCACTGCTTTTTTCTAAGACACCCAGTTCTATCGCCTAGACTAGAAAATTCAATCATCTTTAATTCTTCATTCTCCTTTATTCCCTTTCTGCCAAATTTTTTTATTTTATTTTATTTTTTTGAGATCGCATTTTGCTTTTGTTGCCCAGGCTGGAGTGCAATGGCGCGATCTCACTGCAACCTCCCTCTCCTGGGTTCAAGGAATTCTCCTGCCTCAGCCTCCCGAGTAGCTGGGATTACAGGCATGTGCCACCATGCCCAGCTAATTTTGTATTTTTAGTAGAGATGGGGTTTCTCCATGTTGGTCAGACTGGTCTTGAATTGCCGACCTCAAGTGATCCACCCGCCTCAGCCTCCCAAAGTGCTGGGATTACAGGCGTGAGCCACCACGCCCGGCCTAATTTGCTTTTTTTTGTCTCTTACATTTGATCCTGAGCTAATGATCTTGTGGAGCCTATTTCTTCTCTAAAATGGGGATAATACCTTGTAAGATTGAGGATCAAATGAGGTAAATGAATGTAAATTGCTTAGCATGTGGCAAAAACTCACTAAAGATTCACTGTTATTACTTTGGGCTAGGAACTGGAGATACATAGATGAACAAAAGGAAGCTCACCTTGAAAAAAATGAGCTCTTTCTACAAATTAATTTTGTTTTTCTTTGAGATGGAGTCTCACTCTGTCACCCAGGCTGGAGTGCAGTGGTGCAATCTTGGCTCACTACAACCTCCGCCTCCCGGGCTCAAGTGATTCTCCTGCCTCAGCCTCTCAAAGTAGCTGGGATTGTAGGTGCTCGCCACCACACCCAGCTAATTTTTATATTTTTAGTGGAGATGGGGTTTCACCAGGTTGACCAGGCTGGTCTTGAACTCCTGACCTCAGATGATCCAGCTGCCTCGGCCTCCCAAAGTGCTGGGATTATAGGCGCGAGCCACGGCGCCTGGCCACTACAAATTAATCTTAAAACTCCACCTTTACTCTCACCTGCTCCAAAATCCAATCTGCTAATAAGATAAAGCCTAGATTTCTTAAAAAGCAGATATTCAGTTTCCTTGAGTTAGCTGCCCTACCTTTCAGCTTTTTCACTTCCTACCTCACAGACCAAACTAAGGCATTTGCTATTACATATTCCTTTTGGTTTATCCACTCTTCACACTGCCATTTCCTCTTGCTGGAAACCCCATATTCCTTTTACTGCAAGCATCCATTCATTCTATCTTTGGAGGCTCAGTTCATACTACAAAACTCTTTTGTGGGGCCAGGCATGGTTGCTCACACCTGTAATCCCAGCACCTTGGGAGGCCGAGGCGGGAGGATTGCTTGAGGTCAGGAGTTCAAGACCAGCCTGGGCAACACAGCAAAACCCTGTCTCTACTAAAAGTACAAAAATTAGCCAGACGTGGTGGTGTGCGCCTGTAGCCCCAGCTACTCGGGAGGCTGAGGCACAAGAATCTCTTGCACCTGGGAAAGCAGAGGTTGCAGTGAGTCAAGATTGTGTCCCTGCACTCCAGCCTGGGCGATAGAGCAGGACCCTGTCTCAAAAACAAAAAAATAAAGAAAACCTCTTGTACTAGTTATATACTCATCTATTCAGCAATTATTCAGTGCCTACTCTGTTCTAGGAACTGTTCTAGGTGCTTAAGATATATATGTAAATAAGACTAAGGGGCTGGGTGCGGTGGCTCACGCCTGAAATCCTAGCACTTGGGAAGCCGAGGCAGGTGGATCGTTTGAGGCCAAGAGTTTGAGACCAGCTGGCCCAACATGGCAAAACACTGTCTCTACTAAAAATACAAAAATTAGCTGGGCGTGGTGGCGTGTACCTGTAGTCCCAGCTACTCGGGAGGCTGAGGCACAAAAATCACTTGAACCCGGGAGGCGGAGGTTGCAGTGAGCCGAGATTGTGCCACTGCACTCCAGCCTGGGTGACAGAGCGAGACTGTCTCAAAAAAAAAAAAAAAAAAAGACAAAGCTTTTGCCCTCAAAGTGTGTACATTATTGGGGAAATCAGACATAAAACAACATGTATGTCAGGTATTAATAAGTATGGTGAAGACCATACATATATATCCCATTTATTAAAGTACAAGCTCAAGGGCTGGAGCTATGTCTTACTAAAAATCTTTGCTTTCTCACATAGCACCTTATATTTGTAGATGCTTAATATTTTTGGATAAATAATATCCTGGAGGTTTTTATACTGTCAAATGTTAAATCGCTAGAGCAACAGAACTACATTCAAGTTCAACAAATCAGTCTTTTGTGCCTGCTTGTGCACAATTCCGTTGAGAACTATAAAGGTTGAAGCGAACCTTTTTTTTTTTTTGAGACAGTGGCTTGCTCTGTCACCCAGGCTAGGGTGCAGTGGCACATCAACGTCAACCTTCTGGGCTCAAGTGATTCTCCTGCCTCAGCCTCCCAAGTAGCTGGGACTACAGGCCCATGCCACCATGCCTGGTTAATTAAAAAAAAAACATTTTTTGTAGAGATGGGGTCACACTATGTTGCCCAGGCTGGTCTTGGCTTAAGCCATCCTCCTGCCTTGACCTCCCAAAGTGTTGGGATTACAGGCATGAGTCACTGTGCCCAGCTAGACCTTTTCAAATGTAAAAATTTATTTTCTAGCCAACATGTCCTATTTGGTGGTCTGGGTGTTAAAGAGTACAGACTCAGCTGGGTGCGGTGGCTCATGCCTATAATCCCAGCACTTTGGGAGGCTGAGGCGGGTGGATCATGAGGTCAGGAGATTGAGGCCATCCTGGCTAACACAGTGAAACCCCATCTCTACTAAAAGACAAAAAATTAGCCGGGTGTGGTGGAGGGCACCTGTAGTCCCAGCTACTCGGGAGGCTGAGGCAGGAGAATGGCGTGAACCCAGGAGGCGGAGCTTGCAGTGAGCTGAGATCGTGCCACTACACTCCAGCCTGGGCAACAGAGCGAAACTCCGTCTCAAAAAAAAAAAAAAAAAAAAAAAAAAAGTACAGACTGAATTGGAGTCCCGAGTTCAAATGATGACTGGTAATTTCATAGCCTTAGTTACACAAACCTAAGATAGATAGGGTAAGTAAGAGTACCTACTGTATAGGGTTGTTAAGGATAATTAAATGAGTTCCTGGCATATAGTATACTTGATCCTTGAACAACACGGGTCCACTTACACATGAATTTTCTTTCACCTCTGTCACCCCTGAGACAGTGAGACAAACCCTCCTTTTCAGCCTACTCAATGTGAAGATGACAAATATAGACCTTTTATAATGATCCACTTCTACTTAATGAATATTGAATATATTTTATCTTCATAGTTTTAATAACATTTTTTCTAGCTTACTTTACTCTAAGAATATAGTATATAATACATAAAACAGCCGGGTGCGGTGGCTCATTGCCTATAATCCCAGCACTTTCGGAGGCTGAGGCGGGTGGATCACGAGGTCAGGAGATCGAGACGATCCTGGCCAACATGGCGAAACCCCATCTCTACTAAAAATACAAAAATCAGCCAGGTGTGGTGTCGTGCGCCTGTAGTCCCAGCTACTCTGGAGGCTGAGGCAGGAGAATCGCTTGAACCCAGGAGGCGGAGCTTGCAGTGAGCTGAGATCGCACCACTGCACTCCAGCCTGGCGACAGAGCAGGACTCTGTCTACTGAAAAAAACAAAACAAAACAAAACAAAAAACGAAAACGTAAAACATAGAAAACTCGTGTTACTGTTTAAGTCAGTAGGCTACTGAGGGGTCAAAAGTTACATGTAGATTTCTGACTGCACAGGGGTGGGATCCATGGACATACCTGTGAGAATGTAGGTATTTCAGGAAGCTTCTTAAACAAAAGTAATTTAGAACAAAGACCTTTTAAAAAAATTACAGTTTGATAACTGAACAAAAGGAACATTTGGTTAAGTTTAAAGAATCTAGAAAAGATCCATTTTCCTCCAAACAGATTTATTGAATACAGCAAAATTCTATATACAAAGTGACCTGGACCTGCTGCTTCAAAACATGATCCTTTCTTACTAATATCTTGATAGTCGGTCCATAGAGCATTAGAAAGCAATTGACTCTTAAATAAACAGAAAAGTGCCTAATGCACATTAAATGAATGGCCTAACTACTGGAACTTTAGTAGTTCTATAAGGTAATTAACATAGGTAGGATCCAGTTCCTATGACAGGCTGCTGAAGAACAGATATGAGCATCAAGAGGCCATTTTGTGCACTGCCACCGTGATGCCATCGTGTTTCTGGATCATAATGTTCCTGAAATGCAGGAAGAAAATATTCAGTAAAACGTAATCAGTGGGACTTCACTGCAAGATTAAAGATGTTGTTTGCTTTAGGATACAATATTTAAAATAATGTAATTGTTTCTACGTATAAAAGCAATATTTAAACATAACAAAACATTTGGGAAATACATAAACATATAGCATGTGAACACGAAATGAATCCTTAATCCTACTACACACAGACAACCACTGTTAATATTTCCCTGGTTCTTTGTTTCGGTTTTTTAGGCACTGTCTTGCTATGTTGCCCAAGCTGGCCTCAAACTCCTGGGCTCAAGCAATCCTGCTTCAGCCACCTCAGTAGCTGGAACTACAAAAAAAAGGCTTTACTGGTCTTTGTTTTCTTTGCATGTATATGATACAGTCATGTGCTGCATAACAATGCTTCAGTCAACAGTGGACCCTACATATGATGGTGGTCCCGTAAGATTATAATGGAACTGAAAAATTCCTATTGCCTAGTGACCTTTTAACCGTCCCAGCATCACATAGCACAACACACTACTCACATGTTTGTGGTAATGCTGGTGTAAACAAATTGTGCTGCCAGTCATAAAAAGTATAGCACATACAATTATGTACAGTACGTAACGCTTGATAATAATAAATGACTATGCTATGGTTTATGTATTTACTATACTTTTTTTCTTTTTTTTGAGACGGAGTCTTGCTCTGTTGCCCAGGCTGGAGGGCAGTGGCGTGATCTCAGCTCACTGCAACCTCTGCCTCCCGGGTTCAAGCAATTCTCCTGCCTCAGCCTCCTGAGTAGCTAGGATTACAGGTGCCTGCCACCATGCCTAATTTTTGTATTTTTAGTAGAGACAGGGTTTCACCATGTTGGTTAGGCTGTCTCACACTCCTTACCTCAAGTGATCTGCCCGCCTTGGCCTCCC
The DNA here is from genome assembly GCF_000001405.40 of Homo sapiens. Taxonomy (NCBI): domain Eukaryota; kingdom Metazoa; phylum Chordata; class Mammalia; order Primates; family Hominidae; genus Homo; species Homo sapiens. Next base: position 110,402,506 of record NC_000001.11, read on the forward strand.
AAAGTGCTGGGATTACAAGTGTGAGCCACCATGCCGGGCCTACTTTTTATCATTATTTTAGAGTATACTACTCCTACTTATTAAGACAAGGTTAACTATAAAACAGCCTCAGACAGGTCCTTTAGGAGGTATTCCAGAAGGTATCATCATTACAGGAGATGACAACTCCATGCATGTTACTGCCCTGGATGACCTTCCAGTGGGAGAAGATGTGGAGATAGAAGCCAGTGATATTGATGATCCTGACCCTGTGCAGGCCTAGGCTAATGTGTGTTTCTTCTTTGCTTTTAACAAAAAAGTCTAAAAAGTAAAAAAGTTTAAAAAAAGAATTTTTGTACAGCTGTACAACTGTTTTAAGTGTTATTATAAAGTCAAAAAGTTTTATTGACTCACTCAGAGCAACTTCCAGTGTTGTAAGCTCCATTATGGTAAGTGCCCTATTCAGATATACCTTTTAAAAAATTTCCCTATACCATACTTTTACTGTATCTTCTCTACGTTTAGATACATAAATACCACTGTTATAACTGCCTACATTATTTAGGCTACAAATCTTTGTAGTCTAAGAGCAATACAGCCTAGGTGTGTAATAGGGTGTACCACCTAGGTTTAAGTACACTCTATGATGTTCATACAACAAAACTGCCTGACACATTTCTCAGAACATATCCCCATTGTTAAGCAATGCATGACTGTATGTTTTTTCTTTTTACAAGGCTGTGATAGTAGCAGTTGTATATATATACTTTTTTTCACATATTATTCTGAGGACCATCACTTGGAATATCTTTAGTAATTTTATTGCTTTAGAAGTAATTTTTGGCTGGGTGCAGTGACTCATTCCTGTAATCCCAGCACTTTGGGAGGCTGAGGCGGGCAAATTACTGGAGCCCAGGAGTTCGAGACCAGCCTGGGAAACATGGTGAAACCTCATCTCTACAAAAAAATACAAAAATTAGCTGGGTGTGGTAGTGTACACCTGTAGTCTCAGCTACAACTCGGGAGGCTGAGTTGGGTGAATCGCTTGAGCCCGGTGGGGTTGAAGTCACAGTGACCCATGATCACACCACTGTACTCCAGCCTGGTGCCAGAGCAACACCCTGCCTCAAAAAGAAAAAAAAAAAAAGTAATTTTTATTCTCTGATTAGTTTTCCTTTGTGCTATTTGTTACTTTCTTTTTGTTGGTAAACTGATAGCTTCTGCCAATTCTTATTCTTCATTTAAATAGCATTGTGGCCTGAGAGCACATTAGCTTTAGGGATCAACTTGTCTGTTCCTGTGATTCAAAAGATTAAGAACTTTTCCCAAAGTAGTCTGAATAAGGAATCACTGATGAACACAGGGCCGGCCCCCGCCAATTTTACCAGGAATTTTTCTGAACAAAAAGGAAAGGATCTGCTGAAATCTACTCACCCATTATCTGATTCTAGACACACCACAGGAATATCAGTGGGGTCAGAGGTTAGCTTAGCTGCTTGCTGGGCTAGAACAGATATCACTCCAGCATGCTCATCTGACAGGGTCCCGCGGCCTGGAAAATAGAGATGATATATGTCACCTGATTGCTCATAGAGTATTTCTGCTAAAATAAGCTAGCTGGCTGTTTTAAAATGTCTACAGAATTGTCTTTTTATTAATGTCTGTATTAGTCTGTATATATTATAGTAACTAAATCTCGGGTACAAAAGTACCTATAAATTCTAGGTACGAAAATTAATTACTAAGTGTACTTTACAATATATTTCTGTATATAAAGGCAACACAAAGTTAACTGTACCTGAAACCAAATCAGGTAATAGACATGCCACTATGGCAGAGCATTTGGATGTACTATTACTATACAAAACATTTTGACCAGATCCGATGCCGACGTTTGAGCCTTGAAGGTTTCTTGAAGGAACTCATTTAGTTTTAGATTTCCATACCTGAATTTCAGTCTTTCCATTAGTAAGCCTAGCAAATGCTTCCAAAAATTTACCCTTTTTCTCCCAAATGACTGATCTGCATGTTAAACATAACTGAGTTACACCGATTACCTCTTTCAGTTACCCTTCCAGCAAAAATTCAGAGCTTTAAACATTCCTGCATTAGGAGCAACAAGTCTTGGGTTTACTAGTTGTCACTAATTAACTGAATGCTTTACTTATTTACCTTTCCAAACTTATTTCCTCATGTGTAATTGCTACCATTTATTAAGTATTATGTCTCAGTTCTATGTAAGCATTTTATACATATTATATAACCTTAAAATATCGTGATTAGGCCGGGTGTAGTGGCTCATTCCTGTAATCCCGCACTTTGGGAGGCGGAGGTGGGTGGATCACCTGAGATAAGGAGTTCGAGACCAGCCTGGCCAACATAGTGAAACCCTGTATCTACTAAAAATACAAAAATTATCTGGGCGTGGTGGCAGGCGCCTGTAATCCCAGCTACTCAGGAGGCTGAGGCAGGAGAATTGCCTGAACCTGGGAAATGGAGGTTGCAGTGAGCCAAGATCGTGCCACTGCACTCTAGCCTGGGCGACAGAGCAAGATTTCGTCTCAAAAAAAAAAAAAAAAAAGTGATTAAGAGGCCTCAGGGCCAGACAAAAATCCTAGCTTAACGACTTACTAGCTGCATGACCTCAGGCAAGTTATTTAACCTCTGTGTCTCAGTTTCTTTTTTTATTTTTTGAGACAGAGTCTCGCTCTTGTCATCCAGGCTGGAGTGCAATGGTGCAATCTCGGCTTACTGCAACCTCTGCCTCCCAGGTTCAAGCGATTCTCCTGCCTCAGCCTCCCGAGTAGCTGGGATTACTAGCACCTGCTACCATGCCTGGCTAATTTTTTTTTGCATTTTTAGTAGAGATGTGGTTTCACCATGTTGGCCAGGCTAGTCTCGAACTCCTGACCTCAGGTGATCCACCCGCCTCCGCCTCCCAAAGTGCTGGGATCACAGGTGTGAGCCACCGCATCCGGCCTCTTTTTTTAAATTTTAAAAACATATATATATGTTTATTGTAAAAATAGAGATGGGGGGTCTCACTGTGTTGCACAGGCTGGTCTTGAACTCCTGGGCTCAAGTGATCTGCCCACCTTGGTCTCCCAAAGTGCTGGGATTACAGGCGTGAGACACTGCACCTGGTCCCTCAATTTCTTTTTCTACCTCACTGGGTTGTTATGAGGAATAAAAGAGTATATGTAAAGCACTTACAATGGTGCTTGGCACATAACAGCTCAATAAATATAATTCTATGATTATTACCATTATCAAATAACAACCCAGTGAAGAAAATGAGGGCCTAAAAGGTAGTTTTTTGGTCCACGTTCACACTACTAACAAATGAAAGAGCAAGGGATTGAGACCAGGTATGTCCAACACTGAAATCCCATTTTACTGCCTATTCACTTCTTGTTTAGTGTAGTTGAGCTTCAAAATTGTACACCACCCACCTTGCCGGGTTGTTGTGAAAATTAAAGATAATGTATTTAGAGCCTAGCAGTCTCAGCATATGGCATACATTCAATAAATGGTTAACAGCTGTTATTATCTGAAGTCCTTTCTAGACTCAATTTAAAATGATTCAAATATTATTTTTAGTAGAGACAACTATTTATTGTTATAGGACTGCAAGGAACATCTTCCTTCATAAATACCAACTGAAAAGTTTCAATTTTCTGATACTGTTATTTGGAGATAATCTCTACTCTCAAACTCAGAAAGACCTGGCAAGGTAACAGGAAATAAAAGCTAGAAAATAATAGCACGCTAGGCTCCAAGTCAACATCAGATGCTATGCAATTCATCAAATAGTTGGTATGAGAGATACTTACAACCCAGATTAAGTCCTTGTGAATCTGTGCACAGGACTCCAACAATGGAGGGATTCTTCATTCTAATTCCAGGAACACAAGAGAGTTGAAGTACATAATGGGAGAAAAAGGATTTAAATAAGTACAAACATACAGGTGTTCTATGTACCAGGCATTAAGTGCTTTAAATCAATATTTCTCAATCTTTTTTCATTGTCACACCCTAAGAAAAAAATTAAGTTCTAGGGCCGGGCGCGGTTGCTCACGCCTGTAATCCCAGCACTTTGGGAGGCCCAGGTGGGCGGATCACCTGAGGTCGGGAGTTCAAGACCAGCCTGACCAACATGGAGAAACCCCGTCTCTACTAAAAATACAAAATTAGCCAGGCGTGGTGGCGCATGACTGTAATCCCAGCTACTCGGGAGGCTGAGGCAAGAGAATCGCTTGAACCTGGGAGGCGGAGGTTGCAGTGAGCCGAGATCACGCCATTGCACTCCAGCCTGGAAGACGAGCGAAATTCCGTCTCAAAAAAAGAACACAAAAAATTTAAGTTCTAGTTAATTAATTGAAATAAACCAGTTTCTCTCTGATGAGAGAAAAAAATGTGCTAAGTACTGCTGAGTTCTGGAGGGCCACAAACACTGCGTGAAAAACATCTAGGATGTTTTCACTCTTGTTAAAAACGCATGTTTTAGTACTAACTCATTTAAAACAACTGTTGAAAAACTCAAGTTACCTCCTGGAGGGTAAGTGGAAGCTGAGGGACATCGGTGGGAGGCAGGTGTCTCTCTGTACCCTTTACACTTTTCCAGTTTTGAATTTTACATAGATACTGCTTGTTCGAAAAATTTAAAGAATGATTTTTATCTACTTAAGCACCAAGTAACTGATAGGTTACACACAGGAGATACGTGTTTGTTTACACTGCAGGGCTCGACACTGCACAACTGGCACAATCTTCCCAAAAGTCAACCCGTTTTCTAAAACTTCCGCAGAACCACCCTGACCGTAAAGACGATTTCAACAACGAGATAGGCAGTTTTGGCCCGTGGCCTGGGCCCGGGAGACTCGCTCAAGAGGGAATGTGCGGTGCCCGGCAGGATTTTAATTCCGGGTCACCCGCCCCGCCCTGCGGCCTTGGGTAGAGTTTAGCCCCCTCATCCCGTGTCCCGGGGGTCGCGCGACGTCCCCGAGACGCCCTGGCCGGTACTCGCAGCTCGCGCCTTTCGTTCCGCTCAAGTTCCTCCGCCGCGACCTCAGGACAGGCCGAAGAGGCGCGCACTACTCACGTGTCTTCCAAGTGCTGCTCCAAGGTCGCCTCCATCCCACCCACCGACCACTCCGGCTCAGAACCCAGCGGCACGGCACGTCCTTCTCCACCACAGGCCTCAGTCACTTGACGCGAGCGGGGCGTGGACCGTAACGGCGCCTCCAAAGGGACAAAATTGATCACGGTGCAACGTCCGCGTTCTTTACTGGAAAACATCACTGCGCTTCCGTCGCACAGAGCCTGACGAAGGCTTGGGCTCCCCGCGCGGTGACCGTCGAGGTGACCTGCACCTGGCTCCATGGCGGAACCGGCCGGCACGGATTATTCCCCTCTCGGGAGAGGTCTGCAGCCGGGCCTCAGTGCTTCAGTTCGTGGCCTGGCATTTTGTGTCAGTGTTTTTTAACCTTTGGACCCTAGTTCAACCGACTCCGAGACCTAGGGGACAGATCTTAAGTTTTACAATAACCCAGGGGTCAGACAGGGTCTGATCTAGCCTGTGGGGCAAGTACGGGGAAGACACGGGACCTCTTGGAGGGGGTCAGTAGGCTTGTAGGGGGAAAGACGCACACAGAGACTAAAGGACGAGATGGAGCAAGGTTCAACCCCCTAGCTGAGTGTTGGCAGTGTCGGGATTTTAACGAAGACATTGGTGCTTATTATGGTGAGGGGACTCAGGACAGTTTAGGGGAAGAGAGTGGCATTTGAGTCCTAACTCGTAAGGAAGACTGGGTAGGACTACTTGAAAATAACTTTTAAAAATTAATTATAAAGCTGGTAAAAATAGGAAAACATCTATGGCCCCACTGTCCAAAGACGACTTTTAACTTCTTGGAGAATATCCTTTCAGATAGTTGTCTTTGTAAATGTATACTTTTAATGTTTTTTCGTTTGCCTTTTTAAAATAAATTTTTTGGGGGACAGGGTCTTGCTCTGTTACCCAGGCTGTAGTGCAGTAGAACGATTATAGCTCATTGCAACCCGGACGTCCTGGGTTCAAGCTATCCTCACCTCTCAGCCTCTCGACTGGCTAGGACCACAGCCTCGAGCCATCATGTCTGGCTAATTTTTACGTTTTTTTGTAGAGATGGGGGTCTCGCTGTGTTGTCCAGGCTGGTCTTAAACTCCTTGCTTCAACAGATCCTCCCACTCCAGCCTCCCAAAATGTGATTACAGGCTGAGTCACCACGCCTAGCATGGTTTTTTTTGTTTTGTTTGTTTTGTAAGCAAAATTGACATACATACTGGAGGTACAATTCTGTAGCTGGCCTTCTTTACAGAGTTTAGAATAAATGTCTTTCCATGTCAAGTTTTCACTTACATCCTTTGTAGTAGTTGCAAAATATTCCATTTTATAGCTGTATCTTAATTGTGGATTAAGGTTGGAGTGCAGTGGCACTATCATGGCTTAGTCCAGCCTCAGCCTTCTAGGTTCAAGCGATCTTCCCACCTCAGCCTCCCAAGAAGCTGGGACTACAGGGACCCGCCACCCCACCTAGCTAATTAAAAAAAAAATTGTAGAGATGGAGTCTCAGTGTGTAGCCCAGTCTCAAGTGACCCTCCCTCGTTGGCTTCCCAAAGCGCTGAGATTGCAGGTGAGCCACTGTACTTGGACTTTTTTTTTTTTTTTTGCTTTTGTTTGTTTTTTGTTTTAGCTATTACAATGCTGGTTGAATATCCTCATAGCTAAATATCTGTGCAGTTTTAAAATTTCCTTATAAGTTACTAGAAATGGAATGACTGGGTTAAAGGACATGATCATTTTTTAAGACTCTTGATACATACTTACAAATTGCCTCCCGAAAAAGTGGTGCTAATTTACTCAAATTGGTAAGCCTCACCCCCTCTGTGGATCATTCCTTGCACTAAGTTTCTTCCAACTCTGTCACCTCCAGCTTTTTACTCACAGCCTACCTTCCAATCTGGGGCCCAGCTCCCAGATCGGAAGATACCAGACTTTGGTATTGAACCAAAGTCCAATACACTGCACTGGCATTCAGAGTCCCTTTTTATTCCGCAGCTGTCATAGTGAAGCTTGCAGCTTCCTTGAAATTCCAGTTTGTTTATTTCTTTATTTTTTTGAGACAGAGTCTTGCTCTATCGCCCAGGCTGGAGTGCAGTGGCGCCGTCTCAGCTCACTGCAACCTCTGCCTCCTGGTTCAAGCGATTCTTCTGCCTCAGCCTCCCGAGTAGCTGGGATTACAGGCATGCACCACCACACGTGGCTAATTTTTGTGCTTTTAGTAGAGATGGGGTTTCACCATGTTGGCCAGGCTGGTCTCAAACTCCTGACCTCAAGCGATCCGCCCACCTCAGCCTCCCAAAGTGCTGGGATTATAGGCATGAGCCATTGCACCCAGCCAAAATTCCAGTTTGAATGTTATAATTCAGGGGTCTTGGACTCCTGCTCTAGAGAAATTATTCATGTTAAGTTAGGGGTAACACAGTACAGGCCATATAAGTTTTAGAAAAAGCAGTTTAAAACTTAGCATTAGAAAACATAAGTACTGCCTGGTGAAATGGCACGTGCCTATAATCCCAGCTACTCAGGAGGCTGAGGCAGGAGGATCCCTTGAGCCCAGGAGTTCAAGTCCAGCCTGGGCAATATAGTCTAGTGGCCACATTAAAAAAAGTAAAACAGCCGGGCGCGGTGGCTCACGCCTGTAATCCCAGCACTTTGGGAGGCCGAGGCGGGTGGATCACGAGGTCAGGAGATTGAGACCATCCTGGCTAACACGGTGAAACCCTGTCTCCACTAAAAATACAAAAAATTCTCCGGGTGTGGTGGTGGGCGCCTGTGGTCCCAGCTACTCAGGAGGCTGAGGCAGGAGAATGGTGTGAGCCTGGGAGGCGGAGCTTGCAGTGAGCCGAGATCGCGCCACTGCACTCCAGCCTGGGCGACAGAGCGAGACTCTGTCTCAAAAAAAAAAAAAAAAAAAAAAAAAAAGTAAAACAGGGCAGGGTGCAGTGGCTCACGCCTGTAATCCTAGCACTTTGGGAGGCCGAGATGGGTGGATCAGTTGAGGTCAGGAGTTTGAGACCAGCCTGGCCAACATGGCGAAACCCCATCTCTACTAAAAATACAAAAATTAGCTGGGTGTGATGGTGCGTGCCTGTAGTCCCAGCTACTCAGGAGGCTGAGGCAGGAGGATCGTTTGAACTCGGGAGCTGGAGGTTGCAGTGAGCCGAGATTGAGCCACAGCACTCCAGGCTGTGCTACAGTGTGAGACTGTCTCAAAAAAAAGTAAAACAGATGAAACTAATTTTAATAACATTTTATTTATTCAAACAATATATTCAAAATATTATTTCAACTTGTGATTGATAAAATACTAATGAGATATTTTATATTTTTTCTCCAGTACTGTCTTCAAAATCCAGGGTATATTTTTCAGTTAGCAGCACATTTCAATTCAGACCAGCCGCATTTCAAGTGCTCAGCAGCCACCTGTGGCTAGTGGCCACAGTATTGGCCAGTGTAGCCCAAGGATATCTCAAATTATCTCAAAGCTAGATCAGTGATTAAAGGATTCTCAGGCCAGGCATGGTAGTTTTCAGGCCTGGTATGGTGGTTTACGCCTGTAATCCCCGCACTTTGGGAGGCCTAGGTGGGCGGATGGCTTGAGCCCAGGAGTTTGAGACCAGCCTAGCCAACGTGGGGAGACCCTGTCTCTACCAAAGCACAAAAATTAGCTGGGCATGGTGATGCGCACCTGTGGTCTCAAGTACTTTGTGTGAGGTGGGAGGATCACTTGAGCCCGGGAGGTTGAGGCTGCAGTGAGCTGAGATTGCACAACTGCACTCCAGCCTGGGTGACAGAATGAGACCCTGTCTCAAAAAAAAAAAAGGATTCTCCGAAAGACTGGCGATTGCTTTTTAAGCTATAAGGAAGGCCTTTGAAGGGAAATCAAGTAGGAAGAGGATGATAGCTGGCTCACATGTCCTTGCCACATGGGAGGTGAGAGAGCAGGCTACTCCTTACCACCCCCGCTTTCTCTGCCCTGCTGCTGTCTTGCCCCTGTGCAAGTAGGCAATGGGAGAGGAATAGTATATATAAATTGGGCAAGTGCTAGGGGCTGGAGTGATGGTTGGGGAAAGTATCTGACCCTTGTTTTCTACTTTCTTTAGCTTGTGGGGTATTTAACAATTCTTTGTTCTTAGTTTTGAGTGCTGGCAACCATTTCTGGGGTGACAGGAAAAGTTCCATGACATCCGTATTAGAGCATTTGTTTCATTATATTGTAATTTTTTATGTTTACTTTTGAAAAAGTTCATTCTTTTCTCTTTTTAATTCTTATTCTTTTTTTTTTCTTTTCTTTTTGAGGCAGGGTTTTACTCTATCACCCAGGCTGGAGTGCAGTGGCACAATCTTGGCTCACTGCAACCTCTGCCTCCTGAGCTCGTGATTCATCCTCCTGAGTAGCTGGGACTACAGGTGTACACTACCATGTGTAGCTAAATTTTTTGTATTTTTTGTAGAGATGGGGTTTTGCCATGTTGCCAGGCTGGTCTCGAACTCCTGCAATTTGCTCTCCTTGGCCTCACGAAATGCTGGGATTACAGGCATAAGCTACAGCACCCAGCCCTTACGTTTACTTTTCATTGACAGGAAGAGTGTCTTCATCTCTGCATCCCTAGTGCAACAGAGCATGACAAAAATTCAACAAATATTTATTGAAGAGTCTTGATGTCTTTTGGGAAAGGAACTCTATGGTTACCTTTACTCTAAGGTAAAGAAATTTAGGTCCTGAACTTTAACCACCTTCTCCTCTTCTTTCTTCCCTCTTTCATAAATGAGCTCTTGGAAAATTAAAATGCCAGGAGGGTCCAGCAGAGAATACCCAAGCCCACATGTCCTGATGGGAAGTGGGGGATAAGTAGAGAGGGAAACACAGACCCTGTAGGCCATCTCACTGCTGCTGGCCCAGGGGACCCTAACTCCTTTTGTTGACTCATCAGAAGTAGAATCCTCCTGAGGGTCTGTTTAAGAAGCACAGCTCTGGTAGAAAGGGTAGCTTTCCTATGGGTACGGAGGGCTCTGCTACCCCAGGGCTATCCACACTGGCCTGTGAATCACTCTCAAATGCTTAGGGTCACGGGCTTTCAGTGGAATGAGCCCTCATGTGCCACCAGGGGGCACCAAGGCCACAGAAAACCCTATTCAGAAGGTTCTGGGGTGAGGGAAAGGAATCCACGGGTTTGTGGAGCTGGCGGAGCATGGGTGAGGACAGCATTATGCTAGGTTGGTGGCCTTGAAGTCAGATGTAAATTGGGATCCTGGCTTGGCCACTGACTATCCATGGGAACTTTGAATCTCAGGGGGCTCATTTGTGATGTGGGGGTACCATTATCTGCCTCATCAGGTTGTGGGGAGGATTATATGAGATACCTTATGTAAGAGGGGCTGGTGCATTGTGGAAGTCAACAAGTAAGTTTTGTTAAATTTGAGTAAGAAGACCTGTTTGTTTCCTCAAGTTGCTTATAATCTAGGTGAGGACACATCTGAGAGAATAACTAATAGTTCAGTGAAGGTAAGAGCCAAATGATTGGCACAGACCTCAAGTGGTCTGGCATTTACGGGAGAGGGGGATTGTGAAACAGGAATTGAAAGAAATTTAAAAATGCATAAGCAAAAACTCAGTTTATGTTTTAAAAAAACCAATTCCCCCTGAGAAAGAGAAAGAGGTGGAGTCCTTTAAAAATTATCTGCTTGTTTTTCTGTCTGTGGCTAGTGAGCCTTATCTCTCCCTTTCCCAGGCATTGTGAAGACCCTGTTTCTCTAGCTGTGCAGCTGCAAGGTCACTAGGCAGATAAACTCAAGCCATAAAACATGTTTTTCCTTGAAAAGTAAGAAATAATGTAATGCATGTGTCAAATGAATAACTATTTCTCGCTTCTGTAATATGCTTCCCTTCGCACAGATCTCCCCCTGCCCCATGAAATGCTTTAAAGGTAACTTAACTCTTTGTTCGGGGCTCAGTCCTTTGGATGTTAATCTGACTGGCTTGGTGCACCTAAATAATAAATAACATATATCCTCCTCAACCCCTCAGTCTCTCTGATTCCTAAATTATCCCGCTGTAATTGCAGGGCTAGATTTGCCGACCTGCTTTATAAAGCTATGTTAAATCAGTATATTTTATTCTTTTTATTAGACTTTTCTATAGCATAAAAATGATAAAATACAGCAAGAAAAAAAGTCACCTGAAACTCTAGTCCTAACCCTAATATGAATGTGAAGGAGCTGGGCTAGAATGGAATAGGGTAGAATTTGCATAAGGTGGAAATGGGGACAGGCCTGTCACAAGGATCACTAGAGTCTTGCTGGCAAAAGCATCTTACTGCATTCATGCTGCAGCACAGGACCCAGATGCAGAACAGGTTGGGGACACAGCCCTGCCTTCTAATAGTGGACACCATCTGAGAGCTGAGCCATAGATTCAAAGCCTAACTCCTAATAGCGATTGGTAGTAATATCATCAGCAGTTCATATACATGGAGTGACAACAGCGTGCCAGGCAATTCAAAGGGTCTCTCGGTCCTCACAGCATTTTTGAAGTAGCTAACATCACTATCCCCCTTTTACAGTTAAAAACAACAACAACAACAACAAAAACACAAAACCCTGAGGCTCAGAAGATAAATATTTGCTGAAGATCACTGTGCTTGTAAGTGGTGGAGCCTGACCATTAACTTCCCCACGACACTGCTTCAATTTCTATCACTTCATCAACCACACAACCCGAGAACTGTGAGGGGATTTAGCAGGCCCAGTCCAGATCTCTTATTGTACAGAGAAGAAATCTGAGGCTCAGAGAGGGGAAGGGACTAATTTGGACCTTTAACTTCGGATTCTTAACTTTCTTTCTGGTGTTCTAACTATACTGTACTACAAGAGGCTGTCTTAGAGCTTTAGTTCAACCAGCTTCAGAGATACTCATTGTTATGGGTTGAATTATGTCTCCCCAAAATTCATATGTCAAAGTTCTAACCCCCAGTACCTCAGAATGTGACCATATTTGGAGATAGGACCTTTACAGAGGTAATCAGGTGAAAATGAGGTTGTTAGGGTGGGCCTTAGTCCAGTATGGCTGGTGTCCTCATAAAAAGGGGAAATTTGGACACAGATGTACATAGAGGGAAGATGGTGTGAAGAGACATAAAGAACAGATAGTCATCTATAGCCAAGGCCTGGAACAGATCCTTCCCTAACAGCCCTCAGAAGGAAGCAACCTCACTGACACCTTGATTTTGGACTGCTACCCTCTGGCACTGTGAGACAATAAATTCATGTTGGTTAGGCCACCCAGTTTGTTATGGCAGCCCTAGGAAACCTTTGTGGATATATCTGTTCGTATACCCATAAAGTCTGCAAGTCAAAAATATCACAGACTTTTGGCAGCCCTTCATTCAAGCACTGGCTGGGAGGGTCACCCTCCCCGAGGCAAAAGGATAGAGCAAATGATCTTTCCAGCTTGCTCCCAACCTTGATCTTTGGCCAAGATATTTTTCTTTCACTGGACATTGGCCAACATTGGTGTCATAACTTAATTTGACTGTGACCTTCTTGAGTCTTTTATGTCTCTGAGCTTGACCTGTAGAAGAAGCTCAATAAATGTGGGTAGAGGGGATGAGTGGGAAAATCAGCTCCCAGCCATTCCAGTTCAAGCCTCTTCAAGCAGAAGAGTCCCACCTGAAAGACCTCATTTTCACTTGATTACTCGATCTCCAAGCAATAGGTGGGGCAGGAAGCAGGGTATGTAAGGCCTGTCAGTGGATGGAAGTTGAAGTTGGACACCATCTCCTAAAGTTTAGAGCTGAGCCCAAATTCTGGAAAACACAAGCAAAATACATTTTATATGACTCAGGATGGGCTAAAGAAGTTCCAGTACAGGAAACTGTTTTCCTGCTGCTTTATTAATTTTGCTACAGAGGATAAATGAGATGCAGACTTTCATATCCAAGTCTTCATTAGATGCCCAGTTAATGCAGCCATGACAAATGGGAATGAAGCCCTTATGAATAAAAAAAAGATCAACCCAGTATAAAAAAATCATAGACCAGAGAAATGAAAATTTAGAGGAGCTGATAAAATACCCTATCCTTAATTAGACTGTCAGCATACACATCAAATCAGCCTTAATGCCAAGATTTATTGGCCTTGGAATTGGGTAAATGAAATAAGTGCTTACAAATGAATGGAAAAGAAATTACCTGTATTAAAACGTATTTGTGATGCAGGCCTGTGCACTGAGGGTTTTAGTCAAACTCAGGCTTGCAGCTTCTTTTGCTCTGCATCCATTTCCACCCCATGTTCCCCAGTGGGTTTCAGAGACCCTCTTTGTGGGGTAACAATATGTACCATTGTCAACTACCTCTGCTGTTGTCCTGGAAAAATCCTTCTTGGACAGTAAAATATTTTTGTCTTTATTTCACCATCTCCAGATTAGATGGGTGTTACTGATTCTTACCTCAGAGAAGAGAATGTCATGGAGACAAAATGACCTGCTTAGAGTTCTGCACCCCCCAGCATGGAGAGCAGAGCGCAAAGATTTCTTCCGGACTCCCACATTCCCCTTGGAATCCAAGAACTGGTCTACTGTCACAACACTTTAGTACCCTCTTGTAAGCCTGTGGACAAATCCTCTGATGCCTTGATACCTCGGTTTTCCCCCACTATAAATGGGAAGATAAATTCACTAGAAACAGTACTTACCTTGCAGTGTCATTATGAGAATTTCATGAGACAATGCAATATAAAGCTCCTAGCACAGTTCCAGGCACCATTGTAAGCACTGAACAAATGAAAGCTGTTGTCATTAGGATCTCAAGAAATGACAGCTGAGGCAAATGTGGATTAGACTGCATTCAGCATTCTTAGCTGCAAGCAACAGAAGCTGACGCTGGTTTAAAGAATAGGAAAGGAAGTTAATTAAAATGACATTGGGTAGCTTGTGGAACTGGGAGGACTAGAGAGCTCAGTCTAAGTTCTAGTGACAAAGCTTCAAATCATACATGAGGAAAATGCCCCTCTGCAGGAGGAACGTAATCCTGCAATCACTGCTTCCCCTGAAGCCAGATGCCTCTACTGCTGCCCTTCCCAGCAGTGATGGAGCCTGGATCACATACCTGGCTTTAGTTGTAAAGGAGGCTGGAGAGAAAATGCTCTGCTCTATGTAACTGTCTTGAAAGTGGCCCACACATAGCAAAGCCATTCAAAAGCGGGTGAGCAGCATGAAAGCATCCAGAAGGATTCTTGCTTTGCATGAGGGAGAACTCTTGCTCCCAGAGTGTGAGACCAGCAGGGGCATTTTCCTCATGTGTGATTAGAAGCTTTGTCACTAGAAGCTTAGACTGAGTAGGACACCTCTGAGTGTGAATGTCCTACCTGAGTTCTGCCTCATGCAAAGCAAGAATCCCTCTGGAGGGATTGACACCACAGCCTCTTCCACAATGTCTCCAAACAACTTTACTGGGCAGCATTCCACTCCTTGACAAACGGGAGAGGTGCATTCTACCTTCTCTCCTGCATGAGCCTAGACTAATATGGAATTTGGGAGTGTTGATCATTGTACTTTGTGCTCCTAGAGATAAGGGTCATCATAAAGCATCTCAGAGTCTCACTGTAGATCCACAGTTCCATTTCTTTATGGATCCCTTACCCCTACTTTGCCAAATTCTATGCAGATAGCAATAATAATTCAGACAGGGCTTCCTCACTGAAGGAGTTTGTGCTCTATATAGTTAATAAGCTAGAGATAATGAAAAAAAAAAAAACTCAACTTGAACTTTGGGTAAGAGAAACTTTTCAGACCAACGATCATTACCAATAACAGCTTCCACGCATGACCCTGCCCGGAGATTGGGGCCTGCACTACTGTTTCCAGGAAACACATTCTTTTGAATTTTTTTATTTTCTTTGTAGAGATGGGGATCTCACTCTGTTGCCCAGGCTGGTCTCAAACTCCTGGCTTCAAGCAATCCTCCTGCTTCGGCCTCCCAAACTTCTGGGATTACAGATATGAGCCACCACGGCTGGCTGACAGGCACCAAATTCTAGGAGAGGACTTGAATAGAGTAGGCATCTGTCTCTCCCCATTCCTTTCAGGGACAGAGCTCTCCTGGTTGGGAGAAAGGGAGAGGGAGAGGGAGGAGGATGAATAGTGAAGCACCAAACCTCAGAATTAAGGCCTTTTTCTTTTCTTTCTTTCTTTCTTTTTTTTTTTTGAGATGGAGTTTCGCTCTTGTTGCCCAGGCTGGAGTGCAATGGCACAATCTCGGCTCACCGCAACCTCTGCCTCCCAGGTTCAAGCGATTCTCCTGCCTCAGCCTCCCGAGTAGCTGGGATTACAGGCATGCGCCACCACACCCAGTTAACTTTTTTGTATTTTTAGAGACGGGGTTTCTCCATGTTGGTCAAGCTGGTCTCGAACTCCCGACCTCAGGTGCTCTGCCCGACTTAGCCTCCCAAAGTGCTAGGATTACAGGCGTGAGCCACCATGCCCAGCCAGAATCAGGGCCTTTTTAAAACTTCAGTGTCTTGTCTTTACCCTTCATGGTGCCTAGAAAAGCATCTGGCTCATAGGTGTTCAGTGAATGATTGTTTCATTAGTGAAGAAATTCCCTTTGGAAATCTCATAGGAAACTTACCCTCTCCAACCCTTCACCTGTGCATTATTCCAGCTCCCAAGGAGGCAGCAGAAACTGGGGTAATCACAACGGTCAACAGCAGCAAAGGCAGCACTTTCTGATTTACTTGACTGCTATGGATGCCACCTCTCTCCACGCCTCAGTTTAATATCTGTAAGTTTGGTCAGTATCTCATTCAAGAACATTGCATTTACTCTGGTACTTAAAGATGAAAAATCAACATTTACAAAGCAGATCCATTGTCAACCTAAATAACAAACAAAGAGAGTCTCTATAAAAGAAAAGAATATTTATTTGGGAATAGAGCATTGCATAGGAATATGCCTGCCTTAGTAATGCATGTATTCAGGGAGGTAGAGGAAGACAAAGGTTTTTAACAGAAAAAATGTGGAGAATTACATAATTGTTTTGAAATAATTATCCTTGGCTATAAAGATCAATAACAAGGGTGATGCGAGTCCAAGGTTGGACAGGCAGTTGCTGGGCAGATGTCTTTGCAGAAGTCTTTTTTGTGTAAGGTTGTAATGGCTTTTGTAGGAGGTTGTGGCTTTTGCAATCTTTTGTGATAGCTTTTGTTACCAGGCATACAAGCATGAGAATGCTCTCTTCAGGGCCTTCCCTAGCTCTATTTATCAGGGGTTTCTTGTTAGTGATTCCATTTTGATTCTGACAACTTTCATGGACATTATCTCATTTAATCTCACAGTCATTCCATGACTCTATCCCCATTTTGTGAATGAAGTAACTGAGGTCTGGAGAGGTCAACTAACTGGTCAAGGTCATAGAACTTGAAAATTTTCATTGTCTTGGGTCTCTAATACTGGGGCTGACCATTCTCCCAGGCAATGTTGAGTGAGTTGGCCCAGGTGAGTCGGCTCCTCTGCAATTGTGTCTCCTCAACTAGTTTGAACAACACAGGCCTGTGAGCCAGTCCCATAAAGTGGCTAGGGGTTCCCTTCTCCCCATTTCCCCTCATCAACAGGAGGACTTGTCTGTGTGCCTTCAGACACCACACAGTAAATCAACTGCCACATTCATTCTGGACCATCAGTATTTTGCCCCAGGAGAAAGTCAGAGGCAAGCACACTAATATCTCATTGATATTTTCAATTGCCAAAGGGGAAGTGAGATGAATCTAATCCCATCTGTCAAGGTGGAGAAGAGCTGATTCGAAAGCAGCATAGATTACTTTAAGGAGATGACAGTTTATCACTCTCTGGACAAGGGAATATGAAATGAGGACTAACCTCCTTTATGAGTTGGTAAAAACATTGATCAGCAAAGACAATGTCTGGGGAAATGAACAGCAAGTTCTCTGGCCCTTTTTCCACTTTTCCTTTCCCCGAGACTTTATGTTATATATACACACTCACACAAACAGGACAGAATCCACCTCCTGCCCCTCAAGAAATAGTTAACATTTGTTGAGGATTAATTATTGCCAGGCTCTGTACTCCATGTTTTATATTTACTATCCAGAAGCCTTAATTGTTAAATGAGGTAAGTGTTATTATTAGAACCTTTGTACAGATGTGGAAACTGAGGTGTATAGAGGTTGACTTGCCCAAGGTTACCCAGCTAGTGAAGAATGAAATCAGATGCAGTCCAGCCAACGCTTGGCCTGCCGTCAGTCACACGCAGTACACGTAGATCAGTCAGCCTGGAAAGCCACCTAGACAGCCCTGCTTCACTCCATCCTTGGTCAGCACCTTAGAGAGCCCTGCTGACCCCAAGAGGATGTGCCTTTTACGGGTTGTAGAGGCTGAACCACAGCTGAGGGGCTGGAATGAGTGGGGGCCTCAGACAGGGTGTCTGGAGAGCTGAGGCTCAAGGAAGGGTGGAGGGGGTGCTGAAGCTGAAGGCCGTGGGTCTTGCCAGCAAGTGGGGCTCAGTGAGCCGAGGTGCCTCTCAGTTACTTCCATGTGTGAATTTCCGGTGGAGGACAGTGATGGGCTCTGGGCCCTTGGAAACCGGGACATCCAGCGTGTCCAGCCACAGTGCAGGCTGCCCTGGCTGCTGAGAGTCTCAGAAAATGCCACTGTCATGGGTTAGGAAGGCCTGGGGACCACAACAATGTGACTTCAAAAAACCCAAGAAGGAATGTGCACACCTGAGATGCTCAGAATGCATGTGTCAGTGTTCAGTTCTGACTCCTTGCTTCAGCCAGGGACAGAAGAACCTTCTACAGTAAAGAACCACAAGAGAGGGCTTTGCTGCCAGCCTCAGCCAGGGACACTTGGCGGCCAAAGCAAAGGTCACTCCAGGGCTGCAGATTTCAGCCTCTGCGGCCAGAAACAAGCTTCCCAATTAATAATACTCTGGATCGGACAGAGATGGCTGCTCTGTCTCAGGCGTGTTTGCCGTTGATCCCTGTGATTGATGCTGATAACATTAAGAGTCTGTCAGGGTGATATTTCATGAATGTCTCATGTGATGGGATGATACAGTCGGGAAATGCAATTCCCTAGCTCAGGCAGAATCAGAGATGACCCAAAGTGCTGATGGAAAGGCTGAGGCCCTTTCCAGCCTCTGGCAGGGTAGGGAAAGCGGGTGAGGTGGGGGCTTGGGAGGGGCTGGGCTGACCTAGAGCTGTAACAGGGGTCTCTCATGAAGGGCTGTGAAGAGAAACAGTATGTGAGAGAGGCAAGAAACTTTTCTCTGGGTTTCCTCATGTAGAATGATTCCATCTGTGTAGGCCATGAAGGAGTCCAGGGAAGTTCACCCCAAAATGTTGAAACCACCTTTGCAAAGATTATGACAGTGAGAGAAGCCTGGCATGGCTGACTCTATCTTGCTTCTAGCCTCACAGGCTGGCTGTTCTGTCTCATTCCTGGGCATAGGCCAAGCTAATCTTGGGAGGGATTTATGGTTTAACTTTGAAGCCAGGATCATAATTGTCCCTCCCTAAAACTGACCCCTTTCTTGTTCAGGGACTGAAACTGCCTTTGTAAGACTAATGAAAGGCCACAAAATTAGGATTATGGAAGGGGCCTGAATTCTGATAAGATGTAGGCATAGCTTGCCTTTCTGTCATCGTTTATTGCACTGGCACTCACAAGATTTGTAACTTCCCCAATTGGTCCCATAGATAACATCACTATTGTAGAACCTCAGATTGGTCTTTTGAGATCTTTTTCAGACTTTGGTATTCTGGTGACTGACTCCACCCAGATCCCATGACTCATGACTCAGCTGGTCCTGTGGTTCTTACCCAGTCTGACACAGCACCAGAGGACCGTTTTCCACACTTCTATCTATGATTTCATCCCCAACCAATCAGCACCACCCATTCCCTAGCCCCCTGCCCACCAAATTGATATCCATAAAAACCCTAACCTCTGAGTTCTCAGAGAAACTGATTGGAGTAATAAACTCCTGTCTTCTGTGTGGCTAGCCTTATGTTAATTAAACTCTTTCTTAGGGCAGTACTGCTGTCAGTGAATCAGCTTTATCTGTGCAGTGGGCAAGAAGGACCCACTGGGTGACTACAATATGGCACTTTGGTATGTTGGTTATTTTAAGTTAGAGGCCTTTGATGCTGGAAGAAGCTTTACTCTGATATCTCCTTATCTACCACAAGACTGGATCTGCCAAAGAGAACACAATTGCGTTCCATTCCCTTCCTGAAATCTCATTATCTATGGCAGAAAAGAAGACTGGGGAATGTAATACACAGTATTACACAGTAATGTAACATACTACACAGTATTTACACAAAACATGTAACACAGAATGTACTACACAGTATTTTCACAAAACAATATCTGTCTCTCCAACTCATTCAAATTCTAAAGAGTCATTTACACGTCAATTTGTGTCTTCTACGCCCATTCATTCTCCCTAAGAATCATTTACTACTCCTCAAAAGAATTACCAACATTCTCCATCTCCCACTCCCCTATGAGGAAGGGTATATAAGTTTCTGTCTGGATCTCATTAGATGACTGTGTGATCGTGCTTCTATGATCCCTACCCCACATGTTAAATGAATTTTGTATGCCTTTTTCTTTTATCAATCTGCCTTTTGTTAGGGTATTTTCAGTGGACCTTCAGAAGGCAAAGGGGGAGCTTTCCTTCTTTGACCCTACAGCTATTAGACTTGATTGAGTAAGACACACAATAATGAAAGTAAATAAGAAGAAAAACATTCATCCTGCTGTCTCCAGAGTTTGAAATGTCTGCCTCAAACTTCGATTTCTATCTACCAAAAATTCATGCATTAATCATAAGGCCGATCTCAAAAGTGAATTTTTTTTTTTTTTTGAGAAGGAGTCTCACTCTGTTGCCTAGGCTGGAGTGCAGTGGCACAATCTCAGCTCACTGCAACCTCTGCCTCCTGGGTTCAAGCGATTCTCCTGCCTCAGCCTCCCAAGTAGCTGGGACTACAGGCACGTGCCGCCAAGCCTGGCTAATTTTTATATTTTTAGTACAGACGGGGTTTCACCATATTGGCCAGGCTGGTCTCAAACTCCTGACCTCAAGTGATCCACCCACCTCTGCCTCCCAAAGTGCTGGGATTACAGGCGTGAGCCACCGCGCCTGGACGTGAAAAGTTTTTTGAATTCCCCCATTAGAAATGATCTTCACCCTGACTCCCATAACACTTTGTACATTACTGTAAAAGCATAATATTCAAATATTTACAATATACCTCCTTCAAATATAAAATGGACACATGCCGAAGACTTAGCAACTCATGAAGGAGGGAACCAATAATGTAGTTAAGCTAATTCAAAGAGCATTTTGAGGAAATGAATACTTATGGTCATTTAAAAGGAAATGTTAAAATTTCTAGGTTAAAAATAAAACTTGCCATTGCATATATGGTCAAATGATTTTTGACAAGGGTGCCAAGACCATTCCATGGGGAAAACACAGTCTTTTCAACAAATCGTGTTGGGAAAACTAGATATCCATGTTCAAAAGAATGAACCCTTACCTTACCTTCCACCATATACAAAAATTAACTCAAAATGGATCAAAGACTTAAGCATAAGAGCTAAAATTATAAAATTCTTAGAAGAAAACATAGGGAAAAAGGTCCATGGTATTATATTTGACAATGACTTTTTTTTTTTTTTTTGAGGCAAGATTTCACTCTGTCACCCTGGCTGGAGTTCAATGCAGTGGCACAATCTCAGCTCACTGCAACCTCCACCTTTCAGGCTCAAGCAATCCCCCTACCTCAGCCCCTAAGTAGCTGAGACTACAGGCATGCACCACCAAGCACAGCTAATTTTTGTATTTTTGTACAGAGTTTCGCCATGTTGCCCAGGCTGGTCTCGAACTCCTGAGCTCAAGCTATTCACCTGCCTCAGCCTCCCAAAGTGTTGGGATTACAGGTGTGAGCCACTGTGCCCAGCCCTGACCCCCACATTTTTAAACAAAGCTTCTCTTCCATAATCAATTGCAAATCAGAAGATCTTTGAATCTATCTGCAGCCTGCAAGCCCCCTATTCAAGACATCCCACCCTTTTAAACTTAAGCCAATGTGTAACCTCCTGGCAATCAATTTTGCAATTTATGATTTTGCCTGTAGCTTCTGCTGTTCTGAAATTTATTCCTGCCTCTAAAAATCCTTGCCGGCAAGCCACTGGGGAGGCTAGGTTTTGAGCACTTAGCTGTCTGGTCTTCCTTACTTAGTGCTCTGCAATAAACACCTTCCTTTCTATCACCACAAAATCCTGGGTGTGGGTATCTGGTTTTACTGTGTTGGGTGAGCAGACCTCAGTTTGGTTCTGTTACAAGTCCCTGCTCCATCTCACTTGCTACAACATGAATGAAACTTGAGGACATTATGCAAAATGAAATAAGCCAGTCACAAAAAGACAAATACTGTATTATTCCACTTATATGAGGTACTTATGATAGACAAAATCATCAAGACAGAAGGTATGATGGTTGCCAGGGGTTGAGGGAAGACAAAATAGGGAGTTATTGTTTAATGGTTGAGAAGTTTCAGTTTTGCAAGATGAAAAGTGTTCTGGAGATGGATGGTGGTGATGGTTGCATGACATAAATGTGCTTAATACCACTGAACTGTTCTTAACTCCGCTGAAATATGGTTAAGATGGCCCGGGTGCAGTGGCTCATGCCTGTAATCCTAACACTTTGGAACGCCGAGGCGGGCAGATCACCTGAGATCAGGAGTTCGAGACCAGCCTGACCAATATGGCGAAACCCAGTCTCCACTAAAAATACAAAAATTAGCGAGGTGTGGTGGTGCGCACCTGTAATTCAAGCCACTTGGGAGGCTGAGGCAGGAGAATTTTCTGAATCCAGGATGCAGAGGTTGCAGTGTACTGAGATCGCACCACTGCACTCCAGCCTGAGCAACAGAGCAAGACTCCATCTCAAAAAAAAAAAAAAGGTTAAGATGGTAAACTTTGTACCAATTAAAAAACAAAGCTGGCTAACACCCTACAGGGCAATTAAAACATCATAATCTTTGGTGTTATCTTTTTTATTAGATAGAAATTATTTATACTTACTGGATAAGATCTGTAAGTTAACACATAACTTCACAGAGTCTGAGCCCTTAATGAATAATAAATAGCCAAGTCACAGGGAGATACTTTCCCTGAGGTAATTAAGCAATCCTTGGGTAGGCTTGTGAAGAAATGCCCAGAATGACGTTGGAAGGACATGCTGTTCTCTCTTGGCCTTATTTCCAAGGTTTGGACTCAAAGTATTATTTTTTAACATCACAGAAATTTTTTATGCCCTGGTCTCTTGAGGGTAGGGACTGTGTCTTTTTCATCTTTGCCCCTTTCCACATGCTCTGGTTTGTAGAACAGAATTGAAGAAGGAGCCATGTGCTAGATAGAGCGGGTTGGGAGCAGCAGACCTGCCTGCTCATTGTTTCTGTGACCTTGACCCATCCTGTAGTCTCCCCACGCCTTGCTATTCTCATCCATCAACGATGAGATTGCACCTAAATCCTGGGTGCTGTGCTGGGCCTGGGGATGCTGTCTAATCCCTGGGTTTCCTTCTAGTTTGCTCTAATCACCCATATGAAAAAGAAGCTACTCAAGGCAAACATATAAATGAAACGGATAATGAATGAATAGTATTTTTTCTTGCTTTCTTTGGAAGAGGCATCCTGGATTCTACTTGAAGCCTGCAGCCCTGACTCCTGGGCTGGGAGGTGGGCGAGGACTTGTATTTTGTAGCTCTGCTAGAGAGGGAACAGCTGTCCACTGGTGGCAGGACTGACGCCTCCCAGAATACAGGGGCTTTGGATCAGCAGGCGTCAGAGGGAAAGGAAACTGGCATCCGAGTCTGCCTTTGAGAAAGGAGTAAATTACTATCTTATTATAAATTCATGATCCACTCATTGCTGTTTTCAATTAATTTCTTGACAAATCTGGCTGTTCCTTTTCTTATTTTCCTTAGGACAGGAGGTGTCCTGGTGATCAGCTGGAGCTCGGGGGAGCTGTTGCTGAAATTAACTTGAGTGCTTTGGAGAGAGATTTACATGGCAGAGTGGAGCCAGGGCTGCTCCTTTGGCAGGCACTGCTGTGCCACTGTGGAGGCGCCCCTGCTTTTCCCATGCTTTGCAGTGTCTTTAAAGGCCTTTGGAGCCATGCCCAGGCTCAGCCCCATCCTGGTGTCCCCCTGTGTCCGTTTTGCCACTGCCCGGCTACTTCACTTGGCCATGGGCCTTACCAGCTTGCAGACAAACCCGTCCATCTACGCCTCCCAGCGCAGCTTGGCCCACTTGCAAGCACTTACAGAGGGTTTCAGAAGGAACATGTCTGCCATCTGTGTTTGGAGACTGTGTCCCAGACTTTTGAGCTCACATTAGTCATGGCCACAGACGGGACTGGAGTCCTGCCCACTGGAGTCCCAAAGGTCTCTGGTGTTTGTTTTCCACTCTGCATGCCTGGGTTGGGGGATGGCAGGGGGATACAGGTTGTTGGAGTACCTCCCAGCCGGGCCGTTTCCTTGGTTCCCTGGGGCTGCCTTGCTTCCTCTCTAGATCATCAGTCTCAGCAGAGGAAACCAAAAATCTCCTCCTCGCCCCGCAACCACCTTTTGCTGACTGCTAAGCATCCCTGCTCTGAAACCATAACCACCATAAAAGCAATAGGCTTGTCTTCTCTGTTCTAAGCATGTACTATTCAGGTGATTTAGGGGGAGTAAACAGGCCCAGAGAAATTAAATAATTTGTCTAAGGGTACCGGCTAATGAGGATCTGAGCTCAGTTGTAAATGACTCCATCACCCATGCTCTTTTTTAGTCCCCTTTATAATTATTTTAAAATAACATTTAATTAATTTTCTGTTATAAAAGGAACACATGCTCAAACAAAAAACTTAGAAAATATAAAAATGTATGAAGACAAAACAAAATAACCCCCAGTATTAGCAATGCCAACTTGCCAAGACAAAAATGTTAACATTTTTATTTCTTTTTCTTTTCAGTCTTTACTCTCTGTGTGCACACACACACACAGGCAAAGTGAAATCACATTGTATATTCTTTTTTGCTTCTAGCATTTTCCACTTAGCTATCTAATATTACTATTTCCTGATATCAATAAATGATCTTCAATCCCATGCTTAACTCTTCTGTCCAAGGCATGTTCTGCCCAATTTTGTTTTCTCCTGTGTCTGTTTGAATGCCTCCTTTCTGGCCTGCATCTTAGGGGGACACTGAAGTCTCCTTTCCAACAGAAGTTCTATTCAGGGGGAATCTGTTATCTTGTTTAAAGCCCATCCTGGGCTGGGGAGCAAGCAGGAGAGAGAGAGAGAGACACCACCCATACGTGACTAGAGTGCCATTTGTAGCAGGATGCCCCAGAGGCAGCGTGGCCCTTCACCACCACAGTTATCTGGAACGAGCAGGAACTGTGTAGAGGAAGAGGCACATCCCCTTTTGAATGGCTGTGCCCTTGCAGCCACCTCAGTCCCTGCTTCCTGAAGGGAATCAGTTACTGGGCTCTGGGAGACAATTTTCAAAGTGAACTTCCACGGATGTGAAGGGAACCATGACCTAGAAATCTGAAGGTGCTAGGTCTTATTTTGCTCAGAGCTGAAAAGAGCCACTTTAAGAGGGCAAACATTGAGGAAAAAATGAAGAATATTTCATTTTTTAGGGAAATCCTACGAGCCTATAGGAGTCATCTTAGCCCATGTGCATGGTCACATGGCCTCTGTCCAGGATGGCCAGGACGGGGTGACTTCCTTAGAAGGGACTGGCATCTTGGGAGGCAGGCCTTTTCAGGGCTCAGCCCCAGGACTCCTTATCAAAATGTTGAAAAAAAAAGTTTATTCCATGGACTTCTAGAAATGGGGAAAGCATTGATGGGTTATAACTCAATTCTCAACACCAACAATCCATAACTCTCAAAGAAGATCTATGACTCCAAAAGGGTGACCTGAATCAGGAGGCTTATAATTGCATTGCCAAAGTGCAATGTGATCAGAGGCAGAAACATAACTAGGACCTCCCACAAGGAGTTGAAACTCCCTTTATCCTGGGCCTGTGGTTATCTCATTGATATTTTCCACTGTAGGTGAATTATTTCATTGTAGAGTCCCCTATTTAGAAAATACATGGCATGTGTGCCAGCATTTTCCTATCCTGCACCCATGGCAGGCATCACCAATCAACATTGGCACCCTCCCCACTGAGCCTAGAAGCAGCTTCAGACTCAGTCTCAACATACTTCTCCAGGCAGCCATTACGAATCAGTCAGCACTGACCTGGAATGAAATCCTTTGACATTCCTGAATTAGTTTATAATCACAAGCAGGAATTGTATATCAAGTTCTTATTAGATAGAATACTTAGAAGGCCCTTAGGTTGGTTCATTTGCCTGTTTCCTCATAAGAATGAGGGCAGAGCTGGGCATGGTGGCTCATGCCTATAATCCCAGCACTTTGGGAGGCTGAGATGGGAGGATTGCTTGAGGCCAGGAGTTTGAGACCAGCCTGGGCAACATGGCAAGATCCCATCTCTACAAAATATATATTAAAAAAATAAAATGAAGAATGAGGGCAGGAGGTGGCGGGAGAAGTGGAAGCAGATGGAGGAAGTTAGGTTGAAGAGAGCCAAGGATTCTTATTCTGATCCTATGATTTTCTTTCTTTCTTCACTCTGTCACCCAGGCTGGAGTGCAGTGACACTATCCCAGCTCACTGCAATCTCTGCCTCCCGGGCTCAAGTGATTCTCGTGCCTCAGCCTCCCACGTAGCTGGGATTACAGGTGTGTGCCACCATGCCTGCTAAATTTTGTATTTTTAGTAGAGAAAGAGTTGCGCCATGTTAGCCAGGCTGGTTTCAAACTCCTGGCCTCAAGCATTCCATCCACCTTAGCCTCCCAAAGTGCTGGGTTTACAGGCATGAGCTACCATATCCAGCCCCATTTTCTTATTTAAGACTGAATATGTTTCTCCTGACATTGCCACAGGTAGCCTCCTTTCCTGCCTGTTCCTAGTCCAGCCCTGGGACTCTTCTCACCTCTTGTCAGGGTCCCTTGAAGCAGGGGCTGGGTTGCCCTTCTCCCTGAGGCAGGCAAGAGGCAGAGCCGGGTTCAAGCAATTCTAGTGCCTCAGCCTCCCAAGTAGCTGAGATTACAGGCATGTGCCACCATGCCCGGCTAAGTTTTGTATTTTTAGTAGAGGTGGGGTTTCACCATGTTGTCCAGGCTGGTCTCAAACTCCTTACTTCAGGTGAGCCACCCACCTTGGCCTCCCAAAGTGCTGGGATTACAGGAATGAGCCACTGCATCTGGCCTATTCTTTAATGAGAAGAATAGAGCAATGAAGTCCCTGAACTGGGCCGGGGTTCCCAGGGGCTTCCCAGAAGCATGTGGCTGACTTATTGTAGTGAAAAATTAGCCAGCACAGATTTATCACCCAATATTTAGCTTTGGCCATCAGTATTCTCATAGCAGCTTCTGCTGATTGCCTCATTCAATCAACACAGGGTGGAGGTAATATTCCATTCACGTTGCGAGATCCTGGCTTTGTGTCCTGATGGGCCATGTGGGCAGGCTGCTCTCTGCTCTAACACTCCCTCAACACTATGTTCACACCATCCTGATTTTTTCCCCCAAGTGTTTGCACGACTCAGCCTATGCAAGGGATTATGGAGCTCAGTGGCTCTGTGGCTTCAGGTTCTGGCAAATGACTATTTGCTTTTTCTTCTTCTTCTTTTTTTTTTTTCTTTTTTTTTTTTGAGATGAAGTTTTGCTCTTCTTGCCCAGGCTGGAGTGCAATGGTATGATCTCAGCTCACCGCAACCTCCGCCTCCTGGGTTCAAGTGATTCTTCTGCCTCAGCCTCCCAAGTAGCTGGGATTACAGGCATGTGCCACCATGCCCAGCTAATTTTGTATTTTTGGTAGAGACGGGGTTTTTGCATGTTGGTCAGGCTGGTCTCGAACTCCCGACCTCAGGTGATCCGCCCATCTTGGCCTCCCAAAGTGCTGGGATTACAGGTGTGAGCCACTGCGCCCAGCCGATTATTTGCTTCTTCATGGCAACTCACAGACCATGATCCCCACTCAATCTTGTGGGTTTGTAATAGCAGCACAGAAAAGCTGTGTTGAACCGTGGCACATCTGTTAGCTTTTCCAGGTGCTCAGGAGGAGAAGGTGAACTGGCTGTGTGTAGTATGGTAAATAAAGGGGCCGGGCTACCTTTCAGAGGTTTGGCACACTGAATGACTTATGCCCTGACCAGAGACCTGGGCTAGGAACTTAGCTCCATGGCCTGGATGCCTGGGACCTTGGTCCGATTTGCAAACACAACAGCTCCACAGGAAGAAGCTTTGTCACAATAGTTATTATTATAGCAACCATCCAGAGGATGCTGCATCCTAAATATCCCTCAGCAGTAGTCCAGGTAAGAAGCACACCTGACTATGTATGCTCTTCTCTGCTTCAGAACCCTTCAGGGAGCTCCACTGCCTATAAGGAAAAGTCCACATCTGGGCACTTGGGTCTCCATGAGCTTCTGCCTGCTTATGGCTCCAGTCTTACCTCTCACTGCTTCCTGCATTAAACGTTTGCCCTAAACATTGAACTGGGTTCATTGTTGCATGTTCCCCTTCACCCCCAAATCAGACTTTGCTCATCCCCAGGATACCTTTCAACTTCCCCCACCTCCCCACCTGCCTAACACCACCACTCACTAACAAGGAGCTGTGCTCCGAAGCTTGTGGACAGCTGTGTCATGGAGGAGCTGCCGTGCTCTGTCCAGAGGGCTGTCTCTTGAGCACAGAGACTGAGCCTTCCCCACCTCTCTAGCCTCTAGTCCCAAGCACAGCCTGCCCCCTGGTAGCCCCTAGGAAATTTCCACCAAATGCATGCAAGGTCTTGCAGCTGCCCCACAGCTTGACATCCCACTTCCTCCTGAGCCTCCTCCTCCACTGTCTTCTATCCTCTGCTCAAAGCCCTTAACCGATGCCCCGGTTTTTCAAGGGCAGCTTCTTCAGTGTTGTTTGTTCATTCACTCAACTAACAAGGGCTGACCATGCATCGGCCTTGAGGGACTGAGGAACAAAGGTGCTCACACTCTGATGGGAGGCACACGGAAGCAGTGGCAATAAAATCTGTAAAGTCTTCTGTGAGAAGTTAAAGAGAAAATGCTAGAGGATCCCAGAGGAGGAAGCTACTGCTGACTGTGTGGTGGCTCCTCCCCAGCCTCGTACCCTGACTCTCACTCTTCAGCCTGCCCCAGTTCCCCTCTAAGCTACACCTTCTCCAGGAAATCGCAGCACACCCATGGCATCCACCTTTCCACTGAAGACTCCTGAGTATTCAGCCCCAACCTCTCTCTGAGGATTAGAGAAGTTAGGTAACCTGGCCAAGGCCACACAGCTAGGGGCAGCAGGGATGGCGCTCTCCTAGGACCATGCTGCACTCCTCCAAATCTGCTCCTTGCTCCCCTCCCATCCATCTCCACCTTCTTTGCCCTGCTGTGTGTCCTGGGAGGCTGATCTGTGAGGATGTCTTGGTGGCTGCCTTCGGTGGATTTGGCTAGTAACCCTCAGAGGAGTGGAGGAAAGGAGGAACATGAAACCGGGGAATTAACTCCTCTGTCATGCTCCCAGCAAGACCACCTAGGTTGGCTGTCCCTTGGCAGAAGGGGATCCTCTCAAGGGAGCTTCTCTACAAGACCCTCTCCTTCTGGTCCAGGTAGCTGTTCTCCTCCTGGTCTTCTGGCTGGGTGATGGGAGAAGCTCCTTCACTCCACTGCTACTGGCTCTAGGTTACTGCATTAGTCCTGCCTTTATCCGACACCACGCTCACACCTTTGTGAAAACACCCTCTGTGCATTATCCTAGTTTGAGTGGCTCCCTCTTTCCTGCGGGCCCGGGGCTGATGCATGCTCCTTCTGCATGTCCTGGATTGGCGAATAGCATCAATATCTGTACAGCTCTCCAGGCCCCAACCTTAACCGTCTCCTATTCTTCTTTCTCTCTCATCCTACTCTAGGACCTGAAAGCCTCTGAAGTTCACTCCTTCGGCCCCACTCCCTTCCTGCTGCCTTTGGGCTCTCCTCATGTGACTCTGCCTGTTGAAACTGTCTGCTAGCTGGCCCAGCATCTCCAGGCATGGCCTCACTCATCCACCTCTCCCTTGCTGAAGGTCTCCTCATGTAACACACGATTCCTTTAGATGGTCCTTCATCACCAGCAAGATGAAACCTAAATTCATTGGCATGGTAGACAAAACTCTAGCCTTGCCTCCCAGAGGCCAGTCTCTGTCTCCGCCACTCCCCAGGTGGACTGCATTGTGTTTCTGCTGCCATAAACATAATTTATTCTGACTGGAACATCTTCTGTGCATGTCTGCAGAGTGCACTTCACTCCCCCTGCAGTTCAAGCATCCTTCCTCCACAAAGCCTTTTCTTTTGATCACTGCAGGACCTGTAAAAGCTATCCTGGGATAGCCTGTATTTACTGGACTGAAATGATCTGTTTGCCTATCAATTTCCCCAAATGATATATGGCAAGGAGTAGTTGAATCTAAGAGCAGATCTCAAAGCCTATGTCCTTTCCATTGCCTTGTACCCTGCTCCCCTCAAGAATACCTATTTTTTGGGGTTGGTGGGAGGATCATGTGAGATAATGCATGGGCAGTGCCTGGCACACAGTAAGTGCTCAATAAATACTGTTATAAATGGGCGACCAGGCTGGGAGCTCCTCGCCTTATCTCTTTCCTGTGTATCTCTCAGTCCTTCGAATCTCCTGCCTCCTCTACCCAGAGTATGTTTCTGGGGGTTACAAATTTTTGAGGCTCCCGGTTAGAGATGAAGATCCCATTAGCGAAGATTGAATATCGGACTAGCTGTCAGGAAGCTCAGCTTGTTAGGTCAGGAAGGGAAGGGAAGGGAAGGGGAAAGGGAGAAAGAAAGAAAGAAAGAAAGAGAGAAAGAAAGAAAGAAAGAGAAAGAAGGGAAGGAAGGAAGGGGAAAGGAAGGAAGGAAATATATATATATATATATATATATATATATTTTTTTTTTTTTTCCCTGAGATAGAGTCTTGCTCTGTCACCCAGGCTGGAGTGCAGTGGCATGATCTCGGCTCACTGCAACCTCAGACTCCCGGGTTCAAGTGATTCTTGTGCCTCAGTCTCCCCCTGAGTAGCTGGGATTACAGGCGTGCACCAACACACCCGGCTAATTTTTATATTTTTAGTAGAGACAGGGTTTCATCATGTTGGTCAGGCTGGTCTCGAATTCCTAACCTCAAGTGATTCACCCGCTTCAGCCTCCCCAAGTGCTGGGATTACAGGCGTGAGCCACCGCGCCTGGCCCGGAGAGAAAAATGTTATAGGCAGGTGTGTGTGTGCGTGATTGTGTCCAAGTGCTAAGGACGTGCTATTCATGGGGTGCAGGAAGATGGATCTTGCTTCTCCAGTAGTCTTGTCTACCTGCAGGTCTCATCAGGCCATATCTCCAAACTTCTACTTGCTTTGGAAATCTCACATGGAACCTTCCCAGGATCAGGAAAAAAAAAAAATTAAGTAGAGTACCTTAATTCTATGACTCTACTTGACTAGCACTGAGAGATCTTGACCACTTAAAACATTCATTTATTTCCCACATACCTGGCAAAATTCTGTTTTGCCACAGGCCCTGCTGCCGTGCAAGGTTTTGTTACATGGCGGTGGAATTTCACTATTAGGGGAATCCCCTACAGTTCAACCTGTAGAAGCAGAAGGAAGGAGCAGATATCCAGTCATGTGGGGGTACATGGGATTATAGGGCTTCTCCTCCTAGCCTAGTGGGATAGAGTTGATAAAAAGGACAACTGTTATCTACCCCATCTCCTCCCTCTCCACCCTAATGGAGGAAGAAGCTTCCTGAGAGAAGCTACTTCCTGAGCTCAGCCTTGCTTCTCTCTTCTGGAGAGTCACCCCCTCAGAGGGCCATGTTGCCCTCTCTGAGCATTTGCCAGGCTGAGCTGGGCTGGGTGGAAGGAGTGGATATAATGCCTGCCTGCCTGCCTTCTTACTATCTGCACAAGCATTGGCCTCTGAGTGAAACCCAGAGTCTCTGCTTTGGATGCTGGGGACCTGGGCATCTTTGTCCCCTTGTGTCTCCTCCTGGCGCTGGCCAGGGGCCTACAAAGTGCACTTGGCACCAACTAGTCCAAGTCCTTGGTGAACTTGTCATTTTCCTTAGTTCTCTCCATCCTCCTGGCCCTTTTAGGGACCTGTCACAGTGCCTGCTGAGAGTGATTGCCCAACAGAAGCTCCTCCTGCACTCTCAGCCCACAGTGGGGGCAGGGGCAGGCCGAAAGGCTGGAGAGTGAGAGAAAGCCACCTGCTGGGAGGTTCTGGCTTTGTTGCTGCCACTGACTCAGCCCCAGGCCTTTCCCCGTGTGACCAGCCCATCAGACTCACACCCCTGAGCTAACCTGCACCCAGGCCTTCCTGGCAGTACAGACTCACGCTCAGGACAGTGTTTCATGCCTGTCTTTCTAAGGAGTTTCTGTAGGATTTCAACATGTGATCTCCCTGCCCTGCTGCCCTCAGAGCTACTCATGTGACTCTGTTTCCTTCTTTTCAGTCTTTTAAAATTGTGGTGAAATGCGAATAACTTAGAATTTACTATTTTAACCATTTTTGAGTGTACGATTCAGTGGCATTAAGTATTTTCCTTTCTTTTCGCTCCTGGCAGCCTTATCAATAAAGCGGTGGTCCTGTCTGTTTCCCCCCAGGCCACAGGGTGGGTGTCGGGGGTCAACTTGGATGCCCAATATCTCCCATTTGGATGAAAAGTTTCTATTCTGACAACCACCCATCTGAAAAATGTAAACTTCCATGGAATCTGCCTTCCTTCAGCAGGCAGCTAATGGGAGGCTTTTTAAATTAAGAAATTAGAGTGAGTTGGCTGGTCACAGTGGCTCACAATTGTAATTCCAGCACTTCGGGAGGTCGAGGCAGGCAGATCACTTGAGGTCAGGAGTTCGAGACGAGCCTGGCCAACGTGGTGAAAACCCGTCTTTCCTAAAAATACAAAAATTAGCTGGGTGTGGGGGCATGCACCTGTAATCCCAGCTACTCAGGAGGCTGAGGTTTGAGAATCGCTTGAACCCGAGAGGTGGAGGTGCCACTGCACTCCAGCCTGGGCAACAGAGCAAGACTCCATCTAAAAAAAAGAAAGAAAAAAAAATAGAGTGAGTTGGTCCTGATTTCACTTACTCCTACTTTTACCAGCCTATGTGAGGAAGGAAAGAGCACTGGATCCAGAGCTTAGAACACCTTAAAGGCTGCTGGCTTCTGTGGGGCTGGCACCACTGGGGAGAGGGACTCCAGTCAGCTGGTGAAGGGCTTGGGTCCCTGGCTGCTTGGAATGGGAACTTGTCTGATCTTTCCCCAGAAGCTTGCATTTGTTTGGGATAGAGCCAATGTGCTGTCTTCGGGCAGGAGCCTGCCTCTTGATGTACTGTGTTTGTATCAGAATGCTTCTGGGTACAAGAGATAGAGAGCCTGGCTTAAATTCAATTAACATGTGGTCAAATCAAGGATCCAGGTTCTTTCATCTTTCTGCTCTGTCATCCTCAGCATTGGCTTTTTTCCTAAGACTGGTTACTCTGATGGTCCCGACTCTCCAACTACCGATGGTGGAAGGAGAAGGGCTCCATGATTGCTTGATTCACCCAGCTGTAGAAAGAAAGAAACCACTCTCCCAAGCATAGACTTTATGGCCTTCCCTTCTGACTAATCAGGCCAGCGTAGTTCACCTGTACACCCCTGGATCATCCGCAGTTACAGGTGAACAATGTGGTGGGTTGACTGTTCAAGATGCAGTGCTAGTGCTGGGAATATGGTCAGCTTCCCCTGAAGCACAGCTTCTAAGTACCCTGGGGAATTGCATTACCTGTAGGAGAGGTACACACTGAGCAAAACTTGGTTTCTGTTAGAGGAAAAGACTTGGGGAGTGGTCCCCTACAGCAATGTTTTTCAAACTGTGGATTGAGATCCATTAGTGGGTCATGAAATCAGTTTAGATCACAGCTTATGGGGCAAATTCAGCCTTTATTTATTTGTATGAATAAAGTTTCATTGGAACACCGCTACCCCCACTCGTTTCCTATTGTCAATGGCAGCTTTCCCACTACAATGGCAGAGTTAATTTAATTACTTGGGACAGAGATCATATAGTCATCAAAGCCTAAAATATTTACTCTCAGGCCTTTTGCAGAAAATATTTGCTGATCCCTGGTTTAGCGAGTTGCAACCAGTACTAAAAGATGAAACAGATTAGACTAGAATAGAAAATATATCAGAGTGCATTGCCTGTGATAGGGATAAGTATTATTTCATAAACCCTTGATTTTAGTTTTATATAAACATAAATTCGTGCTTGTGGGTGCTGGGCTCTAGTTTATTTCTTATGGTGGGTCATAGTCAAATAGTTAGAAAAATTGCACTAGAGCACCACTCATTTTTTGCCGTGGAAATAGCTACTTAAGAAGGCCTATTTGTAATAGTGCTGCCCTTTGGGTTACATGTGATCTCTGTACCTAAAAGGTCAGGTGCTGGGGAAGATGCCTTGAATTAACAAAGGGCCATGAAACAATTTTGGGGGGTGACCTGGGAGCACTGAGTGAGCAACAGTATAGGATGAGCAGGGATCTGGCCAGGAGGAAGCTGGACCAGCCGCGCTCAGACTTGAAGAGACTGTGCTGGAAGATCTAAGCCTTTGTTGCTTCTAACATTCTGTGATTTTCAGAGGGGCGTTCACCCCATTCTGTGGGTGGAAAATCAAGGCCAGAGGAGACCACACACAGAAAACTCAGGGGCAGGACTAGTGGCTTTGGCCCTTTGGTGGCTTTCTGCCTGCCGTCCCCTGACTGAGTTTTCTTTGGCCCACGCTCCAACTATGCCTGGAGAGAAGCTAGACCAGATGGAGACTAGCTGGGAGCATTGACTCCTGGGTTCTCCTCTCCTGAGAACTCTGATCTTGCCAGCACAAAGGGGAAGACATCTTCTCTGACTCCTTCAGGGAAGGGAGTCCCGCCGACCACAGCTTTCCACGTTTCTGGGCCTCTGGCTTTTAGCAATTGCCCTCCTTTCCCGCCAACTCTGGCATCTTCCTGCCTGTGTGGGAGTCACTAGCGTGCAAGGAGGCTGAAGGGCCTTGATTGTCTGTGAGAGCCTCTGCCATTAGTAAGGCAGTCGTGGAATGTTTATGGCCTCTGCCACTTCAAAGACATTGCTGGGCTCCCATCTAGGGGATGGCTTTGACATTTATAGGAGGGTCAGCGAGCTAATAAACCAGAGAGGTTTCTAGTGCCTGAGGGATCCTCTTACAAGAAGAAATTTATTTCACATAGGAATGTCCAGAAATTTATTGGAAATATCCAGCCAAGTGCGCATACTAACTAACCCCATGCTTCATTTTGATGAGACCTTATGTCCTTGGACAGGAGGCCCTGTAAGGCAGCTTCAGACAACGGGCTCCACCTCAGCAGGAGCAGCTGGGAGCCTGGGCTCTTCTTTCTGAAACTGCCTTCAGAGTTGGATGGAAGAAGGGCAATTGCCAAAAACCTGGCTGAATCTGTGCTCAGGTGGAATTTTCTATCTCAGCTGCTGCTGAAATCAAAGATGAGCTCAGGCACTGGTCTTCCAAGATGTCAAAGCACAAGTCCTTTCAGAAAGTGAACTCACGTGGACCCCAACTATGTGAAATTGCTGCATTTGGAGCTGCTCTGTCCCAGTGGTGTGGGCAGCTTTCTGCTGGACTCTTCTAGCCACAGGGAGGATACCCTTCCTCCCAGGATAGCCCCCAAGGCACTGTGTCTGAAAGCCCCTTATTTTGAAGAGAAGAAAAATAAAGTCCTAAAATGTTGAGGTGACATCTTAGCTTGGGTTCCCCACAAAACAGAGCCAGAGGCAAAGGCTTGGGTGCCAGTAGTTTATCTGAAGGTGATTCCAGAAAATAGAAGAAAGAGTGGGGGGAAAGAAGCAAGGAAAGAAGGAATGCTGAGAAATAATGTGTTCTCCAGATTGCAGGCTGGATTCTTCCATAGCCCCCAGAGAAGAGGTCTAAGGCCCTCTGAGTTGGAGCATTCACCCACTGGTTCCTACTCCCTCTGGTTGAGGGTTCCTCCAGTGGGGAGGGATTAACTTCCTGTACTTGCAGGCTGTGCTGATGAGTGGGTTGAGCTCCTGCAGTAGAGAGGCCGTGGGCATCACATGGGAAAAAACGGTTTTCCAGGTTGACCCTGTTAGCACAAGGTGAATGTCAGGCCTCTGAGCCCAAGCTAAGCCATCATATCCCCTGTGACCTGCACGTATACATCCAGATGGCCTGAAGTAACTGAAGAATCACAAAAGAAGTGAAAATGGCCCGATCCTGCCTTAACTTATGACATTCCACCACAAAAGAAGCGAAAATGGCCGGTCCCTGCCTTAACTGATGACATTACCTTGTGAAATTCCTTCTCCTGGCTCATCCTGGCTCAAAAGCTCCCCCACTGAGCACCTTATGGCCCCAGCCCCTGCCACCAGAGAACAACCCCCTTTGACTATAA
This sequence comes from Homo sapiens, assembly GCF_000001405.40. Classification (NCBI taxonomy): domain Eukaryota; kingdom Metazoa; phylum Chordata; class Mammalia; order Primates; family Hominidae; genus Homo; species Homo sapiens. The sequence goes on from NC_000001.11 coordinate 110,438,219, forward strand.
TTTTCCACTATCCACCCAAATCTTATAAAACGGCCCCACCCCTATCTCCCTTCGCTGACTCTTTTCGGACTCAGCCCACCTGCACCCAGGTGAAATAAACAGCCTTGTTGCTCACACAAAGCCTGTTTGGTGGTCTCTTCACTGATGCGAGTGAAAGTGAATCTGAGCTCACATGGAATTTTCTATCTCAGCTGTTCCTGAAACCAAAGATGGGCCCAGGGGACATGATGTTGTGGGGCACCAGGGGAACCTGCTATCAGGAACCCTTGGGGTCCAGAAAGTCCATGAGCTGGGCCTAGGATGCCAGCGATCCACAGGCAAGAGTAACATATGAGATGTATACTTATGCATGTGGGTATACATGATCGCACCTGGGCATAGAAACACACACACACACACACACACACACACACACACACACACACTCATTCATTTGAATCTTAGCATTTGGAAGGATTGTGGAAATAAACGAAGACCAAATGAGACAAGCAAAAGCTACTTGGCCCAAGCTTGCTATAGCAAGGGAGACCGCCACCCTCACTTGCGTATTGATGAGACCTAAAGGCAGGCAGAGGAGTGGGAAAGGTTTACAGTGGGAAAAAGGGAAGGCTTCAGGTGTTTCCTGATTGGGGGCTGCTGGCCTGGGGAAGCTGTAGGCAGGCTCACTAGAAGCGGGGCATCCTATGTGATTGGTAGGGGGTGCATATTTAGCTTTCTCTGGTTTGTCCTGAGTTGGAAGTGGGGACAAAAATTAGCGGGGGCGGGTGCTGTTGGTTATTAATCAAGTCCTGGCCATTTGGGGCTGATTGTTTACAGCGGTTATTTTTTGGTTTTCTGGATTACTGTGAGAGATAGCAGCATGATTTGTTGCAAGTCTGACTTATGGTAGCCGGGCTTCCTGGATTGTTTATGGTAGATAAGGGGTTGGTTTCCTGGACTTGCTGCTGCAGATTGTAGGTGCAATCCCTGTTTTTAGATATGGTCTGGCTGTTGTCCATTTGTATACTCAGTCTCTTAGGATCTTAAAGGGTACTAAGGAGAAAAATCCCCTCCATATCCTCCCTGACAGAGGGTCAGCTGTAAGGCCTATTTCTGAACATATTTAGCAATGAGAAGCTCATTGCTTCCATAGCAGCCAATTCCCTTGTCTGCTGGGATATTCTTCCTTATACTGGGCTAAAATCTTCTTCCCTGTACCTTCCACACTTTGATCCTATTTTGCCTTTTGGGGCAACACAACTCTCTCATATGTGAGAGGCAGTGCGGCACAGCAGTCAGAAGTGTGAGCATCTAGAGTTAGATTTGGGGTCAGGTTTTAGCCCTGTGACTTACTATCTGTGTGACTTTGGGCCATCATGGAGCCTTCGTTTCCTCAGCTGGAGTAGTGGTGGGGTAGTGATGTCTACTCAGGACATCAGACAATGCACGTAGACTGCCCAGTAATGGATCACTGCAGTGGAAGGTTGCCATCATGGCTGCTTTTTCAGGCTAGGCATCTGCAATTCGTTCACTTCTTCTTCCTCATAAGCTTGGTTGCCATTTCAAGACCTACCCTAAAACAGCGCACCCACTCTCTGGCTCTGGAACTCGGCCTGCAGTGGACCAGAGAGAGAGTGCAGTCCTGGGACTGTGCCTTATAGGGTGATGTATGGTTTGGCTCTGTGTCCCCACCCAAATCTCATCTTGAATTGTAATAATTCCCACGTGTCAAGTGCGGGACCCAGTGGGAGGTAATTGAATCATGGGAGTGGTTTCCCCCATGCTGCTTTTGTGATAGTGAGTGAGTTCTCATGAGATCTGATGGTTTTATAAGTGTCTGGTATTTCCCCTGCTGGCACTCATTCTCTCTCCTGCCACCCTGTGAAGAAGTGATTTCTGCCATGATTGTAAGTTTCCTGAGACTTCCCCAGCCATGCGGAACTGTGAGTCAATTAAATCTCTTTTCTTTATAAATTACACATTCTTGGGTATTTCCTTATAGTAATGTGAGAATGGACTAATACATAGGGTTAGAGTGTTTGGAAGCTGACAGGTGACAGGGTGGTGGGAGGTGGAAATTGAGGGCTGCTGGGGAAGAAGATGATCAGAAGATTAGCAGGCTGGACTTTCTGGTGTGTGGGTGGGGGGACCTAAGGCTGGTAAGGCAGGTGGGATAGGACATTGTCCTGTTAAGTTTCCAACCTAACCCCCAAACTCAGCCTTGGGCTCCAAGTTTGGGAACGCAGGCTAAGAGAGAAGGGCCCCAAGCTTTCTTCTGGGCGGGGCCTTTTGCGAAAAGCTCCAGCAGGTCCAGACTGTTAAGGCTGCCTCTGGGCTCAGGGCCCCCATGCTGCCTTTCCCTCCTGTGCACCAGATTCCCCCAAATATGAACCTTCAGGGAGACCCCATCCCAAGGACAGAGCAGGGGGCTGAGACTGGAGAGCATTAACAAACCTGGTGTGGGGGCCGGTGGGAGAAGCCCCAGAGTAGGAGGGGAAGGTGGGATGGGATGGGCATCATGGCAGGATGGTAGAAGGAGACGGTGGAGCTTATTAATGTCTCTTGTGGCCAGGGGCAGTGGCTCACACCTGCAATTCCAGCACTTTGGGAGGCTGAGGTGGGTGGATCTCTTGAGGCCAGGAGTTCAAGACCAGCCTGGCCAACATGGAGAAACCCCGTCCTCTACCCAAAATACAAAAAATTAGCTGGGTGTGGTGGCACACTCCTGTAATCCCAGCTGCTTGGCAGGCTTAGGCACAAGAATCACTTGAACCTGGGAGGTGGGGGTTGCAGTGAGCCCAGATTGCGTCACTGCATTCCAGCCTTGGTGATAGAGCAAGACTCTGTCTAAAAAAGAAAAAGGCCTCTCGTGCCTTTTTTCCAGTCCTTCTTGACTGGTCAGCCAACTCGACAGCTCAGCTCCTAAGTGAGCCCCCATCCTGTGCCTAAGGCTGACCAGGCATGAGGAAGTGCAAACACTGCTTACCCTGAGATCCTGCTGCTGCACCTCCTTTCCTAGGCTCTGCCAAGTTATCATGGAATGTTCTTAAACAATAGTCCCAGCCCTGTGGCCTGAGAAGATGGTTCTGTTAGAACAACTCTCCTTTTCACCTTTCCAGCTAAATGATGAGGGCTCCAATGGGGCTGAAGAGCAATGTCCCATCATGAAAGATATCCCAGTCCACAGGCGTGTTAGCCCACCCTCTCTCCTTCGGTTCCCTTAAAAATCTGGGAGGTGAGGCAGGTCCTGAAGATAGAGACTGGAAGGAGTGAGGGAATCCAGCTGATCTCAGTGGCAGAGCTGGGACTCAAACCCAGGCTTCTTCATTCCAGGCCTCCTCCTCCTGGGCCATAGCTGGGTGGAGTTTGGGTTCTGCCAGTGTCTAGCTATGTGACTTAGGCACTTTCATGACTTCTGGGTTCAGGTTCCTTCTGGGTTCAGGAACTTATGGGTTCAGGTTCCTTCTCCGTGTGGTGAGGGGGTAGAAACAGACCAGACTGCCTTGGGATGAAACCTTGAGGGTGAAAATGCCAAGTCCTGCCCTAGCAGCGGGCAGGAGAGAGAGCTGTGGAGAGAAAGCCCTTTCCCCTCTGTGGCTGGCTTCTCCCTGGCCTCCTGGGTCAGCCTGAGCCATCTCCCCTCTGGGCAGTGAAGCGGTTTTTACCCTGCCTGTGGCTCTCAGTTTCTTTGTAGACTCCTTAGGCATTGTGACTGGGGAGCTTAGTCAAAATAACCAAATGCCACAGGGCCCCAGAGGAAGAAGTGTTCTAGCATTTCTTAGGACATGTTAAGAAACAAACACACACAATCTGTAAATTCTGGGTGTGTCTTTAAAGGAAGCCAAGATAAAGTGGCTCTGGCCTTAAGCAGTGCCACTGGGAGACCTGAAGGGAGTGACTCCTTGCTTCTGGTCCCCTGGGTCTAGTCCCTCTAAACAGCTGGGGTGAGGGAGGGACAGTGTATCATTCAGATTTTGCTCTTCAGGGAGGCCTTCTCTGCAGTGATTACTTAAGGAAACAGGGTTTTATTGTGGTGCTGGCTGGCCAGGGCCTGGTTTTCTTGGTCCCAGGTCCACATCATACCTGATAGAAGGATAATGTGGGAAGAGGGGCAGATATGCTGTGAGTGCCAGTGCTGGTTCCCACAGCTGCTGGAACAAGTTGCCACAAACTTAGTGGCTTTAAACAACAGACATTTATTTTTTCATAGGTTGAGAGGCCAGAAGTCTGAAATCAAGGCATTAGTAGGGCCACATTGTCTCTGAAATCTCTAGGGAAGAATCTTTCCTTGCCTATTCGAGTTCCTGGTGGTGGCTGGTGTTCCTTGGCGTGCAGCAGCACAATTCCAATCGTTGCCTCTGCTCCCCATGGCCTTCTCCTCTTCTCTCTCTTATAGGAATATTTGCCATTGGACTTAGGACTCGCTTCTGTAATACTGGATGATCCCATGTCAGGATCCTTAAACTAATTACATCTGCAAAGAGCTTTTTCCCAAATATGGTCATATTCACAGGTTGGAGTGCGAGAGAGACATATCTTTTTGGAACCACCATTCAACCCACTAGTGTGTCTAAGCACTCCGAGAGTTCTGTCATGTACTCGTAATACACCTGAGAGGAGGGTATTATTCCCATGTTTCAGAAGATAAAACTGAGGCTCAGAGAGGTGAGATAACTTGTACCAGTTCATATCATCAGTGAGTGGCTGGACTAGGATGGAAACTGAGGGCTTCACCACCCAGGCAAGAGGGCAGGGGCCAGCCTGTGGAAAGATATGGAAGAATGCAAGCTCGGCCCACGGAAGAGCTGTGAGCAGCTTCATCCTGCTGCAGTGGTGAGTGTGTGAGGGTGGGAATGATGGGAGAGGAGGCTGAAGGAGAGCAGGGCAGGTCTTTTAAGACCTTTGACCCAGGCTAAGGAGTTTGGGCTTGACCTGGGGATACAGAGGATCCTTGGAGACTTCGGAGCTCTCAGAGATGAAGAGCAGACCTCTGGGTTGCATGGAAGATGGATTGCAGAGAGGTAAACCTAGAGAGAAGGGCCTGTCAGGAGGATGGGAAGAACAGCACCAGTGCAGATGGAAAGGGAAGGAAGAGTCTGAAGTTAAGGGGAGGTCCAAGTGACAGGATTAAATGACCAATGAATTCAGATAAATTTAGGAATCTAGGAAGTTCCCAGGTTCAACTCCTGAGTGTATTGTGGTGCCTCTCACAACGCTGGAAGGATGTGGCAGTGGGCAGCCATGGTTTGTAGCTGCCCAAGATCCTTGGACACTTTCCTTGTACTCAGGTCTGAGTCAGTTATCTCCCAGTGCGCTTGCAGAGGTGCAGGTGTGCGCACTGGGCTGTGTGATCGGACAGCCCACATGAGCCTTTCACAGGAAAGAAGCAACTCGTAGAAAGGGCTCTGCAGGGGCCTGGACGTCAGCAGATGATGGCAGAGGAAGCTGAACGGAGAGCTGGGCCAGGTCTCATCAGCAGAGGAGCTGCCTTTGGGAGACGCCTTCCTTGTTAGGCAATTCTGTGGTTGGTTCTGGACATTGTTCTTGGACACTCAGCTGCATCCTGCTTCTCAAGACACCCAACAACTCAACGAGCTACTTAACAGTCTTCATTAAATTCCATTTCTGCTGAAGCCAGCCAGGCTGGACTCTGTTATTTACAACTAAGAACCCTGAACAATATAAGTGGGTTTAGCAGCGAGGATGAAAAGGAGGTGAAAGGACAGGGGCATGCTGAATGTGAGGTGCCAGTGGGGTATCGATGTGGTGATGTCCAAGGGGCTATTGGCTCTATGGGCCAGGAGCATGGGGTGGCCTGTGCTGGGAACACTGGTGTGAGATCATGAATGTGTAGGTGGCTGTGAGGCCTATTTGGGACGGGTGCGGAGGGACGGGAGAGCATCGAGTGTGGAACCTCAGTGAACAGCTTCGTTTAAGAGATAGCAAGAAGCAGGGGAGACTTAGAAGGAGACTGAGATGGGAGGATCTAGACAAAATGGTGTCATGAAAAGTAAGACAGGAATTCAAAGAAAGAGTAGTGCCTCGGTCAAAAAGGCACAGAAGGGCAAGGGAGATGAGGAGTGAAAAAACGATGCCTTGCGTTTGACATTTAAAAGGCTAAGGATGGGCCAGGCAAGATGGCTCATGCCTATAGTCTCAGCATTTTGGGAGGCTGAGGTGGGCAGAATGCTTGAGCCCAGGAGTTCAAGTCCAGCCTGGGCAACATGGCGAAACACCATCTCTATGAAAAATACAAAAATTAGCCAGGCGTGGTGGTGTGCACCTGTAGTCCCAGCTACTGAGGTGGGAGGATCCCTTAAGCCTCAGACATTGAAGCTGGAGTGAGCCATGATCACACCACTGTACTCCAGCCTGGGTGACAAGGCAAGACCTTGTCTCAAAAAAAAAAAAAAAAAAAAAAGAAAAGAAAAGAAAAGAAAAACAGTAGAAGGATAAAGGTGACTTGGAGAAAGCAGTTCCGCTGGCACAATGGGAACAGGAGCGAGACTGGAGTGGGCTGAGGAGGGTGTGGGAGAAGAGGAAATGCAGAGCTCTCCTACCACTGACTGTGTCAGGAAGAAGAGGGGCAGGCAGGAGTGAAAGGAGAGGCGCGTACTGCGCTTATGGGCTGAGCCAGGAGCCACTGTGGCCGAGAGGTAGCGGTGTGGTCTGTGTGGGGATGACTAGGGGAGATGCCAGGGTTGACAGCTTGTTTATCCTTAGGTACTAGATAGTCTGACACTGTCGTTATGATATCTTTTCTTGAATGACATCTTCTAGTTGTAGAATAAAAAAGTCTTGCAATCATTTGAAACCCAGTTAAAGGGATCACTTGAGTGAGGATGCCATTTAATGAAATTGTTATTTTTAATTAAAAAAATGGAGATAGGGTCTTGTTCAGTTGCCCAGGATGGTCTTGAACTCCTGGGCTCAAGCGATCCTCCTGCCCTGGACTCTCAAAGTGCTGGGATAACAGGTGTCAGTCACTGCACCCAGCCGAGGATACCAGTTTTAAGGACTACTGGGCACCTAGGCCTTGTTTTTTAAAATCCAGAGTTCTGAAGATGAGAGTGTATGGGGCGCAGGTTATCTATGGGTTAAGGAAACTCAGAGACCTGGGAGGGAGTCTACCTGGATGCAGACCAGGGGCCAATGTTTCCCGTGATCCCTCCATGCAGATATAGCCTCTGCCATGTCTGAATGTTGGAGTGCCCCCAGAATTCATATGCTGCAACCTAATCTCTCATGCAATAGTATTAAGAGGTAGGGGCTTTGGGGAGGTGATTAAGTCATGACAGGGAGCCCTCAGAAATGGGATTAGTTTCCTTATAAAAGAAGCTGGAGGGAGCTTGTTTGCCCCTTCCACCGTGGGAGGACACAGCAACAAAGCGTCCTCTAGGAAGCAGAGAATGAGCCCTCACCACACACGGAATCTGCCAGCATCTTGATCTTGGACTCCCCAGCCTCCAGAGCAATACATTTCTGTTGTTTATAAATTACCCAGTCTGAAGTATTTTATTATGACAGCACAAGCAGCCTAAGACACTCCCCAGGTCCCTGTTATTCTCTGGACCCCGACACTGTACTCTTCTCTTTCTTTCTTTTTTTTTTTGTTTGAGACGGAGTCTCACTCTGTCGCCCAGGCTGGAGTGCAGTGGCACGATCTCAGCTCACCGCAAGCTCCACCTCCCGGATTCACACCATTCTCCTGCCTCAGCCTCCCGAGTAGCTGGAACTACAGGTGCCCGCCACCACGCCCGGCTAATTTTTTTGTATTTTTAGTAGAGACGGGGTTTCACCATGTTAGCCAGGATGGTACTCTTCTCTTTCTATTTTGTTTTCTTCTTCTTTTTTCTCCTTGTTCTTCTCTTCCTCCTCCTCTTCCAATTCTTCTTAGATTTGTCCAGTTTAAATTCAGGCTTTCAGCTGGCCTGAATTTATGACCCTGCACTGTACTAAGCTGCATCTTTCCTTTGCTCCGAGTCTCCAGAGTTTACCCCCGGAGTTCTTGGCTATTGTGCTGTAGGCCCCTTTGAAGCCTATGGCTCAGAATAATGACTTCAAATGTATAAAATACAATATGTAAGATTATAAAAAATATCAAGTTTATTAAAATAAAGTTATCAAGATATTTATTAAAAACAAATTTGTGACATGGTAATACATGCACTTCTTTATTAATGGATCAAGTAACAATCTAGCAAGGAGCCTAGTAACTACAGTGATTTCAAGGTAGTGATGAGCAGGAATGATATTTGGAGCTATTTGAAGCAATAGTAATATGACATAAAAACATCTGTAATTTCTCCTGGCAACAAAATCACGGTACTGTTAAAACTTTTGTAGTTTGTGGCCTATGGTTCAAAGAAAATGTTAAAAATTCAGTTAGAAGTTAGTGAACATTAAGATGCAATTTTTCTCTCTACCAAGTTTATGGATTCTCTGAATTCTGCTCATGAGCTCCTCAGGGCTGTGACTCCAAGTTAACAACCCCCAGCCTGGATGCTTGGGTTTCCTTTATTCTATTATTCCTTTCTTCATCTCTTTTTGAAACGGATCAGAGTTAATTCTTGTTTAATCATTAGCAACAAACCAGTAATAAAGGGAGCATTTTTTTTTTCTTTGAGACAGAGTCTCACTCTGTCACCCAGGTAGAGATGTGATCTGGGCTCACTGCAACCTCCGCCTTCCAGGTTCAAGTGATTCTCCTGCCTCAGCCTCCCGAGTAGCTGGGATTACAGGCACATGCTATCAGGCCTGGCTAATTTTTGTATTCTTAGTACAGATAGGGTTTCACCATGTTGGCCAGGCTGGTCTCGAACTCCTGACCTCAGGTGATCCACTTGCCTCTGCCTCCCAAAGTGCTGAGATTACAGGCGTGAGCCACTGCACCCAGCCAAAGGGAGCATATTTGAACACATGTGCTCAAACATTAACACAAGATCCGCCCACTCAGGCAGGAGCAAGGAGACCCCTGGACATGGGCTCCCTTTCTAGCTTGCAGAACAATAACCATGATCTTAAGGTAGAGTGGAAAGGGGCTTCTCAACCTCTCCCCCATGCTTAGGTGAGACTTACTCCATGCCTGAAGGTAAACAGTCTCAGAGGACTATGCCAGGTCAGGGAATATTCCACTCCATAGTCTCACTCCATGAGAAGGTCGCCCTACATCTTGAGGGGCCCCTCAAGGTAGGCCTTGAGATTGGCTGTTGCTACACGCGCACACACACACATCTGTATAAATGGTCCATGGTGACACTGACATCAGCTAAAGCAGAGAAATAAGGGCCAGGCTGACGTTATGAGATGTGAACTGCACGTAGCCCTTCTACACAGACACTCAATGGCATGCTGCCCACCTGCCCTCATTCTCTCCGCAGGTGTGTAGGATTCTGGGAAAGGCTTGCCCGGCACATCTTCTCCACTAGCTCTCTCCTCCCTCAGCGGAACCAAGTCCACTTTTAGCACTTTCACCGTTTCCCCTCCATTTTTTACCACTTGCTTCTTGTCTCACCTCCCCTCCGGCTTCCCTCCTTTGTCTCCTCCAGTTCATGCTTGCTTAGTTCAGGGTTTTCCTCTCCTTTCCACTGTCCTTTTCCACACTGCACCTGGCAGCCAAAAAGTAACCCTAACCATGGCAAAAAAGAATCAAGTACTGTTGAAATCCACCTAGACAAGGGAACAGGAGAGCTCTAAGGTCTAGAGGGAAATTAGACCCTAGAAGTGCGAGTTCCTGGTCCTGACACATGGAAGGAACTGAATGAATGTGTAATTGAGTTATTGAATAAAGAATCAGTACTGCTTATCCCCGGAGCTCCTCAGAGTCTCTTCTGGGATTTCCACCAAGTTGCCCTCTGTCCCTTGTCCTCCTCTAATTAAAATGGCTTTTCCTCAAGCACTAGCATTCAAGAGAAATAAAATGCTTTTAATCAATGCTATTGGTTTTGTTTTGCAACAGCATTTCTTGCTACCATTCTTCACTGCAATTGTGAGATGATTAGTTTTGTGTGTTTGTGGCAGTGGGGAGGGAGGGAGTGAGAATAGGGGAGCGAATGGGACGGGTGTTAGCCTGAGAATCACCTGATCTGACATTGTCTCTTGGAAGGCAAACTTGTGAGGTGGGGTAGTGTGTGCAGGGCAAGCAGAGCCCACAGGACCACTTCTGTAAGGTGTTCCAAGCCCCCAGCAAAGTGCTGCCTCCTCCCTAGGTAGCTTTTCTCCCAGAGCAGAAGGTCCTCCAAGGCTCGGATGGTCTCTTGATTCTTCTGTCACCAGCCCGGCCCAGTGTCACAGTGTACAGGTGGGCCTTACAGACTCATTATTTTGATTCTCACCTCCCAGGAGAATTTTATATTAAGGCATACAAGTTCATATGTTTATAGAAAAAACTGGCCATTGGTAGCAAATGCTGCTGTGTGCCAGGCATTGTGGTAAGCACTTCATATGCATCACCTCACTTAACTCTCCATCTGCAGTCAGAGGGATCCTTTCAAGGTGTGAATCAGGCCAGGTGCGGTGGTGTGTGTCTACAGTCCTAGCTACTCTGGAGGCTGAGGCAGGAGCATCGCTTGAGCCCAGGAGTTCCAGGCTGCAGTGAGCTATAATCACACTTCAACCTGGCTAACAGAGCAAGACCTTGTCTCTAAAAAAAATCCAAGTGTATACCAGATCCTGCCTCTCCCCTGCTCCAAACTCTCCAAGGGTTCCCATCACACTTGGAGTCAGGTTCCTGCCATGTCCCACAAGGCAGGCTGGATTTGGTCTTTGGCTCCTGCTCCAACTGCATCCCCTCCCATCCCGTCCCCTGGCTCACCTCACTCTTTGCTTCTCCTGGAACTGGCCAAAAAGCCCTGCCACAGGGTTGTTGCACTGACTTTTCATCCAGGCTCTGTCCAGCTCACTCCTTCACTTTATCAGTCATCTGCACAAGTGCCTTCTCAGACAGACCCTTACCACATCTAAAATATCACCACTTGTCAAGGTCTGTTGCTTTCCCTGCCTTTCTCCCCACCACCTTTTTTTTATTTTTTGAGATGGAGTCTCGTTTTGTTGCCCAGGCTGGAGTGCAGTGGCGCGATCTCGGCTCACTGCAACCTCTGCCTCCCAGGTTCAAGTGATTCTCTTGCCTCAGCCTCCCGAGTAGCTGGGATTACAGGCGTGAGCCACCACAGCTGGCTAATTTTTATATTTTTACTAGAGATGGGGTTTCACCATGTTGACCAGGCTGGTCTCGAACTCCTGACCTCAAGTGATCCGCCTGCCTCTACCTTCTAAGTGCTGGGATTACAAGCATGAGCCACTGCGCCTGGCCTTCCTTTTTAACAGTGCTCAACACAACTGGCCATTTTATTACAAATCTGTTTATTTGTCTATTACCCGTCTCCTTGACTATAGTCAAAATTACATGAGGACAGGGTTTTGTTTTGTTCACTGCTATATTCCCAGTGCCAAGAACAGTGTCTTCTATACAGTAGGCTCTCAATAAATATAGTCAATGAATAAATAAATAGATGAATACTCGCAAAATCGTATGATGTAAATGCTATTCTTATCCCATGTTATAGATAGGAAAACTGAGGCTTGGAGAGATTAGCAATATTTTCAAGGTCATGAAGCCATCGATCTGAATCAAAGCATCTGCCTCTGGGGGCTTAGCTCCCAGCTCCCGTGCTAGTTAACCTTCCTCTCTGCACTCATAAATGCCTATCAGCGTTTCAATGTGGAAACCCTAGACCCCTGTGACATTTGATAAGAAAGGTTTTGTGGATGAATCTGCTTGTGAAATACTACAAACTGCATTTCCCACTTGGTGTTTCAAACACTTATTAGCATATGAAAGGCCCTGAAAAGTTCTGCAAAAAACAAGCCGGTTTGTGTTTCCCAAATTTTTGACTGTAGAAGTCTTTTATTTGTTTATTTGTGTATTAACATATTGCAACACATACCTTGGGAAATGTTGGCTTTTATTACTGTGGAGAGAAGGCAGATCATCTGACAAAGCACTGGGAGCTCTCTCTGGGTCGTATGACACAGAGAGGGCTGGGGTCAGGGGCTTCCCTCACAGGCGGAGGGGCCATCCCGAAAGTCAACTTCCCACCAGACTGGCATCTGAGACCACCGTGTTTATACACTCACGGATAAGGCCACTCTCATGCTCACCCCTAAAACTGGAAGGCCAGTGGTGTGGCTCTGGTACCTTTCAGCCACAGCCCATACCAGCTCGGCTCTGCAGGGTACTGAGAGAGTGTGTGCCCTGTATGTTTGCTGGCTTTCTGCCCTTGGGTCATTGTACCAAGGGACACTTGCTGGTGTTCATCCTGAGCCCATGAGAGAGCAAATCCTTATGTGTGTGTCACTTAGGAACATCAGCCCCACAAGTCTGGTCTTTTTTTCCTCACTGTCTTATGGCTCCTCACTATAATTTTAACCTTTTAGAGAAATAAGGATACCACCTCACCCTCTTCTGTCTTCTCAGCTACCTCTGTGTTGAGCCCATGGTAAATGCCTAGATAAGTCTTGGTGTGAGTGAGAGGGAACCAATAATCTTGTATGTTGCATAGTTTGGTGCAGGGAAGCATAAATGGTGATGTTGCAAATCCCTTAATTCATTACCAGAGGCTTTCCTCTGCCCCAAGTAGGATAGAAGGATACCCAGAGGCAGAAAAGAACATTGAGTGAAATATACATAACTGTCTGAATCACTGCGTTCTTGGGAGAGTTAGAGCAACCGTCAAAGCCCCCCAAGTATCCATTTTTATTGGTTTTGATGTTGATTTGATGTTGTTAGAGATTCAGGTCTCATCTTCGCTTCTGAGATCATCTGAGTAACATCGGTGTTGGAGAAGGGAAGAGCAGAGATGAGGCATCCACAGGCAGCCCTGGATCCTGAGTGTAAACATCTGGGAGGAGGCGGGGGATGCAGGAGAGCCTGGCCTCCCCAGCTTGCCAGGCACAAGGCTGAGCGGGAGGAAGCGAGAGGCATCTAAGCAGGCAGTGTTTTGCCTTCACCCCAAGTGACCATGAGAGGTGCCACGCGAGTCTCAATCATGCTCCTCCTAGTAACTGTGTCTGACTGTGCTGTGATCACAGGGGTAAGTCGCCTAACATTCTCTGTGCCTTGGGTTTTGGGAAGATGTCAGGGTCTGCACGGGTTGTGAGCCCAGGAACCATGCAGGAGGCTCTGTTGGCTCAACACAGTGTGAACCAAAGGGAATGGGGAATTATGCATTAAAGGGATTGCATGCGATTTTCAGACTAGTTAGACCTCACTCTACTAAATGGGATCTGCTTTTGAGAAGCTGTGTATGAATCAAATCCTGTTTTCAATGTGTTAGCAGAGCATTGAACATTTTGAAGTTCAGTCCTTTGGTAAAGTGAAGATTCCTATTAAGTAATAAGGAATTCCTTTATAAAGTGGATTGGCAAACCTTAACTTATCTTTTGTGTGAATTTTAATTTTTATTTATGGTCTGATTCACATATTAATATTAATATTAATTTACATAGCATGTTGACTTAATTAAAGGCAGTAAGCTTAATTAAAGGTGGTAAGCTTATAAACTTCTATTGTATAAACTTAACCTCCGCTTAGAAAGGATATCTTTGAAACTCTTTCACTCTGTGCCTGCCTAGTTAGTTCTGAGAGGAATATGGGTGCCACTAACATTCAGCTGAGTGTACCCCAAAGCAAGCATCCAGATAACAAGTAGATATCCAGTCTCGAAGCAGAGAAGCAAAGGTTCAGCATATGGGCACTGTACAATTGGTTCAAAATATTCAGATCATGGTTTTCTCTCGGAAGTTTGCTTTTACCTCAAACCACCTTCAAATAGGGGCACATGATGTGTTATGGTAGCAGGACCATTCTTACTGAAGCAGAAAGCAATGCTGTACCTGAGAGCTTTCCATATAAAATCCACTGGAAGAAAAAGGTCGGGGAAGCAGGGAAACTAACTTTTAGTTCAGCCTCCACCAGCTTTTTACATGGATAGTGGAAATGTAGAGAAATGCCAAACAATTCCTGGAATTGGGTTAATTTTACCATTCACAGAAAGGACAAATTCTTTCTTTTCTCTTTTAAAGGAAAAACACTGAGTTCAAAAGAACAAATATTAAAGGCGAGTCAAATGCTTTTGAGATCCAAAGCAAAAATAAAAATAATTGTGAAGGCAGAATTATACCTAATGAAGTGTTTACACTGTAGGCTGCCCTTCTATGGGGTAGCTTGAAAATCTGGGAGGGCAAGAACAATGGAGAGAAGCCCCGGCTGCTGCGCGGTGAGGGCAGGAGCAGCGTGGTTGGCCTGGATGCCAGGCTTGCCTCACCACCCGTGCCAGCTCCAGCACTGGCCCAGAGTGACAGCAGGGCAGGCAGATCTGAGAGCGGCAGGCAAACATTTTCACGGTGAAAAGCACAATAGAGAGCACTTTTCCCTAGGTGAGGGAAACCCAGGAAAGACAGGTGAGTGGTGAGAACAGGGCAGTAAGGGGAAGTCAGGAACCCCCAGGCTCCCCACATCCTCCATGTCCTGCTGGTGTCCCACTTCTGATTTTCAGCAGGAGCCCAGGCTCCACCACCTCTACACTCCCCTGCTCCCTGGACTGTAACTGTCCCCACATCCAAGGCTTTATGATCCTTCTTCCAAGAGTGGGACAGTGATGCCCCACCTCTATGGGAGAAGAAGAGTCGACTGGGGTTTCCTTTACCCCAACCCCAAGCTTTTGTGGCCTGGCTGGGTGTGAGACGTGCCCTTGCTGGGCTGGAGACAGGCACAGCTGGGTGCCCACCACCCGTAACTCCTCTGCATGATCTGTGGAGCTGACATCCACTCTTTCCCTCTTGGGTCTGAGCAAGTAGGAGGCTTCCAGGTCCTGCCACGTCCCACACAGCAGCCTGAAGGTGCCCATAGGCTTTTATTGGAGAAGAGTGATCCAAAACCCAGCTTTGCATTTCAGCTCAGAAAAGCCACATAGCATCTCTGAGAATGGCAAGTGTGGATGCTTCTTCAGCAGGTCCCCACCTGAGTCTGGAGCAGTTAAGAGTTCTGTCTTCCCCGGCTCTGGCTTTTATTTAACGTGGGCTCATGTTAAATGTGAGCTTATTTAATGTGGCCTTCTTTACAAATGGTACCTTCCCCAAACCAGGCAGGGCCGCTCAGCTCCTGTTCTGCGATCCTCTCTGGGAATCATGGAAGTCAGTAGAGAAACCCTGGGAGAGGCACCTGTTCACTGGGGTGCTGGCCCCTCTGCTGAGGCTGGGCCACTTGAGGGCCAGGATGGGGGTGCCTCCATGCAGAGGGGAGGGACTGACCACAGTGCAGAGTCAGGGCTGGAGACTCCTGGTCCAAGGCAGCTCAGTACTGACCACCAAGGAATTTGGGCCATCAGGGTCCCTCCCACCTCTGAGAATTCTAATTAATTCAATTCCACCAGCATCCACTGAGCATCTACTTAGCCCTAGAAAAGCTATGCCTTCTAACCTCCAGCCTTGTCAGAAAAGGAGGACTGTCTTCCTTCTGAGTGGCCTCCAGGAGCTTGGAAGTTTCCTCAGATCCAGATCCAATGCCCCCCTGAGCCCTGAGCCTCCCCACGAGGGGAGCAAGGCAATAAAGTGTGGCCCAGGGTGTTCTGTTAGGCTAAGGCCGGGGGTGATACTCTCAGCCTCTTCTTGCTCCATCCTGATAAGGGCTTTTTGGATCTACCCTTCCCTTCTGCTTTCTCTTGGGTGCACTAATGAACTGTTCCCTTCTCTCTCCCTCCTACAGGCCTGTGAGCGGGATGTCCAGTGTGGGGCAGGCACCTGCTGTGCCATCAGCCTGTGGCTTCGAGGGCTGCGGATGTGCACCCCGCTGGGGCGGGAAGGCGAGGAGTGCCACCCCGGCAGCCACAAGGTACTCTGCAGACACTGCATAGGTGCACATATGTGGGTGGGCCATGCGGGGAGCAGAGGGTGATGTCCTGGGGCCTTGCTCTAGCTAGGAAGGCTAGAGAGGCTGGCTCCAGAGAGGCAGTCTAGGGAGGCTGTGGCTCCAGAGGACTTCACCCTCCTCTGATAGCTGATCCAGCCCTGATCCAGCCCCTGAATGTCCAAGGGGAAGCAGAAGGCTATGGGGTTGCTGTGCCCCTGCCATCAACAGGCATCCACCTTACTTAGTGCCCTGCAGATGACACATTTGTACATTTATTTGTACAGGGCCTGACATAATTCATCTACAAACTTCTAGCACAGGTTGGAGAACCACTGATCTTTATTTGATCCTCACTGCAACCCTGGGCAATGCTGAGGAAACTGACATACAGCAAAGTCATGTGACTTGCTCAAGGCACACAACCAATGAGACAGAGCTGGGACTGGAACTGCAGTTTTCCGATGCCACCTCTAGTCATACCTCACTGATGTTGGGCACTGCCTCCTTGTTTTTGGGGGGCAGCCTCAGGTGGAGGGGTGCCACTGATCTTATAGGCTGTTAAACAAGCTGGGCATTCCCAGCCCCTAATTTGCTGTGTGGACTTGGGCAAACTACCTCACCTGCTCTCAGGCCACACTTATATGATGAGTGGAGCAAACTCACTACCTCTAATGTCCCTTATGGATCTGATGAATTCAGATTTGGGAAGGATCTCACATGCCCTTTGCTCTGTAAGAACTTCCCTTCAGGGACACAAAAGTAGACCCACAAAATCGCCTTCCACACCTGGTCAGGCCTACAGTGAGGCAAGTGAGGTGCCCACTTTAAGAAGTCACTCTCTCTTGTGGCCTAAGTACATAGCTCCTGCCTTGCTCCCACTCCTTGACCTCCAGCTCCCAGTCCAGAGTCCTCTGGAGCCACAGCATCCCTGCTGCTCTCCCTCTCTGGAGCCACTTTACCACACTTTACCAGTTAACCAGTGAAGCTCCCAATTCCCACAGCTTTTTCATTAAAATGCAAATGGTGGTGGTTCAATCTAGTCTGACATTGACATATTAGAAGGCAATTAGGGCATTTCCACAGGCTCTCAGGTGACTTGCTTTCCTCCCTGGGCCTTGCCCCTCTCCCTACATGTACCCCTCTGTCTGAATTAGACATTCCTGAACACAGGCTTTCAGGCTTACCAGCTGTCTTCCACCTGGACTCAGGCATGTTTCCTGCTCTTCGGGGACTTGCCTGCACCCCGGCTCGGTGCTCATCTCTAGGCACGGAGCGTCCTCCAGCGGTTTCTCTCCCAATCACAGCCCCTGTCCAACCTCCTGTCCCAGGACGAAGAGGGGCTAGGGAGTGGTGAACGAGTCAGGACAATGTGGCAGTCCTTGTAACCTTGGGGAATGTGAGGTGGTTCAGCTCCAGATCCATATTCCCAATACAGACAACAGTGATAAAAAAACTAATGCTGAGTGCTTCCTGTATGCCACCCTTCATACTGGGTGCTTTTTGTTATTTTAACCTCTTTATAACCACATGTGGTAGGTGCTATTATTAAACCATTTTACAAATGATAAAGCTGAGGCACAGAGAGGCCAAATGATTTGCTGATTATCACACAGCTGGGAAGCGGTAGACCTGGGATTTGAACCCAGGCAGTCTGACAATGGGCCCATGCTCCTAACTTCTCCCTGAGGATACCCCATTGGTTTAGCACTCCTCTAGGGTGTGAGTCAGGGCAGAGATGGTGGCTGTCCTATTCACGGCTGCACTTGCAGCACCCACCATGGTTTTGAGCCCATAATGGATGAGCAACAAACATTCAATCAATGGACATGTGTGTGCGTGTGTGTGTGTGTGTGCAGGCACATGTGTGCTGAGTCTCCAGAGCCAGGTAGCCTGGGTGCAAATCCTAGCTCCTCCACAAATTAGCTGTGTGATCTTGGCGTATTGCTTAGCCACACCGTACCTCGGTTTCCTCATCTCTAATTGCTATTATTGTTGTGCTAGGTGCAGTGGAGAAGTGGGCTAGGGTGTGGGGGTGAGACTTTTGCCAGTGCTGGGCTGAGCAGAGACTGCTGCCAGGAGGCCCACCTACCTCCCTTTGGTGAAGGTGTTGATTTCTTCTCTCCTTAGGTCCCCTTCTTCAGGAAACGCAAGCACCACACCTGTCCTTGCTTGCCCAACCTGCTGTGCTCCAGGTTCCCGGACGGCAGGTACCGCTGCTCCATGGACTTGAAGAACATCAATTTTTAGGCGCTTGCCTGGTCTCAGGATACCCACCATCCTTTTCCTGAGCACAGCCTGGATTTTTATTTCTGCCATGAAACCCAGCTCCCATGACTCTCCCAGTCCCTACACTGACTACCCTGATCTCTCTTGTCTAGTACGCACATATGCACACAGGCAGACATACCTCCCATCATGACATGGTCCCCAGGCTGGCCTGAGGATGTCACAGCTTGAGGCTGTGGTGTGAAAGGTGGCCAGCCTGGTTCTCTTCCCTGCTCAGGCTGCCAGAGAGGTGGTAAATGGCAGAAAGGACATTCCCCCTCCCCTCCCCAGGTGACCTGCTCTCTTTCCTGGGCCCTGCCCCTCTCCCCACATGTATCCCTCGGTCTGAATTAGACATTCCTGGGCACAGGCTCTTGGGTGCATTGCTCAGAGTCCCAGGTCCTGGCCTGACCCTCAGGCCCTTCACGTGAGGTCTGTGAGGACCAATTTGTGGGTAGTTCATCTTCCCTCGATTGGTTAACTCCTTAGTTTCAGACCACAGACTCAAGATTGGCTCTTCCCAGAGGGCAGCAGACAGTCACCCCAAGGCAGGTGTAGGGAGCCCAGGGAGGCCAATCAGCCCCCTGAAGACTCTGGTCCCAGTCAGCCTGTGGCTTGTGGCCTGTGACCTGTGACCTTCTGCCAGAATTGTCATGCCTCTGAGGCCCCCTCTTACCACACTTTACCAGTTAACCACTGAAGCCCCCAATTCCCACAGCTTTTCCATTAAAATGCAAATGGTGGTGGTTCAATCTAATCTGATATTGACATATTAGAAGGCAATTAGGGTGTTTCCTTAAACAACTCCTTTCCAAGGATCAGCCCTGAGAGCAGGTTGGTGACTTTGAGGAGGGCAGTCCTCTGTCCAGATTGGGGTGGGAGCAAGGGACAGGGAGCAGGGCAGGGGCTGAAAGGGGCACTGATTCAGACCAGGGAGGCAACTACACACCAACCTGCTGGCTTTAGAATAAAAGCACCAACTGAACTGAGATGTGTGGTGTGGTATTCCTGCTGTCGGTTTCAGCCAGGGCCTATGCCTCTGTGGCAACCTGGGGAGGAAGGCAAGGACCAGGTTGTGTCCAGGTTGGGGAGGGGTGTGACTGGTGTTCCTCCCTTCCCCAACCCGGCCAGGGTCTCTTTTTCGGAGAGAGTGGATTTCAGGGTCTTTTTGAAGAAAGGATAAGAGGCAGCCTCGTGGGCTCTGGGCAGGTGGTACGCTGCTCAGAAGGGTTGGGGGCAGGAAGGGGCTGTGAGCTGACATGGGCTGGAAAGATTCCATTGCTGAGATTGCTTAGCAGGGACCAGCTGCAACTCTCATTTTTGAAATTTGGTCCCATTTGTTTTAGGTTAAATATTTGACCCCACCAGGCCACTGTGTGCCTGGAGTGAAGAAATCCACATTACTGATGGAGCTGGCAAGGATGTGAGCCCTCCATCTTAACCCAGAGGCTGGGAGCCTCCTCTAAATGTAGCTTCCTGGTCTCGCTGTCTCCTCTGCTCCTCAATTTTTAGTCCAGAAAAATGTAACATACAATAGGAAAGCACATCGTGTTCCATTCTATTTCTTAGAAGCCTCCAGGAAGACTATGGTGGCTGAGGCCTGGAGGGCTGGCTCTGCGTGTGTTCTCCATCCATCAACTCTCCCTGCTCAGGGGATGCCCAGGACAGTCTTTTTTTTTTTTTTTTTTTTTTTTTTTTTTTTTTTTTTTTTTTTTTTTTTTTTTTTTGAGACGGAGTCTCGCTCTGTCCCCCAGGCTGGAGTGCAGTGGCGGGATCTCGGCTCACTGCAAGCTCCGCCTCCCGGGTTCACGCCATTCTCCTGCCTCAGCCTCCCAAGTAGCTGGGACTACAGGCGCCCGCCACTACGCCCGGCTAATTTTTTGTATTTTTAGTAGAGACGGGGTTTCACCGTTTTAGCCGGGATGGTCTCGATCTCCTGACCTCGTGATCCGCCCGCCTCGGCCTCCCAAAGTGCTGGGATTACAGGCGTGAGCCACCGCGCCCGGCCCAGGACAGTCTTTACTCCAGGACCCACTTAAGCCAGGCCAGGCCCCCACAGGGTCCTTTCTTTGTTTGTTTTTGTTTTTGTTTTTGTCTCCTTTTACGGACATTGTCACCTGCTGTGGTGACTTGGGACCTTCTTGCAGCCCTTGAGTCGCTTTCTCCCTTGGTTTCAGGCTCAGGTCCTGGATATAAAGTTCCCTTCCACGTCCAGGATTCCATTTTGACCATGGCTTGTCCTTTGACATTCATAGCTTTTCTCGAGGTACCATTGACTGCTGCCTGGTGGACTTTTGTGGAGCCCTTTCTAAATTGTGACCCTCCCTGCAAGCAGAGCCATCCTGGATGAGGCAAGTTCTTGTCTCAGAGCAGCGGAGGGCAGGCTAAGGTGGCTGCAGGCACCAGGACACCCCGTGGTGCTCACTAATATGCCAGTTGCTGCTGTGTAATCTGTTAGGGTGGTGCAAAAGTAATTGCAGTTTTGCCATTAAAAGTAGTGGAAAACCACAATTACTTTTGCACCAACCTACTAATTGGACCCATTTTCATATTTTCTTTTCTGTTTTTTAAGAGAGAGAGGGGGCCGGGCGCGGTGGCTCACGCCTGTAATCCCAGCACTTTGGTAGGCCGAGGCGGGTGGATCACGAGGTCAGGAGATCGAGACCATCCTGGCTAACACGGTGAAACCCCGTCTCTACTAAAAATACAAAAAATTAGCCAGGTGTGGTGGCAGGTGCCTGTAGTCCCAGCTACTCGGGAGGCTGATGCAGGAGAATGGCGTGAACCCGGAAGGCGGAGCTTGCAGTGAGTCGAGATTGCGCCACTGCACTCCAGCCTGGGCTACAGAGCGAGACTCCGTCTCAAAAAAAAAAAAAAAAAAAAAAAAGAGAGAGAGAGAGTGTCTCTTTCTGTCATTCAGGCTGGAGTACAGGAGCATGATCATAGATCACTGCAGGCTTGAACTCCTGGGCTCAAACGATCCTCCCACCTCAGCCTCCTAAGTAGCTGGGACTACAAGCATGTGCCACTATGCCTGGCTAATTTTTCTTTTTTTTTGTAGAGAGGGGGGTCTCACTATGCTGCCCAGGCTGGTTTCAAACTCCTGGGCTCAAGCAATCCTTCTGCCTTGTCCTCCCAAGGGGATTACAGGCGTGAGCCACTGCACCTGGCCCGTTATGCAAATCCTGATATGCAGTTTGGAATTGTATGTCATACCCACTGGAAAGGTTAAGAATCAATGCATTTTCTTTTTTTTGAGACAGGGTCTTTCTCTGTCACCCAGGCTACAGTGCAGTGGCACGGTTATAGCTCACTGCAGCCTTGATGTCCTGGGTTCAAGCGATCCTCTGGCCTCAGGCTTCTGAGTGGCTAGGATCATAGCTTTGTGCCAGCAAGCCTGGCTAATTTTTTTTTTTTCTTGAGACAGAGTCTCGCTCTTGCCCAGGCTGGAGTGCAGTGGCACGATCTCAGCTCATTGCAGCCTCTGTCTCCTGAGCTCCAGTGATTCTCGTGCCTCAGCCTCCCAAGTAGCTGAGATTACAGGCACACACCACCATGCCTAGCTAATTTTTGTATTTTTAGTAGAGATGGGGTTTAGCCATGTTGTCCAGGCTGGTCTTGAACTCCTGGCCTCAAGTGATCTGCCTGCCTCGGACTCCCAAAGCGCTGGGATTATAGGCATGAGCCACTGTACCTGGCCAAGCCTGCCTAATTTTTATTTTTATTTTTGTAGAGACCATTCTCATTTCTTATTATCCGAATTTTGAGGAATGTAGAATTGGTCCCCATTCCTATTACTGAAGACAAAAGGGCGGAGAAAGGAGAGGCTCGGGGGGTTAAGAAGAATACATTTGTGAGTATTCTTTATATTCAGGAATATGTTCTTCATAAATATAAAAATAATTTACTTATAAGAATGTACCTATAAGAAAAATGAATTAGATGCAATTAAATTAAATTAGAAACAGATGAAACTGACATAGCTTCAAGATAGGGAGGAGCCTTCAATTGCAGCCTTTACCTCCTATTTTGCACCAACACTTTCCTCACCAACTGGTGGTGTCTGCTACCATCTAGTGGTTGAAGTGGGGACAGCACAGGGGAGCTGAAGTGGAAAAGATGGGCGACTCAGAGGCCACTCCTCAAAGCAGATAGGGACCATTCTGCAGCTATCCTCAAACATTAGTCTCAGTAACAGGTTTAGAGGGACGGCACTTCTGTTTGTGGAAAGAAGTCTGCCACCCTATGGACCACACGAAAAATGCTTAATTGCTACTTGGGCCCTGTGCCATCCTGGAAACTTCTTTTTTCGGAGCTGCTGTCCTCTTCCTGCTGGGATTTTAGGAAAGGCTGAGGGCATCCCCTCTCACAGCTTCTCAAGGATCGAGAAAGTGGAGGTGGGCAGGGGTCGGAATAACACTATTGAGTGTCCCCTTCCTTCATTTGTGTATCCTTGGGACACAGCATGAACGGCAAGAGCTGCCTCTCTGAGGATTTTTCATCATTCGATCCCCTCCCCAAATCTGCATTTCTGTCATTCACCTTGGTCAAGGCTTCCACCCTCTCCCTGGTATCCAGAGGGAGGCCGGGGTGGGCTAGAGCCTGGAGCCCTCGCCACCAAGGAGGAAGGGCTAGACACAGACTGAGAGGAGGGCAGCCGCCAGAGCAGTTATCCTGGGAGCTCTCCTGAGGGCCTGAAACACTCAAAGGAGATTAAGTGGAAATCTGCTGCTAAATCCAGCTCCACCTGAATATTTAACAGTGAACATGGGACAGTGTAGTCCATAGAATGCCAACTGGCTGATGACTGAGCAGGCACAGGTGAGTGCATGCTGACTGCTGTTCCTCCTGTCCAGTGATCCCCTTCTGAGGCCCCAGGAGGCAGTGGCCAGAGGTGAGACCCAAGGAGGAGCAGGAAGCCTCCCAAAGCCAAAGGGAAAGGTCAGCTCAGCAGAGGCTCCGAGGTTGGGGACCTGCTTCAGAGTTGAATTTGCAGGACGAATGACAGCTGGATTTTACTTAGAGTGTGTGTTTTGTCTAGGGTGGCTGTGCTTGGGCAGGGGCTGAGGTGGGGCCAAGACCCTCGAGCTATGGAGGGCAACACTTGATGTTTGTCTTACTCCGTTTCTGCTGCTATAACAAAATACCTGTGACCGAGTAATTTATGAAGAACAGAAATGTATTTCTCATAATTCTGGAGGCTGAGAAGTCCAAGATCAAGGCACCAGCAGATTCAGTGTCTGCTCAAGGCTTTCTTTTTATCCTCATATGGCAGAAGGTAGAAGGGCAAAAGGGGCTGGCTAGTTCCCTGGAGCCCTTTTATTAGGGCACTAATCCCATTCACAAGGGCAGATCCTATTCTGACCTAATCACCCGCAAGGCTCCACCTCTTAATATTATTGCATGGGTGGTTAAATTTCAACACATAAATTCAGGGGGACATTCAGACCACAGCAGCATTCCTACTTCTTCATACCCTTGACAGTGACAATCACTGAGTTCCAGAAATTGCTACTTGAAAATGTGACCCATATACTGCCCAGGCTGGTCTCAAACTCCAGGTCTCAAGCATTCCTCCTGCCTTGGCCTCCCAAAGCACTGGGATTACAGGTGTGAGCCACTGCGCCTGGCCCAGTAGTCGGCCTTGACCTGTGAGTCTAGCCCAAGAGTCAACCTTGAGGATTCGCCTGGGTTGTCAAAAAATCAGATTCTACCAGTGGGGGAAGGAAGCACAAGGTGGCCTGGGGGCACATTCTCTGTCTGGGTATCTTTGGGGACACCTGTTCTGATTGGGAGCTGGAAAGGAAAACAATAAGAGCCATTGTTAAACAAACAGGTTTTCTCCATCGAATGACAAGTGAATGAATAAAACACACTATATCCACACAATGGAGTATTATGCAGCCATGAAAAAGAATGAAGTATTGATATACACCATAACATGGAGGAACCTTGAAAACATCATGCTGGGTGAAAGAGCCAGTCACAGAAGGCCACATCTTGTATAATTCTATTTATGGGAAATGTCCTGAATAGGTAACTCTGTAGAGACAGAAAGTAGATTAGCTGTTGCCCAGGGCTGGGGTGGGCTGCAGGTAGGAAAATAGGCGGTGACTGTTAATGTTCTTTTTGGAGCCATAAGAATGTTCAAAATTAGTTAGTAGGCATGGTGGCACAACTCTGTGAGTATCCTAAAAATTATTTGAAATGTATATTTTAAATGGGTGAATGGTCTGGTATGTAAATTATATCACCATAAAGCTGTTTTAAAAATACTAAAATCCAAAAAGTAAAAAAGAAAAAAAAATAGCTCTACAACTTCGGTTTGTAGAATCGAAAAGATGAGGTCAGGAAGGGGCCGGGGCTCACAGTTTCTGAGTTTTGGTGCTTCCAGGGACCCAGGAGATCCTCAAGCCCTGGGGCACATCAGGAGTGAGGAGGGTGGGTGTTCTGGGCTGGACTGTGACTTGATATTCCTTCAAATGGATATTTTAAAAAATGTTCATTTAATATTTGTTTTGTAGGCTGAAGAGAACGATTTGACATTAACCCAAAC